>NC_000008.11:143568246-143870324 GCF_000001405.40 Homo sapiens
GGTCCACTCTGAGCTCTGGGATAGGGGAAGTGAGCCGGGTCAGGGGTCCAGGAAGTAGAAAGGCAAAAGGTGGGGTGGGAAGAGGGGGAGCAAGGGCATCGGGTGAGGGGCAGAAGAGCCCAGGGCAGGAGACTGGATTGATTCTGCTCAAGGGAAGAGCAGTAGTAACCTGGCCGCCCGTCACACCTGCCACTGAGGTCCTTGGGATGGGTGAGTCCCTGACCTGTAATTGTCGGAGGGGAGGCACGGTGGGAGTGGTGAGTGTTGGATGGCATAGGGGTGGGATGGTGTCGGGGGCTGCTGACCTCAGCAGCGTCCCTGCTGGGGTCATGCAGGCGCAGCAGCAGCGGCACGAGACTCTGCAGCACCAGCTTCCGCAGGGGGCCGCGGAGCCCCAGCCGGAGCCCGCCCCGGCCCCGGCGCACCAGAGTCCCAAGGAGCCCGACGGCCGAGGCGCGGATTGAGTCCCGTGTCTGCGTGGGAGGGCGCAGTCAGGGCAGGCGGAGACAGAGAGGGGCTGCAAGGGTGGGAGGGGGCGGCCAGCGCGGAGCGAGGAAGCGGCGGGTCTAGGGAAGGCTGCTGACTCGGTGTGATCTGGGGACAGGGAACAGGGCCTGGAGCTGGACCTGGTTGGGAAGCCTGGAGAGCCCCTGCAGGGGGTGGGGCTTGAAGGGATGGGGTCCGGAAGGAAAAGTCGAGCGGGGAGGAGCTTGGCGGGACACGGCCCTGGAGGGGCGGAGCTGGGCGACAGCAGGCGGGAGGGGCGGGGGCGGTCAGGAGGGAAGAAATCTGGGACGGAGACACTGGGGGGACGGGGCCTGGGAGGGAGAAACTGGAGGGGCGGGGCGGAGCCTGGGAGGTCAGGGCCTGGGAGGGACAGACTGACAGACTGGGGGGCGGGGCATGGGAAGGAGAAACTAGAGGGGCGGGCGGGGCCTGGGAGGCGGGGCCTGGGAGGGAGAGACTGTAGGGGCGGGGCGGGGCATGAGAGGGAGAAACAGGAGGGGCGGGGCGGGGCCTGGGAGGGAGACTGGGGGCGGGGCCTGGGAGGGAGAGACTGGAAGGGCGGGGCGGGGCCTGAGAGGGCGGGGCCTGGGCGGGAGAGACGGGGGCGGGGCCTGGGAGGGAGAGACTGGAAGGGCGGGGGCGGTGACAGCGGCAGGGGCGGGACCCGGAGGCGGGGCGTTTGCTCACGTCGTCCAGTAGCGGAGGGAGGCGCGGTCCCAGCTCCGCGCTCAGGAGCCGCACAGGCGCCCGGGGCCGCAGCAGGAGCCTCCTCAGGGCGCCCAGCGCTGCACCCACGAGCCGCGCGTCGCCTTCGCCCAGTGCGCCCAGGAGCGCCGGCAGCAGCGTGCTCACGTGCCGCACCTGCTGGGACTCGGGGTCAGCCTCTTGCAGACCTCGCCGCGACCGGGCCAAGCCCCTCTCCACCCCTCCCCTTCTCTCACACCTTCCTGCGATTCAGCGCGAGGTGGCCCAGGCCCAGCAGGCCCAACCAGCGCACAGTGGGTTCGGGGTCTCCCTGCCAGGTGAGGAGTCGCTCCAGGATGACCTCCTCCCGCAGGAGCCGTGCGGTGGGCCGGCTCTGCAACAGCTAGGCGAGGCACATGGGGTCAGCACGCCCGCGGTCCCCGTGCAGGCCGCTGCGATTCAGGGATCAAGTCCAGGGTCACCCTTCACCACCCATCCGGGAAGCAGGCTCACCCCTGTGAAGAAGGCCATAGCCGTGAGACGCTGCGGGTCGTCCGCGCTGCGAAGCCGAGGGAGCAAGTCTGCGAAGAGGCCTCGCAGGTGGTGGTCGGCATGTGCCACCATAGCACTGGGGTGGGTGGAAATGGGAGCTCTCGCTCCGTTTGGCGGCCTTTCTCCTCGAGAAGACCCCATCCCAACACCACCCTCATGCCCCTGCCTTTTCCCTGTCCCCCTGCCCAGCACCTGGCCAGCAACGACTCTCTTCCTGGTGTGACACCCTGGGGCCCCTCCTCACCCTCCTCACCTGGCCAGCAGCAGGACGCCCTCCAGGTGGGTGTGGGCTCCCACCAGCCTCCTCCAGCCTCCTGCCTGCTCCATGCACGTGACCACCATGCGGCCTCCATCCCCGGTGAGCAGCGCCTTCAAGGCCTCCACAGCACAGCTGGTGGTGGGGACAGTGAGCAGGTGGGCAGTGGGAGCTGAGAGGGTGACAGCATGCTGGCCCGCCCCACGTAACCTGGTGTTGCCTCTCACCTGGCATGGCTATGTGGTGGCCCTCGGTGGGACAGAACCCAAATCTTGGGCATGTCGGGGGAGCACGGGCTGCGGGCCAGCTTGTGCAGCTGTGTGACCAGCGCAAGCAGCAGATGTGGGTAGAAGCCCCTCGTGGCTCCCACGCAGCCCGAAACAGCCAGCATCTCCCCAAGAGCACGTGTGGCCTGTGGAGCAAGTGGCCCACTCAGGCCTGGGGCACGCCTGGAGCTGCACTGGGCAGCAGAGGGACAGGCGTGCTGTCAACAGGATGGGGACAGCCTCAGACACGCATGGGACATTCCAGGAGCAGTTACCTAGGTGCAAACTCCCTATGCCCATCCTCCCCGCTCCTCGCCACCCCCCACCCCCGCCCCCACCCCCTGGTAATGGCTGGAGCCACCTACCGCCAGTGCCTGGGGCTCCGGCCCCGAAGCACCCTTCAGCGCCCACAGCAGTTGCACCAGCACCTGCCCATTTACACGCTGGTTACGGCTTAGGCTGCGCCAGAGCTCGGCTGCTACCCTGAGGGTTTGGAGGGGGCTGGTGTGAGACAAGAGATGGGTGGGTGTCCAGGGAATGTAGGGAGTCCCCAGCCAGGGTGGAGGCAGCCAGTAGGACTCCAGCAGGGGAGGGGCAGGAAACCCCTCCCATCTCCCCCCATCCCCAAATCTCAGAGAAACAAATGAAGGGTTAATTGTGCAGACCACAACATAGCCTATCTCAAGCTGAGCTGCAGGGTGGGGACCCACTGGGAGTCCCGTTGGGTCAGCGACAGTGAAACAAACCTGGCATTATTAAAAAGAAAAAAATTGCCACAGAGAATAAAACCAAAGATAACTTCTGGGGCCAATTAACCAAAGAGCCAGGGGTGTCCAGGCACGTTAGCCCCCCAGCCTCATTCACCCCACTCCGGAGCCAACCCCAGGACGGTCTCCAGGGGAGGCCACCCGAAGATAGAAGGTGGCTCCAAGAGAGGAGCCCAGCATCAGAAACTCTGTGGCAGGAGTGTGGGGGGAGTTTGCGGAGCTAAAAATGAGGGGAGCGGGAATGGATACGGGGCATGAGTCATCGCGGGGCTGGAATAAGGAGGCCCTGCCCCTTTTCAGCTCCCTCTTCTGGGGCCAGACTCCACCGCCAAGCGGGAAGAGGGAAGGAAGCCGCGTGGGGACCGCAGGGCCAGGACGGTTGGGTTACCGATCGGCGGGCAGAGAGCGGGGTAGCAGCGCACACACCACGTCCCGCGCATGCTCCAGGGCCAGTGCGCTCAGCACTCGCAGGGCCGCCCTCCAGGGCCTCCCCTCCGCTAGGCTGGGCACCTGCGCCAGCAGCCCACGCACCAGAGCATGCACCTGGTGGGGAAGGGGGCAGACTTCAGCAGTCAGGCCTCCTCCACCGTCCATTCCCCTCTGGCCTGCACCCCACCTCCACCCCCACCCTGATCCCGCCTGGCAGGAGCAGCCTGAAGATGGCAGGGTCAGGCTGCGCTCTCCAGGCCCCTCCCACCACCTTGGTGCCCGAACCGGCAGGATTCTGTAGGGCATGAAGTGGGTGAAGGCTGACCTGGTCCTCCAACCGCTCGCCCCGGGCCTCCAGGGCTGAGGACAGGGTGAGCACTGTCGCCTGGGTCCCTGCAAAGCCAGCCTCCTCCAGGCAGGCAGCCGTGTACAACGCGAGGTCGGCAAGAACTCCCTCCTCCCAGGAACTCTGGGGAACCTAGGGCAGGATGGGTGGGGCGTCTGAAGTGCCCAAACCTCTCCTAGCTCTCCTCCTGGTCCCTCGGCCTCCCACCTGGCTTCCTACAAAATCCCTTGCTCCTCTGTTGCTCACCAGCCTGTTTCACGCTGACCTCCCCCGGGGCCAGCACCGCCCCCCTGCCACCCCGCCTTCCACCTACCATCCACAGGACCCCCAGGCCGGTTCGCACAACATCCCTTCCCTCCCCCGTCACCTGGTGGGGCCCCTCAGGGGCTGGTTCCAGGGCACTGTTGAGGGAGCAGGGCTCGCTGCCAGCTTCAGGGACGGTGGCCCCACGTCCAGGCTCTGCCTCAGAGGGGGCGGTGAGTGCCTGGGTCTGTGGCTCAGCCTCAGGTTTGACCTCCCAGGACTTGGGCTGAGGGCCTGCGGAAGGGGGTCCCTGGGGCTGCCCCTGCCTGGCCCGGATTCCTTCAGTCAGTGCTGTCAGGGTTAGAGCCCCCACGGGAGCCTCCCGGGCCCGGCTCCGGCCCCACACACCCCCAGCCATGGCGGCCCTTGCCTGCAGCACCTGCCGCTGCTCCTCCTGCGAAGTTGTGCCCAGGACTGACCTAGAAGCCGCCCCGGGCGGGACCACGGACGGGCGTGGTGGCGTGCGCTAGCGTGAGCTTGCGGGGGCTGGGGAGCCACACGGACGTGCCTACAATGGGCCTTTGAGGGGCCCTCCTGCCTGGGCTGCTGGAGGGGAGTGGCCACCTGCAGCCTGAGTGCCTGTGGTGTGGCTCTACCCACCAGGGCCCTGAGAACAGGATCCCCAAGAGCTGGCAGATCCACGAAGAAAGGGGGAGAAGGGCCCCCACCCTGACTACCAGCCCCTGTTGACCAGGGAGCTCAGGGCAGTTGTGGACAGCTCTGAGGAGGTCCTCGCAGGGTCCAGGAGTCTGGGCCCCACCCTGAGTCGAGGCCTGATTCAGCCCCCAAGCAGCAGTCAGCTCCCCACTGGGCCTGGGGCTAGGGGCTGGCCCCGCCCCCTGCACGCTGGCTCCGCCCCCTGCACGCTGGCTCTGTCAGACACCTTGCAACAGGCATGACTGGGTGAGCTTGGGGCAGCCCGGAGGTGTGGAGGGGGCAGTGAAGACACCAGAGGAGCGGTGGCCCCTCCAGAGCTTGTGCAGGCCCCTCTGGGTCCTGGGTCCTTGGCCAAATCTCATGTTGAAACGTAATCCCCAGTGCTGGAGGTGGGGCCTGGTGGGAAGTGATTGGATCCTGGGGGCAACTTCCCCCTTTGGTGCTGTTCCCATGATAAGACTTCTCAAGATCTGGTTGTCTGGAAGTGCGTGGCACCGCCCCACCCCTTCCTCCGGCCATGTAAGACCTGCCCGCTTCCGCTTCCACCAAGATGGTAAGTTTCCTGAAGCCTCCCCAGCCATGCTTCCTGTACCTGCAGAACCACAGGCCAATTAAACCTCTCTTCCTTAGAAATTACCCAGTCTCAGGTATTTCTTTACAGCAGTGCAAGAACGGAAGAATACAGCCACTCTGGCTGGGCCCCTCGGAGTGCGCGGGTGCCCTGGGGGTGCCTGGGGTGTGGTGTGTTCTGTCCAATGTGTGTGAGTCTGTATCTCTCTCCTAGCTCGTACTCCCCGGGGCTGGCTGGACTGGGCCTCTGCTCCAAGTCCCCACCCTCCACCCTCAGCCAACCACACAGTGGTGCTGCCCACCCTGAAGCCCGGGGAGCCAGGTGAGCTGGTCTGGTGGAATGCCTGGGCAGACGGAAGTGCCCCAGGCGGTCAGCATTCCCCCCACACCCTTGCCTGTCTGTGCCACCTCAGGCTGCTTCGACAAGAGAGGCCCAGGCCCCCAGCCTCCACTTCCTGCCAAGCCTAGAACCTCTCCCCCAAGCAGTTCCTCTTGAAGCTCACGTTGCCCAAACTGGCGGAACCCTGAGATCAGGAACTTGCTGGTGCAGAGGCAGGGCCAGCCCAGCACAGCCACGTGCAGTGCCACTCTGGCCAGGTGTCTGGGGCTGAGTCATCTCCTGGAGCTTCAACTTCTTCCCCATTCTTCCTCTCCTTCCGTGGGCTGCTGGGTCAGGAGCTGTGTCCCTGACGCCAGATGCCAGGGTGGTGCTGGGTTGGCAGCAGCAGTGGCAGGAGACACCTGAGCACTCCCTTTTGACTTGGGGAGTTTGAGACGTCTTCACTGACCCTGAGCCTGGGGGGCAGTGCCTAGGCAGGCGTGGGAGCCCAGGGCCACGGCTGGACCCTCTTACCTGGCACTACCCCCAACCCTGTCCTGTCCCCAGCCTGCCTCTAGCAAGGAAAGGTCTGCAGCAACTCCCTCAACTCCAAGGCAGACACCAAAGCCCTCCCTGCCTGTGGCTTTGTAGTTCTAGTGTGGGATCTGACTCCCCACAGCCTACCCAAAGCCGGGGAACTCCTCACTGCCCTTCGGGCTTCAGCACAGGGCTGTCTCCCACGCCGGCAGGGCCTGTGCTTTCACTGGGATGCAAATCTTCCTGCTACCTCGAGCTCAGATTCCCGACTCCAGCCCAGCCGCAGCCCGGGAGGCGCAGCCCGTGGGCTGGGTGAACAAACGACACAAACAACACAGGACAAGCTGTGGGGAAAAGTGAGTGATTCGTGTTGTTTCCAGTCAGCCCCGCTCCGAGTCTCAGGGGGACTGCCCCGCACACAGACTGTTCACCAGGGCCTGCAGCCTCTCGGACAGCACCACCTGCAGGGAGCAGAGGACAGGAGCGGTGGGCAGGGTGAGGGCGGGGGCGCACAGGGCAGAATGACAGGGTGGGCCTCCCCCCAACCTGGTACTGTGCAGGGCTCCGCAGCCGCCTGTGCTCAGGGCTGAGTCGGCTCAGGGACAGCTGGGCCAAGGCTCTAGACTCTGCCAGGGATGGGAGCGGCTCACACAGCTGCAGGGAGGAGGTAAGGAAAGAGAAGCTTGGGGCTAGCTCCCAGTCAGGGCTCTACCGGGGCTGGGGGTCAGGATGAGGGCGGTGGGGCAGCCACCTGTCCCTGCTGGAGGCAGAGCCGCAGTAGTGGCTCCACCTGGGCTGGCCTCACGGTGCAGGGCTCCTGGGCCCCTGGAGGCCACACCCTCAGCTCCTGCCCAGCCTGTGGCACTGGCTCTTCTGCTAACTGCAGCATGTCCATGAGTGGAGACCCTGTGTGGACGGGGCAAGAATAAGCGGGGGCCCTGGTGCTTTGAAGGTGGACAGCAGGGGGGATGGGAGGGCCTCACCGTCAGAGCCCAGGAGCCGGAAAGCAGCCTTGCTCCCAGGCAACGTCTGCTTCTCGGGGTCCTCGGTCAGCTTCATTCGTGGCTGGCCCCCCACGGCCACCAGCTGCAGGAAGAGGGCGTTGAGCTGGCTGGTCCTTATCCCCCACCCAGCACCATCCCTCAGACCTGCCCCCACCTGGGCCCCCGACACTGTCCCTACCTTATAGACGCCACCCAGGGAAGGCTGTTGGGGGCAGGTGACCACACTGGTGCCAATGCCAATGACATTCACCTCACTGCCCTGGGTGGGGAAGGGGGTGGCCGTGAGCCCAGCTGCCCTGGGTGGGGAAGGGGGTGGCACTGCCCTGGGTGGGGAAGGAGGTGGCACTGCCCTGGGTGGGGAAGGGGGTGGCAGTGCCCTGGGTGGGGAAGGAGGTGCCAGTGCCCTAGGTGGGGAAGGAGGTGGCACTGCCCTGGGTGAAGGGGGTGGCAGTGCCCTGGGTGGGGAAGGGGGTGGCAGTGCCCTGGGTGGGGGAAGGAGGTGGCAGTGCCCTGGGTGGGGAAGGGGGTGGCAGTGCCCTGGGCGGGGAAGGAGGTGGCAATGAGCCCAGCCAGAACCTGCAGGGGCCCCCAGAGCCCCCCAGCCACCCTCCGCCTACCCACTCATCCACCCCACCTCCTGGGCCAGTCGGGCCAGCGCCTCCTCGTCAATGTTGTTGCTGACTACGATGAGGACTGACTCCAGCCAGGGCACCTGGAACCTGCCGCGTGGGTGGAGAAAGGGTGGGGGCCACCCCTCGGGTCTTCCTGATTCACCCTGGTGTCCCCCTGCTCCCCGCCCCGCCTCAGTCAAGGACACCTGTGCTCACCTTCTGCTTGGGAGCTCCTAGGGAGCCCCACCACTTACTTCCCTGCCACGGCCTGCAGTATCACCGCTGAAACTTCAGCAGAGTACCTCACTGTCCTTCCCTGCCCATTCCCAAACCCCGGGGATCTCCCACCAGGCACACCTCCTCCCCGGGAAACTCACTGGGCTGCAGCAGCTCGGAAGACCTTGCGGATCTCCTGAGCCTGCTGTAGCAGGTCACCACTGTCCAGCCTCACGCCCACTGCCCGGTAGCCCAGCTCTCCCAGGGCCAGGGCGACTGCTAGGAAGTTGGGGAGACCACTCCTGCAGAAATAGATAAGGGAGTCAGAGGCTGCTGAGGTTCTGCTGAGCCCACCCCTAAAGTGCCCGGGCTCACCTCCACACGCTGTAGGTGTCCAGGAGGCCCTGGAAGGCCCGGGGAAAAGCCAAGGCATAGGCCACAAAGGCTGCCCGCTCGCCTGGATGCGGCTCCTGCACCCCCAGCCCCAGGTGGGCACACACCTGCTCCAGCCACACCTGGGCTTTGGCCGCCAGGTCCACCCCAGGGCCCTCACCAGCTGCTGGCGCCAACATCTGTGGAACAGAGTCGGTGAAGAATGGGGGCCAGGAATGCAGGATGAGGCCTGGGAGCAGCCAGGGACACCCTAGTTTGAGAGCAAAGGTAATGCAGCCCGTGCCAGCTTCCTGGGACAGCACTGGGGTGACCTGCCTGGGTGGCACACCTCTCGCCAGGGCAAGGGCTGGCTTGGGGCCTGTCGCCTGGAGACAGCAGGGTTTAGAGGAGGGACTGACCGGGTCAGGGGGCACCTCGCTGCCTGAAAAGGAAGTGACGAAGGAGTGGGCCAGGGTCCCGGCCACCGGCACACCTCGCAGCTGGCCCGCTAGCACGTTGCTGCTGCTGTCGAAGCCTGGGGAGGAAGGCGGTGGGATTGGGGGACCTCGGGCCAAGATGGGGCTCCTCCTTCCCGGCCCTTGCCTTGCCCCGCACCAGACACTCACCGCCCAGGTAGCTGTAGGTGGAGGCTGTCAGGCCCCCATCGGGGCCCTGAGCCCGCCTCAGGCCCATCTCTAGCAGCCGCTTCTCTGGCCCTGCGATCAAGCGAAGCCGCGCTGCGTTGGTGGCCACCAGGCTGTGGGGAGCCAAGAGTCAGGGGGTCCCAGGGTGAGGATCACTAGGCCACCCAAGACGGCGGTTACCTGGGGCCTGGAACTTCCAACCTGGGAGCTCCACCCTCACCCAGCCCCTCCTTACACCCTGAAGAGTGGGGGCGGGAGGCCAGTCCTGGGACCCCTGGGCAGCCAGCCCCGCCGCCACAGTCCAGCACGGAGCCCCGGCGCTGGGGGCCCATCCCATGCCCACGCTCCCTGCCAGTGGCCCGCAGCCCACCTGGCGTAGCTGACCAGGCAGAGCAGCGGTGTCTCCAGCAGCTGCACCACCAGGAGCGGCCCGGACACCTGCAGGAGCGGCACCTGCGGGGAGAGAAGTCAGCTCCGCGCTCGGCCCAGCACCCCGTGGCCGCCGCGCCGCCCGCTTACCCCTACTCACTCCGGGGAAGGCGAGGGAGCCCTCGGGCAGGGCTCGCACCGTCACCTCGGAGCAGTCGAGGGCCCGAAGGTGCTCGAAGAACGCAGGATCCGTGTCTGGGGGCAGCACCGAGGCCAGGAACTGCACGTCTGGAAACGAGGTAACTGCGCTGAGACCAGCGCGGGGACAGACCGGTCGTGGGACATGGGGGGTTCCACGGGGGGACAAGGACTTCCACCGGCCATAGGTGGGGGTTTCTGCCGGGCGTGGGGGGCTCGTCGCGCGGACGGGGGACTACCGGCGTCCCGCAGGCGGAAGGCGCGCAGGAAGCGCACACAGTCGCGCAAGCCGGCGGCCAAGGCGAAGGCGCCGCCGAACGGGCAGCGGCGGAAGAAGAGCTCGAACTCGGCGGCGTCCCGCGCCCGGCCCGCGCGCCAATAGCCCAACGCCATGGTGGCCTGGTAGAGGTCAGTGAGCAGCGGCCGCGCCGCCGCGCGCGCCTCGGGGTCCTGCTCCGCCGCCATCCTGCTCCCGACGTCCGGACTCCGCCCCGCCCCGACCCCGTGACGCGCCCCGGCCTATGGCGCACTCCCTGTGGGGCTTATCGTGCCGTTTGGGAGCGGCACGGGACTCGATGGAGGACGGGTGGGGCTAATAGTATCGGCGCGCCGAGAGGGGCTGAAACAGCTGGACCCGGGATGGGGTGGGGGATGTCACCCAACTCCTCTCGGACCCCCCAACCCCACTCCAGGCCCAACGGCCTCTTTGGAGCGCAGCCCGGTCTTGGTCACCAGAGGTGCCCCCAGTCGCTCGTGTCTCTGCCCTTTGGCCGGGCAATGAGGTGCAGCTCAGGACTTGCCAGGCGGCGGAAAGGGTGGAGGACAGACCAGCCAGACTCCACCCCCACCGACCCAGAAGACAACCGCTGGCCAGCAGCCAGCTCCTGCCCTGGGCCTGGGGAGGGAGGCCAGAGGCTGCCTTAGTTAGAGCTTGAGCAGCCAGGCTAGGACGAGGCAGCCCAGATGGACGCAAATGTCGCTTGGAAAGAGCTTGGCACCCAGGAAAGGGCGGCGTGGGGCAGGGGGGCGCATGCCCACTGTCGGCTGGCACCAAAAGACCTTTTGTGGCTATGAAGGCCCAGTGTCCCTCAGTGGTGGCTTTTATGGGGTCCTGCAGTCCAAGCCCCACAGGAAACTTTCTAAAGGTTTGAGGGCAAAGTCAGGGGCCACTACCCAGGGAGAATCCATTCCCCTGTGGCTTGGGGCCCCGAGGACAGAGTCTGACCAGAAGTAATCAAGTAATTACACCCCATCCTCTTTCACCCCAATGCAAACACGGGTGGTCCAGGGGAGGGAGTGTGGCCACCCATGCTGACCACATACGGCTGTCAGGATGCTGAGGCACAGCTCCACAGAGCCCAGGCAGCCACGTTCTGGCCACCCCAGAACATCATGGGAGGGGCACAGTCCCTGGAGCAAGGGGCAGGGATTCCAGGAATGAATGAGGTGAGGGGAGGGCCGGGACAGCACATGACAAAGGGCATGGCAGCAGGGCCGGGTGCTACTGGGACTTCTTTCCTGGACAATTCCAGGCTTGCACGCTTGCTCCCATGGGGACAATGCCAACAGGAGGCAGAGTGGTGGGGTGGTGGCCTCTCCAGATAGTGACCTAACAGTTTCTGTTTCTGGCTTTTTAAACCCCCTGAACTGGACTTGCTTTTGCAATGGAAAGAAGAGGGAGGGCCAGAGCTTTGGGAGGGAGTGGCCAGGAGATGGAGGGACAGGCGGAGGTCTGCTGGGGGCAAGGTGACATGGCCACAGAGGGTGGCAGCAGCCAGGATGACTGTGTGGGAACAGCAGGGCAGAGATGGGGCTGAGACAGGGAGGGAGACAGGCCAGGTACGAGCAGGAAATGACCAGGACGGAGCCAGAGGGCCGGTCTCAGTCTTTAATCGTGGCAGGGCCTCACGCACGCGCGCACGTACACACACTCAGGCTTCAGATCTTGTTGAAAGCTGCGATATCGACACTCTGCACCTGAGGAGAGGCGGAGGGTGACGGTCAGGGCTGTTCCCCTACAGCCCACTCGGAGCCAGGAGCCTCCTCTGAGGTGGGGTTCACTCTGGGACTCGCTCCCCACTGCCGTGGGGTGGAGTGCAGGGTATGGGCCAGGGTCCCCAGTCTCCTCTCCCCTCCTCTCCCCGGCCGGCTCACTCACGTGCTCCTCAAACTTGGTGATCTCCTCCTCCAGCAAGTCTGTCCCCACCTTGTCGTCCTCCACCACACACTGAATCTGTAGCTTCCGGATACCGTAGCCCACGGGCACCAGCTTGGAAGCCCCCCAGACCAGCCCGTCCAGCTGGATAGAGCGCACACAGGCCTCCAGCTGGGCCATGTCCGTCTCATCATCCCACTGTGGGGAAAGGGGAGGAAAAGCTGGGGTCAGCCACCCTCAGAACACCCAGGAAGTACCTGCATGCACCCTACCCTCAACCACTGTGTGTCCACAATTCTGTTTCCTTAAAGGGCCCACAGAAAACAATCCAAATTCACACCTTCCTGCCTCCAAGTTTGTGTTTATCCCAAGACTTCTAAACTCGGCTTTAAAGTCTCCCCAGAACCCAGAGGGCAGGGGGAGGGTCACAGGCTGAGCCGGCTAGGCGGGCACCAGGGCAGTGCCTGGCCCCCTGAAGCCCCACCCCGCCCACTCACAGGCTTGACATCCAGCAGGATGGAGGACTTGGCCACCAGTGCAGGCTTCTTGGCCTTCTTCTCCGCGTACTGCCGTAGCCGCTCCTCCCGCAGCTGTGCCGCCTCCTTGTCCTCCTCCTCATTGTCACTGCCAAACAGGTCAATGTCATCATCCTCGTCATCCTCTGCTGGTGTGGCTGGCTTCTTGGCTGGGGGCTCCACTTGGCGCATGGGAGATACGTGCTGCCACAGGGGAAGGGACAGGAGGCACGGCTGAGACGCCCCAACCAGGGCCCAGAGCTGCCTGGCCACCTCCTGGCCCTCCTCCCTCCTTTGACTGGAGGAAGGGCAGCCCCTGTGTACCGCAGCTGTGTACATGCAGGGCCCCAGGAAAGACAAAAACTGCCTCCACCTGCCCAGGGCTAACTGTAAACCTTCCTGGGGACCTGAGGACTCCAGTATCCTGGCTGCCAGCTCATCACTGCTGCTGGGGCCAGCCCACAGGGCGACGTGGAAGCCAGCAGGGCCACGTGGTCCCCTGCAGTGTCAGGCGTGGGGAGAGCATTCACCTGGGTCTGTGGGGCCGTGGCCCGGTGGCCAGGCGAGCTCTTCTCCAGCACGTTCAGCCGGGCCTCCAGCTTGGAGATGGCCTGCTGCAGCTCCTGTACCACTGGGGGGGCAAGGGGAGCACGGTTAGATGGCAGGGGCCAGGGACAGCCCCAACCCACTGGCCCGGGGCCTCACCGCCACGCAGACTCTGGTTCTCCACTTCCAGACTGGCAATCCGGACGACGAGCTCACCGTGGTCTCCGCTGGTGCCGCTGGAGGCCCCGGGGCCTGAGCTCTGCAAGGCAGGAGGAGGGGAGGGCTCAGTGCCCAGCCTGCTCCTAGGGTCCCCCTGCCATGCTCAGGACTGCAGGAACTCACGGAAGGAAAACTACAGCTCGGGAGAGCAGGAGGTGCCCCCCGCTGATGCCCAGCTCAAACTTATGACCTCAGAGGTGGCGGCCACCACAGACCACAGTGAAATTCTCAGCCAGGCAAAGTCCAGGACAGGAGGCTCTTGGTGCCCCAGAGACGGAGGCTGTGGGGAGCTGGGCCATGGCTGCTGCTGCCCGGCGGAATCCTGCTGAGCAGCCAGGCTCAGAGGCTGGGTGGGAGGTGCTGAAGGACTCACAGTCCTAGGGACAACCTGGGACACGCCTCAGGGGACCAGGCAGCACTGGAAATGGGAGGCGGGAGCAGCTGAGGGCCCAGTGGGGGAAGAAGGAAGGAGCCCACCTGTGTGGACAGCAGCCACCCAAAGCTTTGTCTCCCTGGGCCTCACGCCTGCCATCTCACTCAGCAAGCCAGTCTCTAGGTGATCCAGGGCCCCAAGCCCACCTCATACTCTGCCATAGCTGAGACTGATACCTCGGGGCCCAGACAGGATCCCAGCCTCCTGGCCCTTAACACTAGCCAGTCCTTAAGCATCTACCTGCACGCATGGGCCATTTAGCCTGCCCACCCTCCAACAGGATGGCTCGAAGGACAGGGTGCACCTGGCTGCATGGAGCTCTCAGCAAACCCCATCTCGGCAGCTCCCCGGGGCTCCCTCTCTGTGGGGAGGGGCCTGGAGTAGCCGGGCAGGCAAAGCCGCTCCTTGCAGCAGGTGCGGACATACTCAGGCCTTTGCCCAACGTGCAAACCCATCCCTGGGGCCCTCCTGCCACCGTCCTTGGGACCATGCTGTGGGGAATGCTTGTTTATGTATCTGGAGGGTGTGGGAGCTAAGCCCCGCAGATCATGGGCAAGGCCGAGCCAAACTGGCCCAGGAGGCCCACCTGGCAGCAAGGCCAGGAGGAAATGGACAGGGAAAGGCCAGGCTGGCAGAGGCGCGTGAATGGTGGTGGGGGTACGGGAGGCACCGGCAGAAACTGACAAACTCGGGGGCAGAAGCCGGAGCACGGGAGGGCCAGGCTTTGGGGCGCCAGGGGGCATGGAGAATCACAGCAGACCTCCCGCGGGAGTGGGGCTGGGTCCTGAGGAGGCCGGAGTCTGTGAGTGGCACCTGAGGCCTCATGCACCCCACACAGCAGGCCCAAGGACAGGGAAAAGGTCCCCTCTGGAAGAGGCACTAAGTCAGCACTGGCCCCGGGCTGCATGATGAGCAGCGGGGGCCGTCTCACCACTGCCTGGCTCTGCGGGCCACTAGGCCAGAGCCCACAGCACTCAGGACACAGGGAGAGTCCCCTCCTTTGATGCTGACTCAGGGGGGACTAGGGATGCCAGGCATCAGAATCCCTGAGCACAGCTTCAACGGGCAGGCTCAGGTCACCCAGTGCAGTCACAGCGGGCCTCAGAGAGCCCCTCAGGGACTTGGGGGATGCCAAAGGCAAACACTTCAGAGCCAGACCCATGCCTGTAACCCTGTGCCAGCACCACGCTACCAGAAACCCTGCAGTTCTGAAACCCCAGTGTCTGCTGAGCACTCCCACCCCAAATCCAAGATGAGACTGGGCCCCTGCCATGGGCTGAATAATGTCCTTCCAAATCCACATGCTGGAGTCTTATCCCCCGGTATCTTAGGATGTGACCTTATTTGGAGACAGGGCCTTTGCAGAGGTAACTGTCACTGAGGGGCAGGGGGCTAATCCAATCTGACTGGTGTCCAATAAGAAGACATCAGGACACACACACACTCAGATGGATGACCGTGTGAAGACATGGAGAAGACGGTCTACATGCTGAGAGAGGCCTCAGGAGAAACCAGCCTTGCTGCCACCTCGATCATGGACTTCCAGCCTCCAGAGCTGTGAGAAAATACATGTGGTTTAAGTCACCCAGTCTATGGACCTTTGTTATAGCAGCAAACCAGTCCCTAAGCCCTAACAGTGCGACCACCTGCCTGTCCCAGAGACACCTTAGGGTTGACTCCACACAGCCAGGGCTGAAGAGTTCCTGCAGCCCCAGGGCCAAGCCCCCGACCGCTGCCTTCTGGGCACTGGAGTGCAATATGCCTGACTTGGGCGCAAAAATCTGTGCTCCCTTAATCTCATGTCTGCCTAGCCTGGACTTGGTCAGGTGCCTGGGCAAGCCAGGGGTGCAAGCCAGTGGGCAGAACGCAAGGCACAAAGGAGCACCCCACCTGGCAGACAGGAGTGGCAGCCCTTCCTGGGCCCACCCACCCAGGGATGCCCAGCTTATGGCCCGGGAGCCAGCACACCCCTAGGTGGCTGTGGCTGTGGCAGACAGAACAATGGCCCCCACAAAGCCACATACGAGTCCGCAGAGCCTGTAAATATGGTCTCCCATGGCAAAGGGATTCTGTAGATGTGATAAGATTAAGTTAAGCGGCAGAGAGGATGCTGGATCACCCAGGTGGGCCCACTGTCATCACAAGGGCCCACACTAGGCAGCAGGAGCGAGGGAGGGGAGAGGGAGGCTGAGTGACAAGACAGCTGCCTGGGAGCCTTGGGCCAAGGACCGTGAGCAGCTTCCAGCAGCCAGAAGAGACAAGGAAGCGGATTCTCCCCGCAGAGACACCAGAAGGACCACAGCCTTGATTTTGCCCCATAAGATGATCTCAGACTTCTGGCCCCCGGAACTGTAAGGTGAGGAACTTGTGCTGTTTTAAGCCACGGAAGTGTGGCAACGTTACAGCAACATCAAGTGGAAACCAACACAGATCCTGGCCCAGGAAGTGGGGTGCTGCTGGAATGCCTAACAATGTGGAGATGGCTTTGGAGTTGGGCAGTGGTGAGGCGGGAAGAATTTTGAGGAGCGTGACAGAAAACCCCTAGACTGGGCCGGGCACAGTGGCTCACGCCTGTAATCCCAGCACTTTGAGAGGCCGAGGTGGGCAGATCATAAGGTCAGGAGTTCAAGACCAGCCTGGCCAACATGGCGAAACCCTGCCGCTACTAAAAAAAAAAAAAAAAAGAAAAAAAAATGTCAGCTGGGCTTGGTGGCAGACACCTGCAGTCTCAGCTACTCGGGAGGCTGACACAGGAGAATCGCTTGAACCCCAGAGGCTGAGGTTGCAGTGAGCCAGGATCATGCCACTGTACTCCAGCCTGGGCGACAGAGCAAGACTCTGTCCACAACTCACCCACCCCCTCCAAAAGAAAAACCCTAGCCTGTCTTGAGCACCCTGTTGGCAGAATTCAGATGCTAAGGCCCTCGGTGAGGACTCAGAGGAGGTGAGGAGCAGGGCAGAGAAAACACGTCATCTTCTAGAACAACCTAAACTGCCACGAACATGCTGTTGGTAGGAATAGGGATGTTAAAAAATGACAGCGGGGGGGACCATGGGCCACACAGGAGCGCTCCCTTCAAACCTCACGTGACCCGCCGGGCTGGACTGTGAAACTGCCTGGGACTAGTGACGCCCTGTTTCCTTCTTCTTTTTCCCATTTTGAAAGGGAATGCCTGTCCCACAATTGTATTTTGGGAGCAGATAACTTGCTTTCCAGTTTCACTGGTCCACAGATGGAGAGGAATTTTGCCTCAGGATGGACCACGCAATCCCCCATGCCTGATTGGATGGGATTCTGGACTTTGGAGGGACACTGTGGGGGACCCAGGCTTCTGCAGATGTTGGTGAGGAGCAATGCACCTTACAAATGAGACAATGAGAATCTCCGGCGCCCACGTCCCAACCCCCAGAGCCTGCAAATCCACTACCTTACATGGCAAAAAGAAGAATTGGCAAACACGATTAAATTCAGGATTTTGAGGTGGGAACATCCTGGACCTGGGATCCTGGGGGCCCAAAGCAAGTACAAGAACCACGTAAGTGACAGAGCGAGGCAGGAGGTTCGAGAGAGGCGCGAGATGGAAGTGGAGGCGGGGCGGGGATGAGGCTGCCTGCTGAGCACCTTGAAACAAGCAACGTGGGCATCCACCAGAATCTGGGAGAGGCAAAGGAACAGACTCCTCCTGAGCCTTTGGAAGGATGGCGACCTTGCTGACACTGGGGACAGCCTCGTGAGACACATTTCAGATTTCTGGCCTGGAAACCCGGCATGATACAGATGTACTGTTTCCAGCGTGAGGCTGTGGAAAGCCATAGCAGCAGCCACAGAAACACTGACCCCGTTCTTGGGGCCAGGACACCACCCCGTCCCGGGGAGAACGCAGTCCCAACTCCTCGGGAACACCAGGGCTGCCACCTCCCGGAGGACACCCCTTCCCCAGCCAGCCTGTCAGGCCACAGCTACTGCCTCCAACTCCTGATCTTGGCCCGGGGCCTGGAGGCCAAGCAGGGATACAGGGCTCCTTCTGGGTCTCCAACTCAAGACGGTGCCAACTCTAGGCTCTGAACTCCTTGCGCCTTGCAGAACCACCACTTCTCTCTCCCCAGTGAGGCAAGATCTAAGAGGGAATGTGGGAAGGCCCAGCAGACACACAGTCCTGCCACAGGGAGCAAGCAGGGAGGCACAGGCTCTCATGCCAGGTGCCCACAGGACACCCTGCAAATGGCACCACTCAGCTCCCAGCCGGCCCCACAGGAGCGGCCAGTGTGACCGCCAGCCGGCAGACGAGGTAAGCACGGAAGGGACGCGAGAATAAGAACACTGTCCGTGGCAGTCCGGGCATGGAGGTCACAGAGCCACACGTCCCAAGGAGCACAGCGCCGTGCACCCTGCCCTGACTCTGCTGTGAAGCCAAAACAACCAGCAGCATCAGGAAAAATCAGACATGCTGCTTGGCCGAGCAGGAGCCCGCAGGTCCGTGGGCCGCGGGTACTCACTCCAGCCAGGGATTTCTGGATGTTCTCTCTGGCTCTCGCAATGTCACGGAGGATCACGCTGGCGCCGTTCTCCTGCAGACAGTGCAGAAAGAACCAGTCTTTTTTTTATTATTAAAAAAGAATTTAATTAAAAAACAAACCAAAAAACCCCATGAACCCTCACATAGAGACAGCAAGAAAGTACTGCACAGAACGAGAGCTTGGCGGGCCAGAAAAGCGGGAGATGCCTGAGGCTGTGACGACAGGCAAAGGCGCCCATGTCTGCGGGGGAAGGAGTGCCAGGCCTGGCCCCACACCAAGTGCACAGGCGCCGGCAGGAGGGCCCTGAGCAGACCCGGCCCGGGGGCCCGGCCAAGGCCGCCTGCCCCGAGACCCCACTCCCAGCACCCACAGCAGAGCCACTGGGCCAGGGTGCCTCTGCCTTCCTGGCCTGGCTGAATCCGCTTTGTGTGCCCCGGCCACTCCTGTCGGGCAGCAGAGCCGCCCAGCCGCCCCACGTGCAGCTCTCACCTGGCGGGAGGCACCTGCCACAGGCCCGTTCATCTGCTCGTAGAATCTCCTTTCTGCGTCGTCATATTTGAACTTGTCGAACCAGATCTTCTCATGTGCTAGGAAGTTTGTAGCCATTTTTCTGCTGGGAGGGGAAAGAGGCAAAGTCAGCATGGCTGGGAAGTGGGCCTCGGCATCAGGACAGCCCAGAAGCACCAAGGTGCAGTGGGGCTGACACCCGCTTCAGACACCAGCGGTTCTCCACAAAGCGACACCAAGCCCGTAAGCCCTCACCCCACATGGCATCCCCAGGCCTGTCTTCCAGACGAGGAGTTCTCAAAGTGTGGTCCGAGAACCTCTGAGGGTCCCCAGGCCCTTCCCTTTCACTCACACGAAGCTGGGTTTATGTCAAACAGCTGAAGTGCGGAGGCAGGTATGAGGGCCCAGCTGCCTCCCACTAAGCCAGACACCCGAGAGATTTGCAAAAACCTCAAGCAAGGCCATTCTGCTCACTGAATTTTTTGGTTATGGGAAAAGTATTTCTCATAAAAAAAAAAGATGTTAGTAATATGTAACAAGTTTCTTCAACAAATAAGTACACTTAGCATTTCTGAGTTTTTTTGTTATTTTTTTTTTGTGTGAGATGGAGTCTCACTCTTGTCGCCCAGGCTGGAATCAGCGGCGCGATCTCGGCTCACCGCAACGTCCGCCTCCTGGGTTCAAGCGATTTTCCTGCCTCAGCCTCCCGAGTAACTGGGACTACCAGTGCACACCACTGTGCCTGGCTAATTTTTTGTATTTTTAGTAGACAAGGTTTCACCATGTTGGCCAGGCTGGTCTTGAACTCCTGATCTCAGGTGATCCACCCGCCTCGGCCTCCCAAAGTGCTGGGATTACAGGCGTGAGCCACCGTGCCCGGCCCATTTCTCAGTTTTAATTGCTAATGTGGTAAAAATCAATAGATACAATGAAAGCTCTTTGGGGTCCTGAGAGCAAGAAGGTTGAGAATTGCTGCCCTAGACAGGGACCATGGCCCGCAGGCAAATCCAGCCTGTGGTTTTACTGGCACAAAGCCCCACCTCGTGCCACTCCCACTGGCCAGCAGCAGAGGAGCTGGGCAGATGACTCTGTGGCCGGGGCCCAGACCCTCTGGTTCTTTATGGAGTTTGCCGCCCCCCACCCTGGACTGGCCAAGACCCTCTTACTGTCCAACCAAGCACAACAGAACTGTCCCCCTCCTGCCCTGCCGCCAGTCTGTGTGTGGACTCCGGACCATCGCTGGACCTTGCCAAGTGTCCTCTCGGTAACAAAGGGCTGGAGTCTGTGAGCGTCCTCTGCGTCCCTGACCCAGGACACTCTCTCGGCAAGGAGGGACCAGGCCACCGTGAACACCAGGGCAGGTGGAAGGGCAGGAGGTAGCATTCCCCTATGGGGTCCTGCCCTCAGGTTATCTTGTTAACCAGCAAATCCAGACCCCTAGGGGTCCAAGGTTGGAACCACTTCCTTGGGGGCCTCAGCAGCTGCTTGGGACCTTCAGAGTCCTTCCCTGACTCAGCCCGCCCCACCACCAGGACACCCTCGCCAACAGGCCAGCCTCGCCACTTCCATGCCCTCTGTATTCCCCTCCAAGTCCAATCGTCCACCCACCTGCCTGGCCCCAGAGACCGCTGCTGGGGTTGCACCTGCACCCTGGAGCAAGCCCACAGCACCCAGAGGGAGGTCACACAGACGGGGCACCCTGGGATGGAGGCCACCTGACCAGCCACATGCCCATGCATCTGAGACGCCACCACCTTCCCTCAGAGGTGGTTTCAGGTGACAAGGAAAGCTGGGGGTGCACAGGATGGACAGGCAGGGACACACTGGCTCCCACATCTCATCGCAGGGGAGCGCTAGGGCCAGAAACCAGCTTCAATGCTTCCCGCCCCTATAAGTAGCCTTATCTTCTCAGCCCTGGCATGTGACAGCCACAGGGGACTTGGGGAGCTTCCCAGCCAAAGAGGGACCCTGGGCAAGGCAGAGATTCTGCCCTGTGCTGAGCCCTTCCCTGCCCTCATCCAGGCAGCCTGGAACTTTGTAACCTCAAGCAGTGTCCCTGGAACCCACAAGCGCAGCACCACCTTTACTCAGCCTGCTCCTGCATTCAACTCTGCTGGGCCCACGGGTCTCGGGGAGCCCCCACCCCAGGTGGGCAGGGGAGGAAGCTGGAGGAGCCCCAGCCTGGGATGGCTGTCCCTGTGCCCACAGCCCAGGCTGGGTGCCCACCCAGCACGTTTCTCCTACTTGGGTCTCAGGCTGGACACGGACAGGCCAGACCGAGGACCGGGTCGGTGAGACAGGGAGGCAGCTTCGAGGCACCAGGCCACCCGCAGGGCCTCGGCAGCGTGGTGGCGGCACTCGGCGCTGTCGTAGGCAGGCTTGCTGAGCCAGGGGGCCTCTGCATCCTTCTGCAGGAAGTAACAGTAGGGCAAGGCAGAGGGGGCCTCCCCATCGGCCCGTCGCAGCCCGGCCCGCTTGTTCCCTAAGATGTTGCGGCCCCGCCGGTCTCTGCGGCCCCGCCGGGCACCCTCGGCCAGGCCGGCTCGCTCTTGCAGGCGCACCTTCCCTGGGGGATGGCCGTCAAACAGGGCCTCGTAGAAGCCCCTCTCGGCTGCATCATACCGGGGCTTCTCCAGCCACACCTCCCGAACCAGTGCCTGCAGGCTGCCCAGCGGGGGCTGGCCATTGACCGGTGGGCTGGGCTGGTGGGCCAGGTCGGGGACGGCCACCTGCTGGCCTGTGTTGGGAGTCCCCTGCCTGCGGCTGCCGTCGGGGGCCAGCAACAGGGCCTGAGACCACTCCACGAAGGCCCGCTCAGCCTGGTCGAAGGAGGACTTGTTGACCCAGATCCCCCAGGTCACGTGGTGGCAGGCCACCTGGTTTCCATGGGTGCAGAGACCCCAAGGGGCCAAGGCAGGAGGCCAGGCTGCCTGGGCAGCCACATCTGCCAGCTTCTGGCGGTAGGAGCTCTCTGCCTGGTCGAAAAGTGACTTGTCCAGCCACACGCGTTCGGCCGAGAGGCCCAGGAGGGCCAGGTCCGCGGGGCCGAGCCCGCTCTTGGGGGAGCGCTTCCTCTTTTTCTGCAGGGGCTTCCTGCTGTCCTGGCTCTTCCTGGGATCACGCCTGCTGCCGCCGTCAGGGGCTTCCGCCTCATCAGCGTCCTCAGGGTCGTCCTGGCCGGGCCCATTCATGGCTGGCCCCTCGGCTGGCAGCTGCTGGGCGGAGGCGGCCGCCTGTGTGGCCTCGTGTTCGTAGAAGCGCCGCTCGGCCTCCTCATACTTGTGCTTGTCTTCCCACACGGTCTCCAGGGTGCAGGAGGCCTTCCCGCTCCTCATCTTCCGGACACAGCGATAAAAAGCAAGCAGAGGGCAGAGTTGCAACACAGCGGGTGGCCGCAGCCCCGTGCCCACCCTCCCCGTGCCCGCCCTCCCCGTGGCTGCCCTCCCTGGGCAGGGGCTGAGGATGCTCCCCAGTGGGGCTTCCATGAGATGACATTCGAGGACTTCGAAGTCAAGCCCATGTGGGGACGTTTTGTTGTGAAGAGAAAACAGGCCGGGCGCAGTGGCTCATGCCTGTAATCTCAGTACTCTGGGAGGCCAAGTGCCTCCCAATACATGAACAATATATAATTTTGTTAGTGAATGTATGGCCCATGAAGTATCTGAGACATACTTACACTAAAAATTTTTCGTCATTTATCTGAAATAAGCTTTAACTGGCTAACTAGCTTTCCCTGCATTTTTCCACAGGCCAGGCCTGGCCACCCCACCATGGTGGCTGGTGTTCCCATTCTACAGAACGGTCTCTGTGGCTGTCCTGGCCACACCACTGCCACACCCAGAGCACCCTCAAAGTTCTTACAAAAGAAGGAGCCTCGGCCAGGCACGGTGGCTCACACCTGTAATCCCAACACTTTGGGAGGCCGAGGCGGGCGGATCACAGGGTCTGGAGACTGAGACCATCCTGGCTAACACGTTGAAACCCTGTCTCTACTAAAAATAAAAATAAAAATTAGCCGGGCGTGGTGGCAGGCGCCTGTAGTCCCAGCTCCTAGGGAGGCTGAGGCAGGAGAATGGCGTGAAGCCGGGAGGCGGAGCTTGCAGTGAACCGAGATGGCGCCACTGCACTCCAGCCTGGACAACAGAGCAGGGGAAAAGAAAAAAAAAGAGGGAGCTTCTTTGTGGGCCTGACTGTCCTCCCCAGGAGGGGGCCAGGTGGCCGGGCAGAGGGTGGAGTGCCCACTCATGAAGGAGACGCCAGGGAGGATGCTGGTGACCACTGTGTAGAAAGGAGGGGCCAAGCGCCTGGAGCACTGAGACGGCTCTAGGCTCTCTATCAGCTGCCCCCGCCTCCCAGCTGGAGTCCATACCTTTGGGTCCATCCAAGCTAAAGGGGAATCATGGGGCTCTCACAGTCCCAGGACATCAGGGCCCCCTCTAAGGTTTTGCTTCTGTGTAATGTTAAGAGGGACCATCTTGGTGGGAGGCAGGTTGTGAGGCTCCACTCCCCACTTGCTACTGTGGCCTGGGAGCCTCAGCCTCCTCCCTGGATGAGGTGTTCCCTCAAGCTCTGGGCGACCTCAGTCACCTGCTGCCCCAGTGCTCCAGCAGCCATGTGGGATCCTGCCGGGGGCACGCTCTGCTCCCAGGTGTCCAGTGTGGTGTTACAGAAAGGACAGGCCCAGAAGGCCAGGGGCAAATCTGCTCTTGGGATGCAGGTCAGCACCCCAGCCCGCGCTCAGCCTGCGATAGCTTCCTCCCCAGCCATGCCCGACTCCAGGCTCTGCTCCCCAAAAGCAGAAACGCCTGGGCCTAACCAACGCCTAGGAGCACCCTCAAGAGGGGGCTGTGCAGCTGCCCCTCACAGACACCGCTGCTAGTCTGCTGCCTCCGCAGGTGTGTCTAGTGGAGCCTGAGGGCAGACAGACCCAGTGGCCCCAGGGCACCGTGACTGGGACCACCTGCCTGGTCTGCACCCAGAGGGAGGCAGCCTTCGGTCAAGAGCAGACCCTTCACACCAGTGGCTATGGGTCTTCGCCCCTCTTCTAACATCCTTACCCAACAAAACCAAGGCTGGCTCCAACGCCCCCCGTGGGGTGCTGAGCTGTCTACGCTCCACCCAGGCAGGGAGGACTTTTGGGAAGGCACCCCTGGCACTGCACTCTGCAGCCTCTAAGTGGAACATGGAGTTCTTTGCGGGCATGTGGCCCGAATCCCGCAGTCCCAGCAACAAGTTCTAATGGCACCAACGAGGAACCGGGGCCCATGGGAGGCCACAGGGCCCATGAAGACGCTCCCTAGGCTCCCCTGCTCATTCCTTCCCCAGGCTGGGGCAGCACTTACCAAGGCCAGGCTGATGGGCAGAGGCAGGGGTTGTGGGTTGGGGGTGGGGTGGGAGCAAGAGCCCAGGAGACAGGGCATTGTGACATCGTGCGGTGGTACCCCCACCAGTCTCTCTGCTCCCATGGAGCCGTGCAGGTCCCATCAGCAGTGCCACTGAGCTGGCCCCCAGTGTTGATGCCCTACCAGACTTTATTGGCCAAAGTGGCCTCAGACTATGTTCTTGGGGGCTCCGGGCAGAAGCCGCCGCTCAGGGAGGGGAAGCCACTTCAAGGCTCCTACCGAGACCTGGCACTGCCACCTGTTCCCTGCAGGGAGCCGCATGTCAGCTGCTGACCCGCCAGCCCAGGACAGGACCCTGCTCACGGCCACACAGGGTGCCCACCTGCTGCTGCCCCATCCAGAAAACCCAATTCCTCCACTTTCCAGATGGGAAACTGAGGCCCTCTGGGCAGACTGGGCCATGCGCAGGTGGTGCTGGGTTCCCTCAGGTGCAGCGAGGGCTGGGGGTTCCCCGGTCAAATGAAGGGGAATGGGGCATGAGGACAGGCGAGTACTTACTTTGCTTTGGCCTCCTAGGACAGCATGAAGGAAAAGCAGCAAGGTTAGAGGCAGCCAGAAAGACTAACCGGGTCAGACACAGCAGCAGGTCAGCCCGGGGCGGCCGGGGGCCTTTCCAGAAGCTGCTTGGCGAGGTGGTGTGGAGGTGACACTGGTGGAGATGGAAGCTGAGCGCCAGACAGACCCGCCGCCACCACAATCCCAGGTGGCAGCTGAGTCCACACAGGTGACGTCACTCCGTCATCCCCTGAAAGGGGAGCTCTTGGGATTACTGTCAGTTGGAGCCTAGGCAGGCCCTGGGGGACAAGCAGGGACCACTATCTGAGCCAACCTTTCCCAAATCCACCCACCCTGTCGTCACCTGAGCAAGGTAGCCTGAGACAAGATAAGCCAGCGCCCACAAGCATCCCCTGGAGCTGCCAAGGAGCTCCCCCAAGCCCCTCACCTGCACTGCCCCTGTGTCCGGTCTGCTGAAGGAGGCCCGGAAGATGACAAGGACCCTCAAGGGGGAGGCAGCCCAGGGCTCACATTAATACAGGGCCTCTCTCTCAGCAGGAGCCACCGTCAAGACAGGGCTGGCACCCAAGGGCCCCAGCACAAGCTACAAAGGCCTCCCAGACTGACTCTCCCACAATGTGCACACAAGGACAGGACCTCCACCCAGTTCACTCCTCGGCTGGAGACACTAGGTGTCCTGCCCCTAATCTCACCAGAGCCACCTCATAAACCCTGCAAGCTCTGCGAAGGGCAGCTGGGCACAGCTGAAAGCCCAGCCACCAGCCCATGTCCTGGGTGGGACTGGGCAGGAGGGGCCACCTCCTACTGCTGATCAACCCGAGAGCCCTGGCTGGGATCCGTCTTCCTTCACCAACGGGAGCTCCGGCCCCAGGGCCCTGCCCACCTCTGTGCACCCCACACTGCAGCAGGGAGCACCCTGCAGGGAGGAACTGGGCACCCTGCAGGGGTCTGGTGGAGACGAGGATGCTACGGAGGCAGCTGCCCCATGGGACCAGTAAGAGGGATCTTGGGTGGGCTTCCCTGCAGAGAGGAAGCCCTCAGGAGACACCACAGTAAGCCATGCTGGAGACCTGGAGGCCAGGCCCGTCACCTGGGGAGCTGGCCACTAACAGCGGGCAGAGAGCCTCCCAGGACAGCCAGCACAGCCCCCCACACGTCCGAGCCCACCTCCTCATTTCCCCGCTTCCCGCATTCCCAAGCATGGGAGGACCTGCCGGACGCAGCGCACCATCTCTCCTAACAGAGACCAAGTCTGAGCTTCAAAGCTTGCGCAGACGACAGGCACGTGCAAGCCTCTCCTCTCCAGCAGGAGAGCCCGGAGCAGGACACAGCGACTCTTTCAACTGCGTCCCGACAAACGGTCAGCCCCTTCGCTCCTGCAGTTTATCCAAGCTCAGGAGGAGCTTTCTAAAGAGAACACAGGGAGACAGCTGGCTGCCAGAGAAGCAGTCTTGGAAACGCCAGAGCCAGGCCCCAGGGGGAAGTGGCCAAAGTGTCCCTACTCTGCTCCTGGAAGCAGGCCAGGCTCACCACCAAGGCTCTTCCCTGAGGGGTAGACAGTGTCTGCCAAGCACCTGAGCCTCTGGCAGCTGCCCAGAGTTTGAGAGTGCCCTGGGGTCCTGGCTCTGGAAGGCTCCACCCAGCTAACAGGGCCTGTGACACAGGTGGCAGCCAGCAAGACCCACTGCAGCGGCATGGCCCTCACAGCCTCCCCTGTCCCTGTCCTGGGAGCAGCCCCGGCAGACTCCTACCCAGAACACTCCAGGTCAGGAGGGCAGGGCCCTGAGGAAGGTGAGGACATCCTGGAGAGCTGTGGCCACCAAGGTGCTGCACGGCCTGGAGGTCTCCACACATCTGGGCAAACGGAAGCTTTCTGGGAGGAGCTGGCTCCCAGGCCCTGCCCTCCACGCCACCCCATCACAGTCGCACACACAGACAGGCTCCCAGATTGTCCACCCTCCACAGGGAGAAGTCAGGGAGGTGGGCAGGGGACGGGGTCAGCCACCGGCTCAGCCTGTGCACGCCCACCCCTCCCAGCAGCACCCCTCTCCGGCCCACCTGGCTGGCCTGAGTCTGTGGACTGGCACTGCCTGATAGAACTTTCAGTACCTTCAGTGCCCAAAGGGCGCGACGACTAGCCCTTAAAAGAGGCTGGAGCCCCTGAGGAAGCGGGTCTTTAGGCAAAACCACCGCACGGCAGAGCAGCCACAGGACAGATCAATGTCTTCCTGCGTGGAGTGAGGCCTTCGGTCTTTTTTTGAGACGGAGTCTCACTCTGTCACCCAGGCTGGAGTGCAGTGGCGCGATCTTGGCTCACTGCAACCTCCAACTCCCCGGTTCAAGCGATTCTCCTGCCTCAGCCTCCCAAGTAGCTGGGACTACAGGCATGCGCAACCACGGCCAGCTAATTTTTGGGTTTTTTTTGAGACGGAGCCTCACTCTGTCACCAGGCTGGAGTGCAGTGGTACGATCTCAGCTCACTGCAACTTCCACCTCCCGGGTCCAAGCAATTCTCCTACCTCAGCCTCCCAAGTAGCTGGGATTACAGGCGTGTGCCACCACACCTGGCTATTTTTTCATATTTTTAGTAGAGATGGGGTTTCACCATGTTTGCCAGGCTGGTCTCGAACTCCTGACCTCAGGTGATCTGCCTGCCTTGGCCTCCCACAGTGCTGGGATTACAGACATGAGCCATGCGCCCAGCCTAATTTTCGTATTTTTAGTAGAGACGGGGTTTCACCATGTTGGCCAGGATGGTCTCGATATCCTGACCTCATGATCTGCCTGCCTCGGCCTCCCAAAGTGCTGGGATCACCAGCATGAGCCACCACGCCCAGCCGCCTTTGGTCTTTTTAAGAGAAAAAACTCCACAGTTCCACATTCCCACTCAGCCACTTTCCTGTCTGACCCCTGGATATTCCAGCCCCACTGGGAAACGCCAGCCTGTCCTGCATATCTCAGAGCACTCACTGTAGCTACCCAACCCACCCTGCCCCAGGCCAAGCCCCGCCCCAACCACGTCTTTTCTTAAATGCCACTGCAGGCCAGCTCCATGGCCAGCCCTGCTTGAGGGGCTCTGGCCGACCTGCCTGCCCGGCGCAGCCCCTGTGCCTCCTGGGTGACTCCAGCACGGCACAGGCTTTCTGGAACCCCAGACAATACCCACGCCACACCTCACACGGCACCCTTGGCTGTCAGCGAGGTGGGAGAGCTGGAGACCTGTGGCAGGCTCCTACACCAGCACTTAGCATAACTCACTGCCACCAGCTTCCAACACGCTGATGTCACCTTAACACACTGGCACAGGATGATGACCCACAAATCCTCAATGCCACATTTCCTGTCCTCAGCCCCCAGAAGGCTGACGCCAGTGCACGGCACAGCCCAGGTACTCTTTGTCCATCATCAAGCACGTGTGCCCACCTGTGCTAAACCTTGCAGCCTCACCCAGCAACCCGGGAGCAAAGCCCAGAGGGCCTAGTCCTCCAGAGGAGGCGGGAGGCAGCGGGGGCTCTGTCGGCTGGGCGCTCACTCTGCCAGCACTGACTGCGTGTGAACCCTGCAGCAGCCCAGGGGAGATGCTGCTGTCTCACAGGATTGGCACTGCGCCCAGAAAGCCTCTACAGAGGCAGGTCTAGGAGCCTGGCTGGGCCTGAGGCATGTGGTGAGAAGGCGAAGGTGAGCGTCTACTTCCTCAGAGGACGCTCGGGGGCTCCTTCCACACCTGCCCAGCCCCTCAGCTGCATCCCCCACCCCCAGAACGGGGCTGGGCACACACGGGCTCCGGAAGTAACCAACTGCCTGCGAGCCAGCTGCTTAAGGCTCATGGGGTCCAGATGACGGGGTGGGCGGAGCTGTAGAAGGAGGCTGCTCAGGTGAGATGGCCTGGCCTGCCTCCCTGGGAGGTGAGCCGCAGGCAGTGTCAACTTAAGAAGCACCCCGCCCTGTCGGGCAGGGACAACCCCAAGTTTAGCTACACAGTTCTTCTGCTGCCAGGCGGTCCTTCATTCTGGAAACCAATCCTGACGTCTCATCAGGTCCCCAACCCACTCCGCCCCCTTTGCCTTCTTCCTTCCACTTAAAGCCTCTGAAAGTACTACTTCTTAGCAACAGCATCCCCGCCCCCTTCAGAGACTGCCCGACCACCCTATCCAAATCAAGAGACAGAAATTTTGACCCAGTCACAGTACAGGCTTATTCCTTTCCGTGCTCACTAGCGTCTAAGTTCCAAAAGTGTTGCGTCCGTGCCTATCCCCTCCGTGCTCAGCTGATGCGTGCAGTAACTGGTGCTTGACAAAGACGTGGTGTACGAAGGTCTGCAGGCCAGAGAAACAGCTGGGGCAGATGTCTGGTCTCCCACGGAGACGGCAGCAAACACAGGCCTTAGGCCCCAGCAGCCTGGCCGAGGGGCTTCCACGACCGGGATGCGCCGTGAGACAGTGCTCCCGGCGCCCCCGTCCCGCGGACGCCCTCCAAGCCGGCCACGTGGCCTCCGTCGCCCCGCCTCTCTGCGCTCGCCCCAAGTGCCGCACTTGGCCCACGGCCCCTAAGCCCGCGCTGGCGCACTTGTGCCTCAGTCCCTAACGGCGCGAGCTTCTGGCGCAGCCCGGGCCGCCCGCCCTCCCGGCCCCTCGGGCGTCTCTGTCGCGCCCGACTCCTTCCGGCGGGGGCCGCGGTACTCACACGCCAGCCAAGGACGCGGCGACCAAGGAGGAGGAATCGGCGGACGCGGGAAGACTGATGAAAGGGAGGGCCGCCCGGGCCGCGCACGGGAAATGAAGCACTGGGCTCTACCAAGAGCCACGGGCCGGGGGCCCGGGGGGGGGACGCGACCCTTGCACACGCCCCGCCTGGCCGCCAGGACCCTCGACGCGCCGTGCCCCGACACTTCAAAGGCAGAATTCCGTTGGAGATGACCGCGGAGGCCGCTCTTCCCCGGAGGAGTCTGCACAAGTGCTGGGAACGGGCGGCAGCGCGCGCGCCCCCCCTGCGCTTCGCGGCCAGTGGTGTCGCCGGTGGGGGCGGGTCCGGCAGCCGGCAAGCGCCGAGTGACGCACGAGGCGGCCAGCGCGCAGGCGCGGGGCGGGGCCGGGCCGGGCTAGGTCAGCGCGCGTGCGCCCGCCAAGCTGCGGGACAAAGGGGAGGGACCCGTGCGGCCCCGCCCCCGAGTGCCCCGCCCCGAGCGGCTGGGCGTGTGGCTCCCGCGACCCGCGCGGCCCGGGTCCCCCCCGCCGCAGCCATGTACCCCGCGGGCCCCCCGGCCGGCCCGGTACCGCGCCGCGGCCGCCGTCCCCTGCCCGGGCCCCCCGCGCCCGCCCCAGCCCCCGTCCCCGCTGCACGGCCGCCGCCCCCCGCGCCCGGGCCGCGGCCCCGCGTGGCCGTGAAGATGGCCTTCCGCAAGGCCTACTCCATCAAGGACAAGCTGCAGGCCATCGAGCGCGTCAAGGGCGGCGAGCGGCAGGCCAGTGTGTGCCGCGACTTCGGCGTGCCGGGCGGGACGCTGCGCGGCTGGCTCAAGGACGAGCCCAAGCTGCGCTGGTTCCTGGAGCAGCTGGGCGGTGAGGTGGGCACTCAGCGCAAGAAGATGCGGCTGGCCAACGAGGAGGAGATCGACCGCGCCGTGTACGCCTGGTTCCTGGCGCTGCGCCAGCACGGGGTGCCGCTGTCTGGCCCGCTCATCCAGGCGCAGGCCGAGGCCTTCGCGCGCCAGATCTACGGGCCCGAGTGCACCTTCAAGGCCAGCCACGGCTGGTTCTGGCGCTGGCAGAAGCGCCACGGCATCTCCAGCCAGCGCTTCTACGGCGAGGCCGGGCCCCCAGCCCCGAGCCCCGCGCCCGGCCCGCCCGTCAAGGAGGAGCCCGCGCTGCCCTCCGGCGCCGGCCCCCTGCCCGACCGCGCCCCGGCCCCGCCGCCCCCGGCCGAGGGCGGCTACGGGGACGAGCAGATTTACAGCGCCAGCGTCACCGGCCTCTACTGGAAGCTGCTTCCGGAGCAGGCTGCGCCCCCGGGCGCAGGGGACCCCGGGGCGGGGGGCTGTGGCCGGCGCTGGCGGGGCGACCGCGTAACGGTGCTGCTGGCCGCAAACCTGACCGGCAGCCACAAGCTGAAGCCGCTGGTCATCGGGCGGCTGCCGGACCCGCCCAGCCTGCGCCACCACAACCAGGACAAGTTCCCGGCCTCCTACCGCTACAGCCCCGACGCCTGGCTCAGCCGCCCGCTGCTGCGGGGCTGGTTCTTTGAGGAATTTGTCCCAGGCGTCAAACGCTACCTGCGCCGAAGCTGCCTGCAGCAGAAGGCCGTGCTGCTGGTGGCCCACCCGCCCTGCCCAAGCCCAGCTGCCAGTATGCCCGCCCTGGACAGCGAGGATGCCCCCGTGCGGTGCAGGCCGGAGCCCCTCGGTCCCCCGGAGGAGCTGCAGACACCGGATGGCGCTGTGCGGGTGCTGTTCCTGTCCAAAGGCAGCAGCCGGGCACATATCCCCGCACCGCTGGAGCAGGGCGTGGTGGCCGCCTTCAAACAGCTGTACAAGCGCGAGCTGCTGCGACTGGCTGTGTCCTGCGCCAGCGGCTCCCCGCTGGACTTCATGCGCAGCTTCATGCTCAAGGACATGCTCTACCTGGCTGGCCTCTCCTGGGACCTGGTGCAGGCGGGCAGCATTGAGCGCTGCTGGCTGCTGGGCCTGCGGGCTGCCTTCGAGCCCCGGCCCGGCGAGGACAGTGCTGGGCAGCCGGCCCAGGCCGAGGAAGCCGCCGAGCACAGCAGGGTGCTCAGCGACCTCACCCACCTGGCGGCTCTGGCCTACAAGTGCCTGGCTCCGGAGGAGGTTGCGGAGTGGCTGCACCTGGACGATGATGGGGGTCCGCCCGAGGGCTGCAGGGAGGAGGTGGGCCCAGCCCTGCCCCCTGCAGCGCCTCCGGCCCCAGCCAGTCTGCCCTCTGCCATGGGGGGCGGAGAGGACGAGGAGGAGGCCACCGACTATGGAGGGACCTCAGTGCCGACTGCCGGGGAGGCCGTGCGGGGGCTAGAAACAGCTCTGCGGTGGCTGGAGAACCAGGACCCCAGAGAGGTGGGGCCACTGAGGCTGGTGCAGTTGCGCTCACTCATCAGCATGGCCCGGAGGCTGGGGGGCATCGGGCATACCCCAGCAGGCCCCTATGACGGTGTGTGACCAGGCCAGCCCAGTGACCTTTCTCCTGCTGCACTTGGAGGGAGGGGACATACACACAGTCTCCCATCTCTCCTCCCCTCCCCCTGGGGTGGCCCACCGCATGGGTACAGGGGGTTCCAGGAATCCAAATCCAGCATGGCTTGGAGGAGCTCTGTTGGTGAGAGGTCGCCCTGCCTCACTGGCACCCTGGGGGCACAGCTGGAAGAGAGGCCTGGCCCATGCTCCTCTCAGGGCAGGCACATGTACGGGGCATACAAGGCACAGCGCCTGTTGGAACAGGTGGCTGTGTTCCTGCTCTGGCCCCCGTGGGGCTGGGCCTCCGCCCCTGCACCAGTCACATGCACTGGACGAGGGCCGAAACTCCTGTCTGCTATCGAGCCCTGGTGCTATGTGGCCCCGGAGCCACAGCACAATCATCTCAGTGGCGAAGCACACCACTTGATTCTATTTTTTTTTAACACATTAAATCTGTTTTTAAAGATACTCTTCAGAGGGGCCGTGAGAACAGGGGCCGGGTGGGCTGGTCTCGGGCCGCCCTGCGGTTTCTCTGGAGGTCAGAGGCCCCAGGTACTGGAGCATCACTGTGGAGTGGGAGGGGTGGAGCCCTGTATTAGGTTCTGGGTGCAGCAGGGAGGTGTAGAGTTCCGTTTCCTTGGATTTTTAGTTTTCCCTAAGAAAACTGAACAGATCTCTTATTCCGTGGGATTGGCAGCTGCCTGGCTTTGGGCCCTGGTGACTTGGCCAACGGCAGGAGAGTTTCCCCTGCTTCCTCATCAGCCACAGACCATTCTGTCCAGTCCCAGGGCCTGGAGCCACCTGACTTACCTGGAAGCAGGCCCTGGCATTAGCCCCCAGGGCAATACGCAGTGCCACCCTCTGTGGGCTCTCCTCCCCACCCTCAGACTTTTCTGCCTCTCCTGGGACTGCCAAGGATGTGGCTGACAAGCTGCTCCTGGGAGGCCTACTTTGAAAGGAGGAAAGGGCCCCAGGGCCTGTCAAACCCTGGTTCTGTTCTGCTCTGGCCAGGTCTAGACCTACAGTCCTTCTGGTTGGACTGGGGCCAGGGATGCCCATGCCTCCTCAGGTAGGGTGGGAACTGCCTTTGCAGAGATGCTGCCCGAGCTGGTGTGAGGGGCAGGGAGCTGGCCTGCTTGCCTCCAGGTGTTGACCCCTCGTCCCCATCTGCCCCCAGTGTCCTCCTAGGAGAGGGAACCTTGAAAACCCAGAGTTGTGGAGTGCAGGGGTAGGCTGGAGGCCTGCACGGGGAAGGGAAGGGCTGTGCACCAGCTTGGCAGTGGGGCAGCTGGAGGGTGTCCCCCAAAAGTGACCTTTATACAGGTCCAGGAACAAACAGTTCCTTGGAACTGCCCGCAAGTGAAGAAATATATACATATATATGTATATATCTATATCTCAAAATCTGAGAGCTCAGGGAGGCCGTGGAAATTTGGGGAAGAAGAAACAGACTCCCTGAGCAGAGCTCAGGGCAGCAGCTCCAGGCATGCCTGCTGAGCCCATCAGGCCACCGCCACCTGCAGGAAGAGCCTCTGGCCTGAACTGCTGGGGATGGGCTGCAGAAAGCCTGAGACATTTGGGCCAGCACCTTCCCAGGGGCACAGGCCCCCAAGGCGGGGACACCACCTCTGCTCTGCCAGGCCTGCCTCCAGGGCTCTGAGGAGAAGCTGACTTCACGGCCGCGGTGCCAGTGAGGGCTGCATAGCCAGGCCTTGTCTGTAGTCTGGGCGGCCCGTGGCGCTGCCCTTCAGCCCAACTACTCATTGCCGCTGCGTCTTTGGCGAGGCTTTCATTTCCAACCTTTCTTCCCATCTCAGCCCTTTTGTTGGCCCGGGTCCCAGGAGGCTGGTGTCGGTGAGGGCAGGCCCGCTCCTCTCATCGGGGTGGCTGTGGCCTGTCCCCCAGTCCCTCAATGGCCACTTTCTATAAACAAGGCAGCACTAATTTTTGCTATAAGATAAAAGAGGCCAGGCACGTTGGCTCACACCTGTCATCCCAGCACTTTGGGAGGCTGAGGCGGGTGGATCACCTGAGATTGGGAGTTCGAGACCAGCCTGGCCAACATGGTGAAAACCCCGTCTCTACTAAAAATACAAAAATTAGCTGGGCGTGGTGGCAGGTGCCTGTAACCCTAGCTACTCAGGAGGCTGAGGCACGAGAAATGCTTGAAGCCAGAAGGCAGAGATTGCAGTGAGCCAAGATCACAACACCGCGCTCCAGTCTGCGCGACAGAGCGAGACTCTGTCTCAAAAAAAAAAAAAAAAAAGTGCAGGTGCACGCTGGTGGGGACATTAGGAGCCTGTCAAGAGTGGGTCTGCCTGCTGGCACTTACTAGACGGGAAATACCCCCTAAAGAGGGCTTAAAAAGCATCTTCTCCCTAGCACGGGGCATGCTGGCACAGGGTGCTGTGTGACAGAGGCTTGGCCGCTGGGCCCCGCTGCTGAGAAGGCTGCTCTGCCCATGCCTGGCCCTGTGGGCAGTGCCAGCCATGGATCCCTGAGACCCTGGGCTGGAACCTGGGGCCCCGTCCCAGCCCTACCTGCAGCTCACTAACCCTCTCTGGGTTCTGCTCAGTGTCTGAAGTGATGGAAAGACCCCAGGGTTGGTGGCTGTAGCGGCCCCCAGGGGTGGCAGAACCCTTTGGGAGGCCAAGTGTTCTTTCCCAAAGCTGCGCGGGTGCCATCGCCTGCCAGGCCCTGGCTGTGGTGACAGACGTGGGCTGGGGTGAGGCTGCATCTGCTTCCTCTAACAGCCGTGGCTGCCTGCGGGCTCTGGCCTCCGCTCTGGCAGATTCTGCACATTCCCTGCAGGCGCAGGGGTGGGTGGGGGTGCCTGTGGCCTCGGAGGTACAGCCAGCTGTCCTCAGCTCAGATGGCCCCCAAGAGCCCCCAGCTCCTGTTCACTGCTCTTCCAGTTAGTGACCCCCGTGTCAGCATCATTGTCAGAGTTCCTGGGCTTGTGGGGGCTGGAGAAGGGAAGGCGCTGAGGAGGGAAAGATGAGTGCAGGTTTTGTTGAAACCACCCGACCCGCGTTTTCAGGGGGACGAGGCCACTGCCTTGGCCCAAGGACCTGCAGGCTTGGGGGACCCCCTCGATGTCCACTGGGCTGCGGATGAAACATCACACTGTGGTAGGAAAGGAAGGGGAGCACCCCCAGACGGGGGGGTCCTGCAGAGACCCCAACCCCTTACCTACCTAGTTGAGACACCCATGGGGAGCAGCCCCAACAGCATGTCGGAGTCCCTAGGCTTGTGGGGTCATGCTCTGTTGAGGGCCCTTCCTCTAACTGGCGAGCTTGTTTACAGCTGAGCTCGCCTGGTCAGATGGGCCCAGTGGCTTTATCTAATAAAGGCTGGACATGTCCACTTCATGAGCATCCCTGTTTTGAAGTCTTATTTTTAAACTCTTGATCCAACGCTTGGATCAGGAATACCCCCTAGATTAACAGTTGGGGCATAGGGCATAAAAGTGGAACATTGATCAAAGATACCGTAATCATATCCATCGTTTTCTGTCTTGAAGAACAGTTTTCACCTGGAAGTAGAAGGCACAGGGGAGGCCTGGCTCACCACAACGCTCCCTGCCGTGCCGAGAACTGAGCCCGTGTCTTTGTCACAGGCCCTCACCAGCTGGGCCAGGAGTGGCTGGCTTGGGATCTCCACCTCCCGAGCTGAGCTCACCTAGTGCCCAGGGCTTGTCAGAGGTCCCAGGGGGAGACAGGTGTTGGTGCAAAGTCAATGATTTCTCCTTGCAGATGGGCTTGGTGTGAATGCAGGTGGCCGTCAGAAGGGCTGTCCACCTTCCTTCAGGGGGCCGCCTGCACCAGACCCCAGGCTCCCAGGCCTGCCCAGGCTTGGCATACAGTCCCCTGGGGTGACAGCGTGCAGGGGAAACTGCAATTCCATGCCCTACAAAGCCCCCAGGTGATGTAGAGGCCTGTAGCAGGCATGGGGAGACCTCTGCTGTCCACAGTGCCAGCACCCCCTTCGGCTGACACCTGTGCTTGACCAAGGTTCCAGGCCTCAACTTATGGGGCAGGCATTGGACCTTCTTTTTTTTTTTTTCCAAGACAGAGTCTTGCTGTCACCCAGGCTGGAGTGCAGTGGCATGATCTTGGCTCTCTGCAATCTCCGCCTCCTGGATTCAAGCAATTCTCCTGCCTCAGCCTCCCAAGTAGCTGGGATTACAGGCACGCACCACCACATCCAGCTAATTTTGTATTTTTAGTAGAGATGGGGTTTCTCCATGTTGGTCAGGTTGGTCTCAAACTCCTGACTTTGTGATCTGCCCGCCTCGGCCTCCCAAAGTGCTGGAATTACAGATGTGAGCCACTGGGCCCAGCCCAGAACTTGGTTTTATCCACCTCTGGTGAAACATGAGCTCACTTGGTGCTCTCTGGCCTCTTTATTCCCATCTCCTTAGGCTGACCCTGACAAGTGCCAGGGCCAGGCTTGGACCAAGCAGTCAACTGAGTCAGCCTGCCCTGGGAACCAGGCAGGGGAGGGAGCTTACGGACGGGCTAGGCTCAGGAGAGTAAGAGAGAGCAGATGAAGGGCAGAAGTCCGTGGCCGCAGAGGCAGCTGAGCATGAGGGATGGAGCGTGCTGCTGTCCTGCAGGTGCCGTTAGCCCTGTTTTGCACTGGTGGATTGATCTGCTCAGGCGCACAGGGAGATGGCACAGCAGGACCCGCCGCCCAGCCTCGCTGAGGGCATGCTCCCGCCTCACCTCCAGAGGCTGTTGGGCGGAAGCCGAGAGCTGCAGCAGTTGGGGCCAGCGTGGGACTGGAGGCCCAGGTGAATCTTGTGGGGCAGGGGACGGAGCTGAGGCTGTCCGGCCCGGGCCCTCCCCACCCAAAGGCCCTAGAACCCTAGCCTTCAATCCTGGGGGTTTGCTTCTCCCCTGAGTCCTGGCTTTCCTGACCTGCCGTCCGTTAGGGACAGGTGGAGGGGCCAAGTCTTGCCATCAGAGGCCAGTGTGGTGGTGCCAGAGCTACGGGGTATTCCAGGACCCCTGACCTAGGCACGGGGCAGGAGGGCCCAGAGCCACCTGGCCACTTGTCAGGAGCTTAGGATTGGGAGGAAAGAGGGAGCCTGTATCCAGACTAAAGCCAGGGGTCTGCATGTGTCCTGGCTGGCCAGGGCCACCCTCCCAGACCTCAAGCCACCCCACCTACCACTGCCCACCTGGTGCCACCCCAGCACTGCCGCAGACCTGGCCCAGCAGCTCCTGCTCCTTAGCAGGGGATGAGCACGCCCACCACAGCCACCCTCTTCTCCAGGCTGCAGGGCAGGCTCCAGCTCCCCATGGGGGCCCCATCAGGCCAGGGCCCCTGGCTTTACTGCAGGGGAGAGGGTCTCTTGTGCAGACCCCATATGGCTCGTGCCCCCTAGAGCTGAGATGAGGCAGCCGGCCTGGCTGTAGCTGCACGGAGCCACCTGGAAAGCCAAAGGCAAGCTCCAGCTCCAGACCAGGCATTGGGCCAGCCGTGCCTGTTACCGTAAGTTCTGTTCATGGCCTCAACCAACTGCCCAACCATGCGGGCAAATGACCAAGACGCCATCTCTTGGGCCCCTCAGAACCAATGTTGCAGCAAGGTGGGCTCACTGCAGCAAGGGGCAGAGCCACCACCACGGTGCCTTCTGCTCACTGGGGAGGGAGGAGTGTCCCCACTGGTCGGGGCTCCCCCGCCTGCTGGAACCTCCCAAGTCCTGCCCCCTGCATTTCCCTGTGCAAGGGGAGAAGGAGCAGTAGGAGACCCTCATGCAGGAGGGAGGGAGCCGCAGTCCTCAGGGGAAGGGACACAGGGAGAGGCAGGGGCACAGAGGCAGGAAAGGATGGCCAGAGCCCAGCCTACTTTCTGCTGAGCTCCTTGGCCCGGCAGGTGGCAGCCTCCACGGCGCTCATGGTGGCTGCTCGCAGCCCGCCCTGCTCCAGGGCGTGGAGTCCATAGATGGTGGTGCCACCCGGGGTGCACACGTCTGAGCGCAGCTGGGCTGGGTGTTGGCCCTCGTGCAGCAGCATCTTGGCCGTCCCCTGAGGAGAGCGTTAGGGCCTGGTGACGGGGGGAGGTGGTGCGGTCCCCACTGTGCGGCCTGCCCTCGTTGCATCCCCCAACCTTGGCCCCAGCTTCTCGAGCCTGCTGTTTCCCTGCGCACTGGAAGAGGTACAGGCCTGGGCCTTCCCGATGTTCCCCAGGGGCCACCCTCACTCACCAGCAGGGTCTGGGCAGCGATGCGGTGGGCCAGGCTGCTGGGCATGCCCATCTTGACGGCTCCTTCAGCCAGGGCCTCGGAGAATGCACACACCTGTAGCCGCGGCATGGTGGTTGGGGGGGATAGGTGTCAAAGCCTGGGGGCTCAGGACCTTCAGGAACAATGCCCAGAGCAGTAGCCGTGGGTGGCCAGAACCAAGGCCTGAGCCCAACGGTCTGCAAAGGGGCTGGCCTCAAAGATCCCCAAGGCAGTGAAGTCCCGGGGACAAGCAGAGCTCCCAGTGGGCCTGGGGAGCAACCACGCAGGCCTCAAGGTTGGACTCTGAGGGCAGAGGCTGTCAGAGGGACTGGGGTGGGCCCCCTCTTTGCCGAGGGTGGGGCCGGGGATGGACGAGGCAATACTCACGAAGGCCACGCCACTGCCACTGAGGCCAGTGTGGATGTCGACGTAGGCTTCAGGCACCTCCTCACACCGCCCACAGGCCTCCAGCAGATGCTGCAGGAGCTTGGTCTCGCTGCTCCCCACGTGGCGGCCCCGCGCCATCACTATGGCCCCTTCCTGGACCACACAGGGCAGGTTGGGCAAGACCCGCAGCACCCGTGTGTTTGGGGGCAGCAGCTGGCCAGAGAGAGGTCAGAATCAGGGAGTCTGTAGGACTGGGCCCTGCTGGGCAGGCCCCAGCAGGGGCCTCAGGAAAGGTCCACGTCAGCTCGCGGTGGGCTCCAGCGTCTGCCTCCCAGGTACAGCACCAGGAGGGAACCCTAAATCCAGCCACTTGATCCAGGTGGGCCACACGGCCACCTCTCAGGCTCTCTGGGGGGCTGCCTGCCGCCCAAGCCTGGCCAGCAGAGCCTATACTGGGACCAAGGCCTTAGCCCAAGGGACACTCACCTCCTCCAGGGTGCTCAGAGACACCCCAGCAGCCACGGACACCAAGATGTGTTCAGTGGTGACCACAGGAGCCACCTCTGCCAGGACAGCTGGCAGCACATGAGGCTTGGTGGCAAAGATGACGAGCAGGCAGCTCTGCAGCACCTCCTGGTTGGAGTGCGTGGTCCGGCAACCCAGAGCCTGCGCCAGGGACACCAGGACCAAGCCTCAGGGGCCATGTAAGCGGCGCACCCTCTCCATCACAGCCCTTCCTGCTGGATGCCACACGTTCCCATGGTCCCAGGGCCTCTCCCATTGCAAGTGTCTAGACCACCCCGACTTCTCCAGTGCCCAAGACTCCCCCAGACTAGCCCTACTCCTCACAGGCCATCCTGATGTCAGCGCCTCCCCAAGCCCTGAGCCCTCCATCCCCAGTGAATGTCTGTGACCACCACCCAGCATGCAAACACACCCATGCACATGCACGCACTCACGAGCATGCATTCATATACACACACGCAGACACATGCACTCACGAGCATACATACACATGTACACATGAATGCACTCATGAGCACAAACACATGCACACACACCCACTCGAGCATGCACTCATGTGTACACGCACGCACTCATACACGCACACACGCACTCATATACACATCTGCACAGGCACACATGCACAAGCACATACGTGCACTCACGACCACACAGGTGCACATGCACTCATGAGCATGCACTCATACACACACGCACACACATGCACTGACATACATGCACTCACCACACGTGCACACGCACACACAAGCGCACGTGCAAACGCACATGAGCACATACATACACACATGCACACGCATAGCCTCACATATACACACGTGCATATACACACACTCACGGACATGCACTCACACATGCATACACACACACACACAAACACTTTGCTTTGGCCCTCCACAACCTTACTTTCCTCCTGGCCTCTAATCTCCCTTTTCCCAGCCCAGACCAGCCAGTCTGCAAACTTCAGCTAAATAAACCACCCATCCCTGGCTCTGATAAGTGTCTTAGTGGGACAGGAGCCAAGAGCTATCCTGGGCTCCTGAGGGTATGAAGAACCTGGGCTCTATGCTCACTTGAAAGTGACATAGGTTCCTGTCTGTTGGTGCACTGGCCAGTATGTGCTGAGCTTCCACTTTTCCTGGAAAGAAAGGAAAAGGAAGAGGGGTTGGTGAAGGGGTGGGATAGGATGGCACGGAGAGGAGAGGGAGCTCACTTGGCCTCTCAGGCTCAGCCACGCCTGGCCCATCCTGGGCCCCCTCCTGGCCCCAGGAACCCAAAGCGGGATGCACCATTCACTGGGCCCAGGCAATCAGATCCACTGATTCTACTTGGCGGTCAACGCCCCTGACTGCTGCTGGGTATGGAGGCCAGGAGCTTACCTCATTGGTGAGGACACAGATCCCTGGGGCCTCTGCCTCCAGGGAAGGGAAGGCTGCCTGGAGCAGAAGAGGCAGTACCTCTGGAGGAACACCAGGCCTTGGGGGAATGTGGTGGGTACAAAGGCAGTTGATTGGCCACAGAAGGCCCAATCGGGGCCCAGGTTCTTCGAGAGGGAGAGTCTATGCTGGAATGTCTAAGAAAAGGCTAAATGCCTACTTGGTAGAAATTATCTGCTTTTGTCGGGTACGGGGTGGAAAGATTGGGTTAGATTTTGGTAAGGTCGAACAGGAAGGCACAAGTGTACACCACAACCTGAACACAGCAATTAATCATGACAGTGGCAGCCAAACACACCAGTACTAAGCTCAACACTAGACATTTATGTCTCATTTAACCTGTACAGCTCTGGGAGGCATGCGGTACTGCCAGGTTTCACAGGGAAGACTCCTGAGACTCATAGTAAGCTATTTCCCGATTGATCTTGACTCTTCTGGACCCTGAAGTATGGCTGAAGGCAGAGAGTCAAAAGTCACCCAGCTCTCCCTATCCACAATCTGCAGAGAGGCTTCTAAATGCCTGGAGGAGTATATGGTCAGCATAAATATTCCGGGTATAAAGCAGTGTTTCTCAACAGGGGATGATTTTGCCTGTCTCCTCCCCCCACCCAGGGGACATTCGGCAGTGTCTGGAGGCATTTTTGGCTGTCACAACGTGGGGGTGCTGCTGGCACAGGATGGATAGTCTGGCCCAGGTGTCCCTAGAGCCAAGGTGTCTGGGGGAGAAGCCCTGCTGCTCCCCATGAGAGGGGCTGGCGCGCAAAGAGAAAATCAGAGGCTGGAAGAGGTGAGCCTGGCCAAGGCCACGCGGCCAGGAAGCCGGCCACGGAAGCGGCACCTAGCCACGTGTGACTCAAATCTTCCCGCAGCCACGTCAAAAAAGTAAGAGCAAACAGGCGTGGCCCCGGCTGCGCCCAGCGGAGCGGAGACCCGGTTGGCTGGGCCCGCGCCCCCGGCCCCACTCTCGCGGCAGGACACCTCCCACGGGGCTGCTCCCACTCCAGACCGCAGGCCTAGCCCCGCGCCGCCCCACCTGCTCTGATGAGGCCCTGCGCGATGGCCCCCGCCATGCGGCCCGCGCCCACGAAGCCCACGCGCCGCGGAGACGGCTCCGCAGCTGCCATCTTGTTGCCTCGGACGCCGCTGCGCTCACCGCCCATCCACAGGCCGCGCCCCGCCCACAGATCTAGGCCCCACCCCCGCCCTCCAATAGGACTCGCCTCCCCGTCCCCACCCTCGCCGATTGGTTACTGGGACGGCACACTCCGGCCGGCTTTTTGTCCGCACTCTACAAGTTCGCAAGGCGCGGGAACCCCGCCTCTCGCTGCTTATTGGCCCGAAAGGGCTATGCCGCCCCTCACTGCCCATTGGCTGAGAGAAACTGGGGGCGGGGCCGTAAGGGGCGGGGCCGGCGGGGTACTCGCGCTCGGAGAGGCCGGAGGAGCGGGGAGGGGTCCCGGTCGCGCGTGCGAGGAGCACATGTTGGTTTTCCGGAGGGGAGGGGTAGCGAAGCGGGTTGCGGGGCTGGTCCAGAGCGTGCGGTCACTGAGGCCCCGCCGACCACAGACGGTGGAGCTGCGGGGAAGCACTAGGGGCGGAGACCCAGGTCACGGAGAGCAGGCCAGGGCCAGGGGCCTGAGACCGACGGAGGGGACAGTCGGGGAGGGGGTACTCGTCACTTTTAATGACACAAGGAAAACAAGGCTTGAAGATCTGAGTGCGGTTTTTTCATCATCCAATCTAAAGCTGCATGTTACATATGTTATTTTCTTTTGAAGCCTTTGACATTTTCTTTTTTCTTTTTTTTGAGACGGAGTCTCGCTCTGTCGCCCAGGCTGGAGTGCAGTGGCGCCATCTGGGCTCGCTGCAAGCTCCGTCTCCCGGGTTCACGCCATTCTCCTGCCTCAGCCTCCCAAGTAGCTGGGACTATAGGCGACCGCCACCACGCCCGGCTTATTTTTTTGTATTTTTAGTAGAGATGGGGTTTCACCTTGTTAGCCAGGATGGTCTCAATCTCCTGACCTCGTGATCCACCTGCCTCGGCCTCCCAAAGTGCTGGGATTACAGGCGTGAGCCACCGTGCCGGCCCAAGCCTTTGACATTTTCTAAGCTCTTCAGTAATGAAATCCTCTCATTGATTCAACATTCACTGTGCAGCTGCAGCCTCTGGGCCCTGCTCTGGGCCTGGGCAAGATCACCCCACGGCAGCAGATGGGACAGGCTGGACCCCACCCTGCAGCCCTGCTTGGTGGCAGTGTAGACAGACTACAGTCAGCACACACGCAGGACAGCCAGTGTGTCAAGGCTCTGAAGCAAATGAGGTGGAAAGGGACAGAAAGCCACCAGGAGGCTGCTTCGGCCACTGCAGCCGAGAAACGTGGGTGGTGGACACTTTGCACCAGCACACAGCGTCAGCAGCTGTATCTCCTGCCACCTCGGATCCTCCCAGCCCCTTCCCACAGACTCCCTGGATTTTCTCCCAGGCCCCCTGGGCCAGTGATGGCTCAGGACCAAGGCTGTGGGGAGGTGAGAGGGGCCAGAGGCATCCAGTGCCATGCCATCATACATAAGGACAAAGCTCATCATAAACAAGTGGACTGAGGCGAGGTGAAGGAGGATTGCTGGCTGAGTGCCCAGGGCCACAGTGGGTAAAAGGAGGCCCAGGGGCCCAGCCCCGTTCAGCTTCTCCGTCCCATGCCGGGCTGGGCTTCTGAGCATCAGCTGGGAGCCCTCAGCTGACGTGGACACCCAGCCAGCCAAGGCTTGTGTCCAGGGCACCTCTCTGCTCTTGGCTGGGCTTCTTCCCACTGTTCACCTGGTGGATCCAAGCAGCCACATAGGCGCCACCCTCTCCAGGAGGCCTTTCCTGAACCCCCACATGGGCAGAGCCTTTATCCACAAAGGGCTGGGGCCAGGGGATACACTGTGAACGAGGCCAACCCGTCTCCTGGAGCTCGAGGTCCTGGGGTGTCAGCGGGAGGGTTAGGGGTTGAGGCGGGGCTCCCAGAGGTTTCCAGACAAACAATCCCAGCAGGGCAGGGTGGATGCTCCGAGAGGCGCTGTGAAGGTGCCATCAGGGAAGGTGTTTTGGAGGCTGGGCCACCTCAGCTGAGGCCTAAAAGGTAGGGAGGCCTTGACCCAAGAGGGGGCCAGTCTCAGGGGAGGCCTGGAGGACACCTCGGCTTGCTGGACACAAAGGGACAGTGAGAGATGAGGTGAGCGGTTGGCTGGGTGCAGGACACACCGGTCTGGACTCAGTGCCGGGACAGGGAGGACACATCACCGCTGCCGGAATGAACGAAGAAGTGAAGCAGCAGGTCCTACCTGCAGCCAAAAGGCATCATGTGCGTGAAGACGGCACAGGGCGCCCAGGAGAGGGACCCTGAGGACGTGGGCCCAGAGTTGGGCCAGGAGCCAGGGAGGGCATCTGGGTCCTGGATGCAGTGGACCAGAGGGTTCTGGCATAGGGGCTCCCTCTGTGAGAGGCACTGAGAAAGGGGGCGACGGGCAAGCCGGGGCCTGGAGCCCAGTGCTCCTGGTCCATACCCCAGCGCCACCCTGCCTGGCTGAGGCACTGGCCCGGGAACCATTCTGGACTTTGCTGTCTCCCCTCTGAGAATGGACGGGGGCGGCGAGCAATGACACCCCACCTCTGGTGGCTGGAGCTGACCTGTCCAGCAGGCACCTGTCCCTCTCCATGGGATAAGGCCAGGTGGGGGACCCACGCCCAAGCCTGAGAGCCACAGAGAGGAGGGGCCAGGCCAGGGGAAGCCCGAGCCACCCAATCATCAGCCTCCCCTCATATCCATCCATGGGCTCAGCTCGGCTGGCTCACTAGACGTTTCTGGCCCACTAGACCAGCTTCCCCAGAGCCCTCAGGCTGAGGCAGGGAGGTCCGGGTGAGCTCAAGTTACTCAGGCCTGCAGGTGGCCACATGTGGAGGGGCTGGGACTGGCCCTGCCCTGCACATCCTTGTCCAGCTGACAGTCCACACCAGTCTCACTGCTGCCTGCCTGCTGCCTGCCCACGTGTGCCTTCCCATCTCCAGCCTCTGCGGCCTTTCCACCCCAGGGAGTCACCAGCTCTTGGGGGCTGAACAGTAAGCCAGGGGGATAGTGGGTCCTGGGACTGGCCAGGCTAGGGGGCAGTCCCTGGGTGTGGGGGACGGCTCAGCACAGAGCTGCCAAGGCCAGGCCTGTGAAAATGCACTTTATTGGCTCCCAGGGAGTGGGATGCAGGATCAGAGTGGACACGCGCAGGGGGCTGGTGTGGGGAGCAAAGCGCCGGGCCTGCCCGGGACCCTGGTTTCCCTGAGGACCAACGTGAATGGGGGCCCCACTGGAAAGATGCTTGGGGCTGCAGAGCGGATGGAATGCAGGCCCAGGTTGCTGGGTGGTGCCCTCAGCTCCTGGCAGGGTTGACGGGTGGTGGCCGCTGGGCTCTGCCAGCCGATGGTCCGCTGGCACCTGATCCTGTCTTCCAGCTTCACTTCCGGGCCTGCTCGTAGTTGTCAGTGAACCAAGCACAGGTCTCCTTCACCGCTGCAGAGGCAGGCAGGTGAGGGCCATGGACAGGGAGGGTCGGGGCCGCATGGGAGGAAGTGGGGGGAGGAGGCCCAGGGACAGGGAAGTCACCCCTCAGAGCTTTGGTGTCCCACCTCCAGGGCAGTACAGGCTCTGAGGGGGCACCTCACCTCTGCCCTGGTAGCGAGCATGAGGGAGGGGCTGGGGCAGGCCTCCACCAAGTGGAGGGCTGTGGGGTCAGGGCTCACCCTGCTTGAAGGGTGTGAACCGGAAGTCGGGCAGGTAGGTCCTCAGCTTGCTGTTACTGGCTGTCTTCTTAAACTGCCCATCCGACTTGGTTGTATCAAACTGGAGGCTTTGTCAAGGCCACAGCGAGAAGAGCACCTCCACCCCAGCCCCCGCAGCTTGCCCTTGAACCTCTGCCATTCCCAGGGGAGCCACAGCAGAGCTCCTCCGCCTGCCAGGGTGAGCATCCTCCCTCCGCAGTGTCCCACCCACGCTGGCCCTACACCGGGTGGCCACTGAGCCCGCCCAAGGGGCCCCCGCCCAACCCCCAGCACTGGAGCCAGAGGATACGGTGACTTCCCCATGGAAGTCCATGGCCTCCACCACCGCCTCGGCTGCCTCCTTGATGGAGACCTCATCTTCCTCGCCCACTGTGGGGAGCCACCGGGTCAGGCCTCCCCTTGGTGCCACCCGACGGCCCATGAATATTCCTGCTCCCACCCCTCAGCCAGCCTCCCAGGACAACCTTGGATCCTGTCCTACCATGGAGGAAGGGGGCTGAGGGCTGAGGTACCCACCGGAGAGGATGATGGGCTCCACTTCATTGTACTCCCGCAGGACCCAGATAAAGAGCTGGGCCAGGTCCTAGAGGTCAGACAGGCAGGGTCAGAGACCATGGGTATAGCCAACCCTCTCCCAAACGCCCCTGCTGGGGAGTCCATACTGCTGTCCTTGTTCAGTGGGGGCTCAGCCTGGGGAACAGGGGTCCCTCCTTTCTCCCTTGGAGCTCAGAGCTACGCCAGTGACTCCTGGAGACAGGAGCCTATGGGGCCTCCACGAGGACCAGAGATGGCTCCTCTTGGAGCTCAGCCCAGATTCTCTGCTGGTAGGAGCCTCCCTCCTGCACCACCTCCCCGACAGCCCAGCAGGGGCCAGCCCAGGGCTCAATAGGGCAGGTTCTCTGGGGAGAGCTGTGCCTTCCTTTACGCACCAGCGAGTATATGAACTGCCTCCGCGGATTCCCTGTACCCCACACCGTCAGGGCCGAGCCGCTGCCTGCAGATTTGGGGAAGGAGCAGGTGTCAGAGGCACTGGGTCACCTCCTCCCGAGCTGAGCCCGGGCACCCCATCGGACGGACGCACTCACTCTTGGCCAGGTGCACCTTGTGGATGAGGCCAGGCAGCACGTGGCCATCCTCGATGTTGAAGTTGTCGTGGGGCCCGAAGACGTTGGTGGGGATGACAGCGGTGAAGGTGCAGCCGTACTGCTGGAAGTAGGCCCTGCGGAGGCACAGCGTCTCCTGCCCTCGTCCTGGGCCCGCGATCCCACCCCAGGCTGCCGCTGGCCTCTTACTGAGGCTGGCACGAAGACCCGACCAGCCGGCCCCACCCGCCCCTGGGGGCCCTCTCCCCGACTCCTGGCTGGGCCTCAGCAGGATGGGCGCGAGGACCTGTTCTGCACGTCGATCATCCTCTTGGCATACGAGTACCCAAAATTGCTGTTGTGGGGAGGCCCATTGTGGATCTGCGGGCGTGGGAGAGGCAGAGGCCGCTACTTCCTGGCCCTGCCCACCGGCTCCCCGGCCCCACCCACAGCCAGGCCCTGCCCCTCACCATGGTCTCATCTATCGGGTAGGTCGTCTTGTCAGGGAAGATACAGGTGGACAGGCAGGACACCACCTTGCGGGCGCCCACCTCAAAGGCCGAGTGCAGGACGTTGTCGTTCATGTGCACGTTTTTCCTCTGCAGGGGTGAGGCGGGGACAGTTCAGGCTCCCCAGGCCAGATCCCAGCCCTTACCTGCTCCTCCAGACGCAGAAGTGGAGACACACCCTGGCCCTTCAGCCCTGGGAGGACCCAAGCCTGCCCATCCTAACCGTTTCCGGACAAGGCAGTGGGCTTACAGACACCATTGCTCTCCAGCCCCACCAAGGCTGGAGGAGGGGCTGGCTCTGCCTTCCACTATGAGGAGAACCACACCCCCAGCTCAGGGCTGGGCCCCACCCAGGAGGCTGCTGAGGTCAGGGCATAGGACCCCACTGGAGGCTGGGAAGGAGCCCAGTCTGGCCCTGGGCTGGGCTGGGGCTCCCACTACACGGGGAACAGGGCGGTCTACTTCCCCACCCTGGAGGAGCTCCCACCTGGCTCTACTTCCCAGGATCAATGGAGCCTGCGCTTGCCGGGTCCACCCCGCGGGCCCCACTTCCCGTGCATGAACTAGACACGGCATGGCTGGAGCCCTGGGACTGGTCTTGGGAGAAGGGAGAGGTGGTGGCCAGGCAGCCTGCTGGGAAGGCCGAGACACCGACAAAGAGGGCTCTGGGGTGACAGGGCTCCTGGGCAGAATCTCCTCTGAGCCTCTGCTCACGCTAGTGCCTCCTACGCTTAGCAAAGCCAGCTAAGGCAAGGCTGCTGCCCAGTGACTGGTGGGGCCAACCCTCCGGAACACAGCTAGCCACGGCAGGGCCCTTACACCACGCCCCCTTCCCCCAGACACAGGCAGCAGATGCACAGAGCGCGGTTCACACCCCTGCACCCCAGAGTGTGTGGTGGGCCCGGCTAAGGGGAGCTGGGCCAGCACAGTCCTGGGAGCCAGAGGCTCCAGAGGCCCTGGGGACTCAGGGGGCAGGAACCAGCTCCCAGTCCCACGTGGCCGCTGGCTCTTTTCAGCCTCCCAATGCTGCAAGTCAGCTCCACAGCTTTGCCTACTGGGCCAAGTGCCTCCAGGCCCCCTGCATGGCCCTCTGTCCACAGCACCAAGTGTGAGTGACTGGGGGTCCCTCAGGGGCTGCCCCCACCAGGCTGTGCCAAGCCCTGATCCTCAGGGACTTCCTGGGGTGGGAATGTGGGCCTGTGAGAGTGGGAAGCCCGCCAGGAAGTTCCCAGAACCTGGGATCCTGGTTTCCAGTGCTTGCTGGGGCCACCCTCACTTACCCAGAAGTCCAAATTGTATTTGATATTCCGGAACAGGCCCCCCACCATTGCAGCAAGATGGATGACGTGTGTGGGTTGGACCTTCTCAAACAGGGCGCGGGTCTGTGCTGTATCCCTGTAGGAAGCCAGGCTGTCAGGAGGCTCTGGAGGGAACCAGCACCCCAGGGTTGGGTGCCAAGTGCAGGAACTGGGTGGGACTATGGCAGGAGGGACAGTCAAAAGGGAGGGTGGCCCCAGGGCCTGGCTGATATGAGGGTGCAGGCTTCCAGGAAGAGATGGGAGGGTGTTTGTTTTTCCAGGAACACAGCCAAGCACACCCAGGCCAGGCCAGCCACCTGGCAGGAAGGACCCAGAAACACAGCTACTGTTAGACTCAGCAACATGCCCAGCCTGGAACTCTTAGTTCTAGGGTGGGGGGTAGGATGGAGAGGAAGGGCTGATCTGGGGATGGGCTCACTCACGTGAGATCGGCGTCTTTAGAGGAGACAAACACCCAGTCCTCTCCAGGAAGTCCAGCTCCATCTGCTACCACCTTCTGGATGGCTTTGCCTACCAGCCCAGAGCCCCCTGTCACTAGAATCCGCATGGATCCCTGGGGTTCACCCATGTCAGTTGCACCTGTAATGTCAAACAGTGGGAGGCTGAGGTCATCACGCTCTCATCCTTTGGAGCCCCACTCTTCTGTGGCAACTGGCACAGAGTGAGGCCCTCAGAGTGGGGCATAGTCCACTGGCAACCAGAAAGACCCAGCTGGACCGAGGCACTCCCTCGTCGCAGCCCTGTTCCCCTGGGAGCTCTCAGCCTACAGCGCCGCAGGGGTCCTGAGCTACCACCCAGCCCAGAGCAGCTGGTCCCAACCCACGACTCCCCACTAGGCCGAGAAAAGGTACATTCTACTCCCCTCTGACTGACAAGAGGGGAGGCAGACAACCTTGGGACGGGGGCTCCTGGCACAGGTCGTTAACACGGTTCGCAGCTAAAGCCCGCATGCTAGGGACAGGCACGAGACGGCGCCTGTGTGCAGCCCACGCCCACTCGAGGCTGGCTGGTCCTGGAGAGCCCTGGCGAGCCAGATTCCTCCAGGGCAGGACAGGCCTCGGGGCGCAGCCACCCTCAAGGATCCCATCCTGGGAGCCGGAAACCTGCTCGGGCTCCCCCGGCAGGGCCCCAGGGCCAGCCCTTAGGGGAGGGGGCCCTGCGCAGGCGTCGCGCGGCTCCCAAGCACGCGGGGAGACCTCACCGCAGCCAGACCCTCTACCACAGCCCCAGGCTGCCCCCATGCCCCTCGATCCCAGACCCCCACAGCGCTCCCTGACTCTCACGGAGCATCCAGGGCCCAGGGCGCGGCTGAGTCCGGTGCCACCTCACCTGCGTCCAGCCCCACCGCCGGCTCCCCGACAGCGGCTTCCGGCCGGGTGCGCTCCGGCTGCCCGCGGAGCCAGGTGGGGGGCGGGGCCGGGAGGCTGGGGCGGGGCACTCTGGGAAATGGAGTCCCGGGGGCGCGCAGCGTCCCGGGCACAGCTGGGACTTGGAGTCCGCGGCCGCAAAGCCGCTTGGGAAGCGCAGTCTCGTCCGCCGGCCGCGCGCGGGCGGGTCCCCGGACGAAGTCCCGGGCCGCAACCTCTTTAGCCCGCGGGGCGCTGGGCCCAGGCCCTGCTTGGGACGGCGGAAGGACACGAGACGAGGGCCAGCCGGCAGCGCCGCGCGGGATGCCCGCGGCGTCGGAAGGAGCCTCGCCGGCGCTGGGGCCAGGCGGGCTTACGCTGCGGCGTCTCCCTTTGCTCCCCTTCCCTCCCAGGGTTCCGCCCCCGAATACGCAGACCTCGCGCCGCAGCCTCTTGGATTCCGGCCGCGATGAGGAGCCCGGGTTGTCGTCCCAAGCACTTGCACTGTCACCCGCGCCCATGGGTACGCCCAGGCTCGGGCAGCAAGCAGCAAACAACACCAGAGTTACGGCGAATCACGTTGGGTGACTGTGGGTGACAGCGGGTCACGGCGGGTTAAGAAGGATCACATCGGATCACGATGGGTCACGGCGAGTCAAGGAGGGTCGCGGCGGCTCACAGTGGTTCCCACGGTCGCGCTGCGAGCCGCCAGCTGCTCCTGCCCTCAGCTCAGAGCCCAGTCCTGCTGCCTGGGGCGGGAGGGGGTGGCAGCGCGGCCCTGACATCGAGAGGCCACCGTCATCGTCTTCCATCGAAAGGCGTTTAAAAGCAGTCACGGCCATGCGCGGTGGCTCAGGCCTGTGATCCCAGCACTTTGGGAGGCCGAGGCGGGCGGATCATTTGAGGTCAGGAGTTCGAGACCAGCCTGGCAAAACATGGTGAAATCCGGTATCTAATAAAAATGAAAAATTAGTCGGGGGTAGTTGCGCGCGCCTGTAATCCCAGCTACTTGGGAGGCTGAGGCAGGAGAATCGCTTGACCCCAGGAGGCAGAGGTTGCAGTGAGCCCAGGTGGCGCCACCGCACCCCAGCCTGGACGACAGAGCGAGACTCCATCTCAAATAAATAAAATAAAAACAGTCACTCAGGCTGACAAGGGTAAGGGAAATGTGGTCCGCCCCCACCACCTTAACATCTTGCTATGAAAGGACGTTTCATGATGATAACGTTTAAAGACATCCGTAAGGCGATGGCTTTTATCTGACTGGAAGTTAGCAAAACATTAGAGATGACTGAAGTGAGTCGCTGCTGGGTATGTCCACCTGCTCTGGTGATGGGCAGGCAGCGTTGCTTAATAAAGATTTCACAATTTTAGGCCGGGCGCAGTGGCTCACGCCTGTAATCCCAGCACTTTGGGAGGCCGAGGCAGGCGGATCACGAGGTCAGGAGATCGAGACCATCCTGGCTAACACGGTGAAACCCTGTCTCTACTAAAAAAAAACAAAAAAATTAGCCCGGCATGGTGGGGGGCGCCCGTAGTCCCAGCTACTCCGGAGGCTGAGGCAGGAGAATGGCCTGAACCCGGGAGGCGGAGCTTGCAGTGAGCCGAGATCGCGCCACTGCACTCCAGCCTGGGCGACAGAGCGAGACTCCATCTCAAAAAAAAAAAAGACTTCACAGTTTCTAAATTGTTATATATTTCTTCCATAAAAATTTAGTTTTCTTCATTTCAGCAGTTACTAATTATGATATTAAAGTCACATAATTTGTATTCTGTTGACCATAGTGTCGAACTACACAATCTTTCTTAAGTCATTGTACTTCTTTTTTGTTTTCAGAGATGGAGTCTTGCTGTGTTGCCCAGGCTGGTCTCAAATTCCTGTCCTGATCACTCAAATTCAAGCATTCCTCCTGCCTTGGCCTCCCAAACCTCTGAGATTACAGGCATGAGCCATTGCACTCGGCTTGTACTCTTCTTTTTAAAAATTGGTTCGGCTGGGTGTGGTGGCTCACACCTGTAATCCCAGCACTTTGGGAGGCCGAGGTGGGCAGATCACCTGAGGTCGGGAGTTCGAGACCAGCCTGACCAACATGGAGAAACCCCGTCTCTACTAAAAATACAAAATTAGCTGGGTGTGGTGGTGCATGCCTGTAATTCCAGCTACTCGGGAGGCTGAGGCAGGAGAATCGCTTGAACTAGGGAGGCAGAGGTGACTGCGCTGAGATCGTGCCACTGCACTCCAGCCTGGGTGACAGAGCAAGACTCCGTCTCAAAAAAAAAAAAAAAAAGATTCAATTTGGAGACTTTTTTCTGTTGAGGCAGTAGAAACTGAAATTATCAAAGAAATCCAAAATTTCTTTTTTTGTTTTTTTTGAGATGGAGTCTCGCTCTCTCGCCCAGGCTGGAGTACAGTGGTGTGATCTCGGCTCACTGCAACCTCTGCCTCCCAGATTCAAGCAATTCTCATGCCTCAGCCTCCCGAGTAGCTGGGACTACAGGTGCGTGCCACCACGCCCAGCTAATTTTTGTATTTTTAGTAGAGACGGGGTTTCACCCTCTTAGCCAGGATGGTCTCGATCTCCTGACCTTGTGATCCGCCTGCCTCGGCCTCCCAAAGTGCTGGGATTACAGGCATGAGCCACCACGCCTGGCCTCCATTTCTTAGATTCAGAAATTAGTCGTGGATTTTTTTTTTTTTTTTGAGATGGAGTCTTGCTCTGTTGCCCAGGCTGCAGTGCAGTGGCGTGATCTTGGCTCACTGTAACCTCCGCCTCCCAGGTTCAAGCGATTCTCGTGCCTCAGCTTCCCTGAGTAGATGGGATTACAGGCGCCCGCCACTACACTTGGCTAATTTTTGTATTTTTATTAGAGACAGGGTTTCGCCATGTTGGCCAGGCTGGTTTTGAACTCCTGATCTCGGGTGATCCGCTTGCTTCAGCCTCCGAAAGTGTTGGGATTACAGGTGTGAACCACTGCACCCAGCCAGTCATGGATTTTTATATATAATGTTTAATTTCACTTTATAATCACCACCTTTATAGAGCGCTGCTCACCATCTGTCTTAGTCTGTTCAGGTCTCTGAAGCACAGAGTGGATGGCTGTAAACAACAGAAATTTATTTCTCACAGATCTGGAGGTTGGGAAGTGCAGGAACCAGGTGCTGGCAGATTCCGTGTCTGGTGTGGCCACTTCCTGGTTCAAGATGGCATCTGTGTCCTCGCCTGCTGGAAAGGGCCAGGAGCCTTTCTCTAGCCTCCTTTATGAGAGCAGTCATCCCATCCCAAAGTCCTCACCTCCTCATACCATCACCTTCGGGGTTAGGATTTCAACAGATAACAAATATTCAGGCCATAGATAGCGCCGTGTCTTACAGCAACAGTCTTTCTCATGCTCCTTCAGGCTTCCCAGTGCTGGAGTATTGTAAACAAAAAGAAAAAGAGCAGGAAGATAGTCTGTCTGTTCACATCTCTCTTTGATTGGCCCTATACCTTAATCTCTAACAGTCAGAAAATCCTTTATGCTAAAATTACCTTAGGATTATTTATGTGAGAATTTTCTCCTTCATAGTCATACAAACATTTTTGTGCCAATTTCCCCTATTTTATTGGTATGCCACTCTTGTGTATTTCATGTGCAGCTTTTTCAATTTAGAAAAATATTTTCTCTAAAATTAAAGAAATGTGTTTTAAAATCCTTTCGAAAGTGAATTTGTCAGTCTTTCTGCTTGGGTTTTGGTGAGCTTTCTCTAACATTATTAATGACCTACAGTTCATATCAAATAGCTGTGGCAGTGAACATTCAAAATTAATTTTGTTTCCCATGAAAGACAATTAGGTATTCATCTGGGTATCCTACACCATTTCCCTTCTCTCTCAGAGCTTCTCAAATCCTGTCTACATCGTATCTGATGCTTTTGACATGTCACTATTCCTATTCTGTGTCCAAGCAGGGAAGGGTTCAAGGTCAAAACGGATCCAGATTTCTTCAAGATGTTCCATCTTTGGGCGAACTTAAGAAATATTGGGCCGGGCGCGGTGGCTCATGCCTACAATCCCAGCATCTTTGGGAGGCTAAAGCAGGAGGATCCCTTGAGCCCAGGAGTTTGAAGCTGTAGTGAGCTGTGATTGTGCCACGGCACTCTAGCCTGGGGACGGAGTGAGAACTTTTCTCTTAAGAAAAAGAAGAGATAATAATAGCATTTGTAATTTTGAATTGTTTTAAGGCAGCGGTCCACAGCCTTTTTGGCACCGGGGATTGGTTTTGTGGAAGACAATTTTTCCATGGACCAGGGCGGGGGTGGTTTCAGGACGAAACTGTTCCACCTCAGATCCTCAGGCATTGGATTCTCATAAGGAGCGCACAACCTAGATCCCTTGTCTGCACAGTTCACAATAGGGTTGGTGCTCCGATGAGAATCTGATGCCACACTGATACCAGAGGAGGGAGAGTTCAAGCTGAAATGCTCACTCGCCTGGCCTCACCTCCTGCTATGTGGCCCAGTTCCTAACAGGCCACAGACCGGAACTGGTCCATAGCCTGGGGGTTGGGGATCCCTCTTATAAGGAATATCACTGGTCTCAGATGTGCAGTTGAATCCACATCTCTTAGTAACAAATTAAAACAATGTACCAGGCCAGTAATTCACGCCTGTAATCACAGTGCTTTGCGAGGTGGAGGTATCACCCTTGAGGCCAGAAGTTTGAGACAAGCCTGGCCAACATAGTGAGACCCCGTCTCTACAAAAAATAAAAAATTAGCCAGAGGCCAGGCACGGTGGCTAACCCTTGTAATCCCAGCATTTTGGGAGGCTGAGGTGGGCAGATCACCTGAGGTCAGGGGTTCGAGACCATCCTGGCCAACATGGTAAAACCCTGTCTCTACTAAAAATACAAAAAAAAAATTAGCCAGGCATGGTGAGGGGCGCCTGTAATCCCAGCTACTCAGGAGGCTGAGGCATGAGAATTGCTTGAACCCGGGAGGTAGAGGTTGCAGTGAGCTGAGGTTGTGCCACTGCACTCCAGCAGGGGCAACAGAGTGGGACTCCGTTTCAAAAAAAAAAATTAGCTGGATATGGTGCTGCATGCCTGTGGGTCCAGCTACCTGGGAGGCTGAGGTGGGAGGATCACTTGAGCCCAGGAGGTCGAGGCTGCAGTGAGCTATGATTACACCACTGCACTCCAGCCTGGGCGACAGAGTGAGGCCCTGTCTCAAATCAAACAAAAAAACCCAATCGGCCAGGTGCGGTGGCTCACGCCTGTAATCCCAGCACTTTGGGAGGCTGAGGCGGGCGGATCACGAGGTCAGGAGTTCAAGACCAGCCTGGCCAATATGGTGAAGGAAGTTAATTAATTAACTCTCAAAGTGCTGGGATGACAGGTGTGAACCACTATGTCCGGCGGAAATACAAATTAAAACCACAAAGAGAGGGAGAGGGGAGTAAAAAAACCCTAAAACCACAAAAAGAGCATTTTATATCCATCAGATTGGCCCATTTAACCATCAGATGGTGCCTAGGGTTGGTGAGGACGCAGAGCTACAGGTGGCACAGACACTACGAGACAGGAGGTCCCCCTCGCAGAGTCGCAGGCCGATCCCTGTCTGCACAGCAGCGACGCTCCCAGAGTCTACCAGAGAGGGTGTCCTGTGTGTGCACTGGGAGACGGCGCAGGAATTCCACAGCAGCCCTGCAGTAAAGCAAAAAGATGCAGACAGCACTGACGGCCTGGACAGGAGAATGGATGGATAAGTGATGTTGATACCAGAAACTATTTTTCTGTGAAAATGGATATGTCAGCCTGAAGTAATCAAAAGGTTAGAATCAGTTTTTTTGTGTCGTTTTGTTTTGAGATGGAGTTTCGCTCTTGCTGCCCAGGCTGGAGTTCAATGGCGTGCTCTCGGCTCACCGCAACCTCTGCCTCCTGGGTTCAAGTGATTCTCCTGCCTCAGCCACCTGAGTAGCTGGGATTACAGACATGCACCAACATGGCTAATTTTTTTTTTTTTTTTTTTTTTTGTAGAGATGGGTTTCTCCATGTTGGTCAGGTTGGTCTCAAACTCCTGACCTCAGGTGGTCTGCCTGCCTCGGCCTCCCAAAGCGCTGGGATTATAGGCGTGAGCCACTGCGCCTGGCCCAGAATCAGTTTTGTATTATTTTGTTTTGAGGCAGGGTCTTGCTCTATTGCTAGACCCTGTCCCAGAACAAAACAAAACAAAACAAAAATTCAACTGCCCACTGGAGTGCAGTGGCCAATCATGGCTCACTGAATCTTTGGCCTCCTGGGTCCAAGCAATCCTTCTACCTTGGCCTCCTGAGTAGCTGGAACTAGGGGTGTGCACCACCACACCCAGCTAATTCTTGCATTTTTTTGTAAAGATGAGGTCTCCCTATTTTTTTTTTTTTTTTTGAGACGGAGTCTCACTCTAGCGCCCAGGCTGGAGTGCAGTGGCACTATCTCGACTCACTGCAAGCTCCGCCTCCCGGGTTCGCACCATTCTCCTGCCTCAGCCTCCCGAGTAGCTGGGACTACAGATGCCCGCCACCGTGTCTGGCTAATTTTTGTATTTTTAGTAGAGACGGGGTTTCACCGTGTTAGCCAGGATGGTCTCGATCTCCTGACCTCATGATCTGCCCGCCTTGGCCTCCCAAAGTGCTGGGATTACAGGCGTGAGCCACTGCGCCCGGCCGAGTTCTCCCTATTTTGCCTAGGCTGGCCTCAAACTCCTGGACTCAAGCAGTCTTCCTGCCTTGGCCTTCCAAAGTGCTGGAATTACAGGACTGACCCACCATGCCCAACCCAGAATTAGTTTTAAAGAGTTTATTCAGGCAAAAAGCTGGGAATAGCTACCTAGGAGACACTGACTGCAGAGAAATGGGTTCAATGTTCCTGTATTAGTCTGCTTTCACACTGCTGATAAAGACATACCCAAGACTGGGCAATTTACAAAAGAAAGAGGTTTATTGGACTTAGAGTTCCATGTGGCTGGGGAGGCCTCACAATCATGATGGAAGGTGAAAGGCATGTCTCATATGGTGGCAGGCAAGAGAGCTTGTGCAGGGAAACTCCCCTTTATATAACCATCAGATCCTGTGAGCCATACTCACTATCACGAGAACAGCACAGGAAAGACCTGCCCCTGAGATTCAATTACCTTCCTACCAGGTTCCTCCTACAACACGTGGGAATTCCAGATGAGATTTGGGTGGGGACACAGCCAAACCATATCAGTTCCAAAGTTAAAAGTTAAGTTCTTGCTTATTAGAGACAGAAAACAAAGACGTTTACCTGGATTACAAAATTTTCTATACAAGGCTGGTTTAAGAGGTACGACAAATTAATTAGTTGGTTTCAGTGTGTTTTCTTTTCCCTACAGCATGTTTTCATTTCCTTTCTAACTTAAAAGAGTATATTTAACATTCCATCTTAATACAACTTGAGAGCCATAAAGCCTTTGTGTGAGGCAGCTGAGAAGGAGGTTAATCTACAGTGAAAGTCAACATTGGAGAGGCAAGGGCTCTTCCCTGGTACCCTTCAGCCATTTACAGCCTTTTACGAAACAATGCATGCAAGGAAGAAGGCTTAATCTAAAATCAGAGAAAAAAAAGGTTCTAGTTGCCTAGGTTACATACAACTGTCTGTCACATGACTCAGGTCTATAAGCATTCTTTTTTTTTTTTTTTGAGATGGAGTCTTGCTCTGTCGCCCAGGCTGGAGTGCAATGGCGTGATCTCAGCTCACTGCAACCTCTGCCCCCCAGGTTCAAACAATTCTCCTGCCTCACCCTCCCAAGTAGCTGGGACTAGAGGCACACACCACCACACCCAGCTAATTTTTGTATTTTTAGTAGAGACAGGGTTTCACCACGTTGGCCAGCCTGGTCTTGAACCCCTAACCTCAAGTGATCCACCCCCATCAGCCTCTCAAAGTGCTGGGATTACAGGCATGAGCCACCGGGCCTTGTCTCATAATCATTCTTTTAAGGCTTAAAATAATTTAGAGTTTCAACAGCTTAGATTTTGAATTATTTATTTTCACTGATAATTTATAGCTTCATATATTGGCAAATCTCAAAAATCTCAAAAAACATAACATGGAATGAAAAAGGCAGTGCTGTGGGTTGAATTACATCAACCAAAAAGCTATATTCAACTCCTAACCCCCAACTTACTGGTGAAGGTGACCTTTTTGGGAATGGGGTCTTTGCAGATGTCATCAAGTTAACATGAGGTCATATGGAGGTAGGGTGGGCCCAAATCCAGTGACTGATTTTTTTTTTTTTTTTCTGAGACAGAGTCTACCTCTGTCGCCCAGGCTGGAGTGCACTGGTGCCATCTTGGCTCACTGCAACCTCCACCTCCCAGGTTCACGCCATTCTCCTGCCTCAGCTTCCCGAGTAGCTGGGACTATAGGTGCCTGCCACCACGCCCGGCTAATTTTTTGTAGTTCTAGTAGAAACGGGGTTTCACTGTAGCCAGGATGGTCTTGATCTCCTGACCTCATGATCTGCCTGCCTTGGCCTCCCAAAGTGCTGGGATTACAAGCATGAGCCACCACGCCTGGCCTTTTTTTTTTTTGTTTTTGAGACAGAGTCTCTCTGTCGCCCTGACTGGAATGCAATGACGCGATCTTGGCTCAGTGCAACCTCCACCTCCCGGGTTCAAGCAATTCTCCTGCCTCAGCCTCCAGTGTAGCTGGGATTACAGGAGCATGCTGCCACGCCCGGCTAACTTTTTGTATTTTAGTAGAGATGGAGTTTCACCGTGTTGCCCAGGCTGGTCTCAAACTCCTGAGCTCAGGCAATCCTCCTGCCTTGGCCTCCCAAAGTGCTGGGATTACAGGCATGCGCCGCCACGCCCGGCTAATTTTTTGTATTTTTAGTAGAGATGGGGTTTCTCCATATTGGTCAGGCTGGTCTTGAACTCCCGATCTCAGGTGATCCGCCCGCCTCGGCCTCCCAAAGTGCTGGGATTACAGGCGTAAGCCACTGTGCCCGGCCCGATATTCTTTTTTTTTTTTTTTTTTTTTGAGACGGAGTCTCGCTGTCGCCTAGGCTGGAGTGCAGTGGCATGATCTCGGCTCACTGCAGGCTCCGCCCCCCGGGGTTCACGCCATTCTCCTGCCTCAGCCTCCTGAGTAGCTGGGACTACAGGCACCTGCCATCTCGCCCGGCTAATTTTTTTTGTATTTTTACTAGAGACAGGGTTTCACCGTTTTAGCCAGGATGGTCTCCATCTCCTGACCTCGTGATCCGCCCGCCTCGGCCTCCCAAAGTGCTGGGATTACAGGCTTGAGCCACTGCGCCCGGTCCGATATTCTTATAAAGAGAGGAAATCTGGACACAGGGAGAAGACGGCTCCGTGATGATAGAGGCAGCTGTTGGAGAGATGCCGCTACAGCCAGAGAGTGCCAAGGATTGCCGGCCATCACCAGAATCGGGAAGAGGCTGCAAAGATTCCTCTCTAGATCCTTTGGAGGGAGCACAGTGCTACAGACACCCTGATTTTGAACGTCTAGCTTCTAGAACCACAGGACAATAACCTTGCGTTGTTTTGTGGCAATTAGCTGGGGCAGCCCCACGAGGTGTCTGCAGGCCTGCGTACACATCCTGCCTGTGCAGATGAGTGCCCTGACGGGGACGGAGAACTTCCCCTCCACCCTCTGAGCATTTGATACCTGAGCCTGTGGATCAATTGACCACAGGCAGATGAACAGGAGAAAAGGTGGACAAATATCTTCCATGCACAGGGCCATCCCAGGAAAGAAAAGTAAATATCTACACTAAACCCAGGGAGATCTAGAAGCTCTGACACTCTCAGCACAGGGGAGATGCAGGGGGATGTAGGCAACTTCAGGAGAGTCGATGTATTACATGGCATTTTTTGTATTTTTAAATTTTAATTTAATTAATTAACTTTTTTGTTTTTGAGATGGAGTCTCTCTCTGTGGCCGAGGCTGGAGTGCAGTGGCACCATCTCGGCTCACTGCAACCTCTGCCTCCTGGGTTCAAGCAATTCTCCTGCCTCAGCTTCCCAAGTAGCTGGGATTGCAGGCCCTGGCACCATGCCCAGCTAATTTTTGTATTTTTAGTAGAGACAGGGCTTCACCATGTTGGCCAGGCTGGTCTCAAACTCCTGACCTCAAGTGATCTGCCTGCCTTGGCCTCCCAAGGTGCTGGGATTACAGGCGTGAGCCTCTGTGCCCAGTCCCTCTGTTTTTTTACTCCAAAGGTAAACCATTTTAAATGATTTCTTATTAATACCTCCAATAATCTTTCTCTAAAGAGAAAACCAATTTTTATCTTTGCATCAGTATACTACTAATACTAAAGTTAATTTTTTTTTTTTTTGAGACAGAGTCTTACTCTGTCACTCAAGCTGGAGTGCAGTGGCATGATCGCGGCTCACTGCAACCTCCACCTCCTGGGTTCAAGTGATTCTCCTGCCTCAGCCTCCCGAGTAGCTGGGATTACATGTGCCTGCCTTAATGCCTGGCTAATTTTTGTATTTTTAGTAGAGACAGGGTTTCACCATGTTGGCCAGGCTGGTCTCGAACTCCTGACCTCAGGTGATCCGCCCACCTTGGCCTCCCAAAGTGCTGGGATTACAGGTGTGAGCTATCGTGCCCGGCCCCTAAAGTTAATTTTAATATAACTTTATAAACATATCTATCCGATTTCAGTTTTTATCACAGAAGATAAGATTTCCAAAAACATTTTATAACCTTTTACAACTTTCTATTAAAGAGCGGATCAATGCTCCAGGAAAACTCTGTTATTCCAACACAGGGCCCAGACTCTGGCTCTGCATCTGTGTGCTTTGTATATTAATGCTCAATTTTTAGTAAAACTAAATGATCCCCTTCTAATTTTAGCCATCTTGATCACACACACTTTTTTCTTTTCTTTTCTTTTCTTTTTTTGAGATGGAGTCTTGCTCTGTCGCCAGGCTGGAGTGCAGTGGCGCGATCTCAGCTCACTGTAATCTCCGCCTCTCAGGTTCAAGCGATTCTCTTGTCTCAGCCTCCCGAGTAGCTGGGATTACAGGGTGCACCATCATGCCCGGCTAATTTTTGTATTTTTAGTAGATAAGGGGTTTCACCCATGTTGGCGTCTTATTTTTTTTGGGACAAGGTCTCACTCTGTGGCCCAGGCTGGAGTACAGTGGCGTGAACGTGGCTCACTGTGTCGCCCAGGCTGGAGTACAGTGGCGTGAACGTGGCTCACTGTGTCGCCCAGGCTGGAGTACAGTGGCGTGAACGTGGCTCACTGTGTCGCCCAGGCTGGAGTACAGTGGCGTGAACGTGGCTCACTCTGTCGCCCAGGCTGGAGTACAGTGGCGTGAACGTGGCTCACTCTGTCGCCCAGGCTGGAGTACAGTGGCGTGAAGGTGGCTCACTCTGTCGCCCAGGCTGGAGTACAGTGGCGTGAACGTGGCTCACTCTGTCGCCCAGGCTGGAGTACAGTGGTGTGAACGTGGCTCACTCTGTCGCCCAGGCTGGAGTACAGTGGCGTGAACGTGGCTCACTCTGTCGCCCAGGCTGGAGTACAGTGGCGTGAACGTGGCTCACTGCAGCCTTGTACTCCTAGGTTCAAGCAATCCTCCCGCCGCAGCCTTTTGAGTAGCTAGGACTACAGGTATGTGCCACCACACCTGGCTAATTCTTTGGATTTTTAGTAGAGATGAGGTCTTGCTATGTTGCCCAGGCTTATCTTGAAGTCCTGAGCTCAAGCAGTCCTCCCACCTTGGCCTCCCAAAGTGCTGGGATTACAGGTGTGAGCCACTGAGCCCAGCCAGAAAATTCTTTCCACAAGATTCATCTTCCACAAACCTTGCACAACTCACTACCCCTCCAGTTTTAGCCTATACTTCCTTTTTATATTGGCATTCTGTACTAGGACCAAAATTGTTTTCCTTCCCCCATTATTTTGACCACACAAAATTCTCCTATGTAAAAGAAAAAAAATTGGCCAGGTGTGGTGGCTCATGCCTGTAATCCCAACACTTTGGGAGGCTGAGGTGGGTGGTTCACAAGGTCAGGAGTTCGAGACCACCCTGGGCAACATGGTGAAACCCAGCCTCTACCAAAAATATAACAAAATTAGCCGGGTATGGTGGAAGGCGCCTGTAATCCTAGCTTCTCCGGAGACTGAGGTAGGAGAATTGCTTGAACCTGGGAGGCGGAGGTTGCAGTGAGCCAAGATCACACTACTGCACTCCAGCCTGGGCAACGGAACGAGACGCCAGGTGCAGTGGCTCATGCCTGTAATCCCAGCACTTTGGGAGGCCGAGACTGGTAGATCACCTGAGGTCAGGAGTTCGAGACCAGCCTGACCAATATGGTGAAACCCCGTCTCTAATAAAAATACAAAAATTAGCTGGCGTGGTGGTGGGTGCCTGTAGTCCCAGTTACTCGGGAGGCTGAGACAGGAGAATTGCTTGAACCTGAGGCAGAGGTTGCAGTGAGCTGAGATCGTGCCACTGCACTCCAGCCTGGGCGACACAGCGAGACTCCGTCTCAAACAAAACAAAACAACACACACACACACACACACACACACACACACACACTCACTGTGAACCACTGCTGTTGGCCACCTCCAAAACTGCACAGCCCCCTGTGTAATTAACACTCACTGCAGACCACTGCTGTCAGCCACCTCCAAAACTGCAGCTCTCACCTATGACTAACTAGCCATCACACACGCAAAAGCACATAGTGTCTCACAGTACAAAGTAATCTCTGGTGGCCAGGTGCAGTGGTTCACAGCTGTAATCCTAGCACTTTGGGAGGTCGAGGCTGGTGGATCAACTGAGGTCAGGAGTTCAAGACCAGCCTGGCTAACATGGTGAAACCCCGTCTCTACAAAAATACAAAAAGTAGCCTGGCGTGGTCGTGGTTGCCTGTAATCCCAGCTACTCAGGAGACTGAGGTGGGAGAATCGCTTGAACCCGGGAGGTGGAGGGTGCAGTGAGCTGAGACCGTGCCATTGCACTCTAGCCTGGGCAACAGAGCCAGACTCCATCTCAAAAAATAAAAAATAAAAAAAATAAATAAATAAAAAAAACAAAAAACAAAAAACAAAGTAATCTCTGGTGCCCCCCAAAGCCAAAGAGATCAGGTGATACAATACAAAGAGAGCAGAGTTTTAGACCTGAGAGGACCCTGTCCATGACTCTTCAGCCTCCACAGGACGACCCAAAAGGGTGTGAGTGCCACCTTTTTCTGTGTTCCTTAAGGGGTCTGAGACACTGGACATCTTGTGATACCAAGACAGCAGAGGAGGGAGGAGCTTGAACCTCAGCTTTCAGTTAAGCTGACTTTTAACCATAGAGTTTTTTTTTTTTTTTTTTTTTTGGATATGGAGTCTCACTCTGTTGCCCAGGCTGGAGTGCAATGGTGTGATCTTGTCTCACTGCAACCTCTGCCTCCTGGGTTCAAGCGATTCTCCTGCCCCAGCCTCCCAAGTAGCTGGGATTATAGGCGCGCGCCACCACACCCAGCTAATTTTGTATTTTTAGAAGAGATGGGGTTTCACCATGTTAGCCAGGCTGGTCTTGAACTCCTGACCTCAGGTGATCCGCCCACCTCAGCCTCCCAAAGTGCTAGGATTACAGGTGTGAGCCACCGCACCCGGCCAGAGATCTTTTAAAAAAATATTTTTGATGAAGGGCAGGCGAGCCCCAAAATTGTGGCTTAGCCCACGAGGGTTCTTGGCTTTGCCCAGGAAAGAATTCAAGAGCGAGCCTATGGTGTTCAAAGCACCTTTGATTGAAGTGGCGTGTACAGCAGCAGCAGAGGGACTGCTCCTTGCAGACAGGGCTACCCCATAGGCAGTGAGCCCAGGGAAGCAGCTCAGAGGCACTTCTGCAGTCACATGTATATCCACTTTTAATCATATGCAAATTAAGGGGTAGCTTATGCAGAAATTTCTAGAATTAGGCCAGGTGAGGTGGCTCATGCCTGTAATCCCAGCACTTTGGGAGGCCAAGGCAGGCAGATCACCTGAGGTCAGGGGTTCGAGACCAGCCTGACCAACATGGTGAAACCCATCTCTACTAAAAATACAAATATTAACCAGGTGTGGTAGCGCACGCCTGTGGTCCCACTACTTAGGAAGCTGAGGCAGGAGAATCACTTGAACCCTGGGGGCAGAGGCTGCAGTGAGCCGAGATCACGCCATTGCACTCCAGCCTGGGCAACAGAGTGAGAACCTGTCTCAAAAAAAAAAAAAAAAAAAAAGAAATTTCTAGAATTAGCTTGGTAAGTTCTGCATTGTCTGTTTGTTGCCATGGAAAGAGGCGGTAGCTTCCGGTGTTGCCATGGCAATGGTAAACTGATATGGCACACTGGTGGGTGTGCCTTACAGGAGGCTCTTCTGCCCTGGACCTGTTTTAGCTAGTCCTCAGTTTGGTCCCATGTCCAAGCCCTGCCTCCGGAGTTGAGCTCCACCTCCTACCTCATTTTCTTTTTTTCTTTTTTAGAGACAGAGTTCCACTCTTGTTGCCCAGGCTGTAGTGCAATGGCATGATCTTGGCTCACTGCAACCTCCACCTTCCAGGTTCAAGCAATTATCCTACCTCAGCCTCCCAAGTAGCTGGGATTACAGGCGCGTGCCACCACACCCAGCTAATTTTTGTATTTTTAGTAGAGACGAGGTTTCATCATGTTGGTCCAGCTGATCCACCCACCTCAGCCTCCCAAAGTGCTGGGATTACAGGCGAGAGCCACCACACCCGGCATCATTTACTTTTGGATGTGCTTTGTGATACTCAGAAGAGACCTGCCTCCAGGCCACCCCTACCTTCTCTCTCCACCTGCAGGCACCTGAGGCCGCCTCTGTCTCATCCATCTTGAGTCTTGTGTGGGCTCAGCGATGCCCCTCCTTGCACGCATCACTCGTTTTCTCCCGGTGTCTGTCCCTCAAGATGGCCACTACTGCCACAACTCCCATCTGCACGTCTCGGGTCCTTCTCCAGCTACCAGCAGATTTTAAAAATCTTTTAATTTTTTGGCCTCACTTAGCAGCAAGGTCTCAAACTTACATCCCAAAGTGACCTTCTGTTCTTCTTTCACCTTTCTCCCACCTGCCCCACCCTGCGTCACCATGGATGTCAGCTTCCTGCCCACTCCCCACCCTCCTGTGAACCCTCCCTCGGCCTTCAGAGCCAGTCCCTGCCTCTTCCTGGCTCGGTCCAGTCTCACCCCAGGTGCTCTGCTGTGTGGCTGCCATTGCCACCGTCCTCACCCTGTCCTCTGTGGTCACCACGCAGCCAACGTGTCTTTCCAGTGTCATCTGGCTTTTGTTACACTCCTGCTCAGAAGCCAGTGTGGGCTTCCTGTGTGGCTTGGACCGGGACCACACAATCTGCCCCACCCAGTAGTTATCTCGGAAAGACTAATTCCCAAGCTGTCTTCAGCCCTCCATTGTCATCAACTTGTCCCCAGACTCCATTCGCCCAAAGCAGGAAAGCTCTGCTCATGGCCCGAAGACACAGTGGCCTTCCTCAGGGACATTTCCCAGACAGTTTTGTGCTTGCTCCCGTACCAAGACCACCCATGGCCTGTTTTCCTAAACCCCACATCCCAGATAGCTTGAAACTATGTTTTGGGATCTTTTATCAGAATTTCTGCTTTGTCTTCAGAATGGCTCCGTCCCCTCAAATCCCTATAAATTCCCTTTCTGGCTGAATGCAGTTTCTTTGGACAGCTTTCCTTTCTTGAGCTCTGGTTATGGCAACAGCGCCAGCCTCATCTTGCATGGCAGCCTCCCCTCGGGCCTTTTGCCTTCCAGCCACACTCCTTGGTTTTGGCATTGTACTTGCTCTAGGTCAAGGGCTTTGGAGGCAGATGGCTACATCTGAGGCCTCCTCCAGCATGTCCTGGCTGATACCTTAGGTGAGCCATTTGGTTTCCCTATTTCTGTTTCCTCATCTATAAAATGGAGATAATATTAGAAGTCACCTGGCAAGGCTGCTGTGGCTCGAGGGGGCTCCTAGGTGGGGAGCAGACTTTCACGGAGTGATGTTGGACCTGTGGAGGGGAAGACACAAGAGGCAGGAGTGGGGCTGTGATGCCATCAAGCACAGCGGCTACTGGTCCCCCACAGGGAGCTCTGCCACAGAAGTGGTCCTCAGGGCTGTCCTCGGTTGGACCAGGATGTCCAGGACTTTGCAATGTGGGCTGTCCCAGGGAAGGGTGTGACCCTGGCGAGTTGCAGCTGATGGCTGAAGGCCGCTTACCACACCCTGAACAACTGGGACACCCAGCCTGTCACTGGAGGGGTCTCCCGGGGCCTCTCATCGCAGCATCCACCACAGTTGCTGAGGTCCACATGGGCCAGGCACTGGGCTAGACATGGAACGAGACGGGGGTCCCTGACCTTACGGAGCTTCCTTTCTACTGGCAGGGACAATCAGTACCAAACAAGTAAACTCAAAGTATTAAGTGCCAGCCGGGCATGGTGGCTCAGGCCTGTAATCCCAGCACTTTGGAAGGCCGAGGCGGGTGGATCACGAGGTCAGGAGATCGAGAACATCCTGGCTAACATGGTGAAACCCTGTCTCCACTAAAAAACAAAAAATTAGCCGGGCGTGGTGGCGGGTGCCTGTAGTCCCAGCTACTCGGGAGGCTGAGGCAGGAGAATGGCATAAACCCGGGAGGCAGAGCTTGCAGTGAGCCGAGATCGCGCCACTGCACTCCAGCCTGGGTGACAGAGAGAGACTCTGTCTCAAAAAAAAAAAAAAAAAAAAAGTATTAAGTGCCAAGCTGCAGCCATGTGTTAGCTGTTGGTGGGGTTGAAGTGGCAGGCGTCAGGTGTACAAGGCAGATTTTGATCTGTGACAACCTGCTCAGGCGGTGTTCTCAAGCTCTTTGGGCCTGCGGACAGGGAGGCTGAAAGGTCTGTAAGCCCTGTGGGGAAGAGGCCTCAAGCCCTTCTCGCCTTAAGAGCTGGGTCCCATGGTAAGCTGGCAATAGGGTTGCAGCAGCCAAGGTCTCCGGGCCTGGATGAGAGGTGGGGTCGCTCAATGTAGGGCTTTCACACACACCCCTGGAACACAGAAGCCTTTCCAAGAGCCGGGGAGCCCCTGGAGAATCACAGCAGGAGTTCCACATGGATTCTGCCCTGGAATTCCTGTAGAAGGTCCTTGGATGAGGGCACGCGCCTAGCGTGTCCCCCTTGGCCACAGCTCCTTCTCCCACGTTGCTTCTCTTCCTTTATTCACCCTGGTACCTGGCCTTGGTACCTGGGCTGTCCTCCTCATCAAAGGGACAATTCAAAACTCTGCAGTTGATTTTAAGAAAGTAGGTGAATTTATTGGCTGGGAAAGACTTCATGTAGTTTTGCACTTTAGGTTACTTCTAATTCTTTGTTTGCTTCTGTCAAAATTTAAAAAGGACCTATTCAAGTGGTCAACTGACAGGTCATTAAGTACACTTGGTGATAAACTGCTGTTATGTTTTTTGCATATAAGTCAGAAAGAGCTAAAGAAATTGAGCGTCGGCTGGGAACAGCGGTTCACGCCTGTAATCCCAGCACTTTGGGAGGCCAAGGCGGGTGGATCACGAGGTCAGGAGATCAAGACCATCCTGGCCAACAAGGTGAAACTCTGTCTCTACTAAAAATACAAAAATTAGCTGTGCGTGGTGGCGCATGCCTGTAATCCCAGCTACTCCAGAGGCCGAGGCAGGAGAATCGCTTGAATCAGGGAGCCATAGGTTGCAGTGAGCAGAGATCACGCCACTGCATTCCAGCACTCCAGCCTGGTGACAGAGCGAGAGTCCATCTCAAAAAATAAAAATAAAAATAAATTGAGCGTCATTGCTAAAACAAAATTCCTCCCAATCCTATCTAACAATTTAGGTAAACAAGTTTCCTCAGTGCTAGCAGAAAAATGGAAAAAGAAAACCCAAAATACGAATATAATGTTTTTTTGGTGGGGGGGGGGGGCAGGGGAATGTAATTATTTCGATTATTTCGGACTGTGACTCATTCTAGCAATGAGTAATGTCTACCAAGAATCAATGAGCCGGCGCGGTGGCGCGCGCCTCTGGTCCCAGCACTTTGGGAGGCCGAGATGGGAGGACCACCTGAGCCCGGGAGGTCGGGGCTGCAGTGAGCCGAGATCGCGCCACTGCACTGCAGCCTGGGCGACAGAGCGAGACCCTGTCTTAAAAAAACCAAAACCCGAAAACCAAAAAACTCCACAGCGCGCCGCTTCCCCACTTCTCTGGGGCGCAGAGAGGTGAAGTTTGGCCCTCACGGTATTTACTTCCCCTGGATCCTCGCCTCCTGAGAAGCTGGTCTTGGGCTGCGGTCGGACCTCGCCGCGAGCTCCAGACCCGAGTTTCCGAGCCCGCGCTTCCCGGCCCGCAACCCTCCCAACCGCGTAGCAACGCCGCTCCTGCCGGACACCCCTGGCCCCTCCGGGGGTCTTAGTCCCCGGGCCCGGAAGTCCGCACCACTGAGAGGGGAGCCGATCCCTGGCGCTCCTAGAACGGCGCAGGAAGTTTCCCAGGCGGGGCCTCTCGCGACTTCCGGTCGCGGCGGGCTGGCGGCGGTGCAGGCTTTGTCGGCTGATCTGTGGGGCCCGCGCCGGCGGGGTCCAGTCAGCGGCTGCAGGGTCGGGCTCGCGCCGTCCTCTCCCCGCCCGCGCCGGGTGAGTGGCGCGTTCCGGACGGGGGCGGGCAACGCCTTAGCCGCAGCCCCGGCTGGCTCCGGAGCCCGGCCGCCTTGCCAGGGCACAGTCCGCCGAGAGGGCCGGGCGGGGTCCGCAGGCCGCTGCCCGCCCCGCTAGGGCGTCCAGGAGCGGGGCCTTGGCTAGTCAGTCTCCCGGACGCAGCCACGGCCGCCCCCGCGAGGCTGCGGCGTCTCTCCAGCGAGCCCGCCTCGGGCCCGAGCCTGGGGTCTTGTCCCTGAGGAGCGCCGTGTGGGTACCCCTGGTTCCCTCTCCTTCCCCCCGCCCTGAGCCCAGGCCGGAGAGCCGCGGGCTTGAGTGTCCGTGTCGCAGTCTTCAGGTCCGCCAGGCCTGCGTGAGGTTGATGCCGCAGACATGTTTTACGGTGTGGCAGGACTGGGTGTGGGCGTTCCCGCGGCTGTGCCTGAACCCTGCCTCCGCTCCCTGGGGCCTCGAGGCCTCTCGGTGCTGGAGGAGATGCAGCGCCAGCATCTTCTGTGCTGTTGGGGATAGGGGTGGGGAGGGAAACATGATGAGCAGAATTAGAATTAAGTACAAGACTTGGACCTGGAGAATTCCCAGATGGGGAGAGGTGGTGTGGCTACGCTGTCCTGCTTTTTCTTGAAGGTACCCTTTTCCCTTCGCGTCTTTAAGAATCCCAGTGGCGTTCTCTGTGCTTCTGTCAAGGCTGTCTTGCTCCCTTCACACACAGGCTACGTCATGGTCCAGGGACTCTCAGGGTCTGGGCAGCGCCTGGATGCTGGCCTCAGACTCATAGGTAGTTGGTGTGAAGCAGCTCAGGGAGCTGCCGAGCTTGTCTTCGCTGCCTCAGGGTCATGGAAGATGACCCAGGAGAGGACACAGGGGGCTCGTCGTTGTCCTTGGGCAGAGCCCTGAGCAGCATGCCGGTAGCAGAAGCCAAATGGCCTGGGTGGGGCGGGGGCAGTTGACAGCTGGCTCCAGTTCTCTGACCTTACGCTTCTTACCTCCCTGAACTTCCGGGGCATCGTGGGGAGCACTAGGAACAGAAGCGCTCCCTGCCTAGCCTGTGGCGCCCAGTAGGCCCCTTGGTGTGGCGCGGGGCAAGGAGGTCCAGATGTTAGTGGAGCTCTAGTCCACGTCTCACTCGGTTGCCCTCTGGTTCTGCTTTTCCTGTTTCCTGAGGGTGAAGCTTGGTGTATCCTGTTAATTTCTTCAGGCTGTAAGCAACACACAGTGACTCTGGCTGGGAGCTTGAGGCTGGAATTTCCCCTTACCAGTGTGGGTGCAAGAGCTGGGGGCTTCTAATGCCAGATGGGACACCCCTAGACACCCCAGAGCTGCTGTGGCTGCTGATGATACACAACATCTGCTGTTGAGACAATTTCAAGTGATATTTATTTATTTATTTATTTATTTATTTTTGAGACGGAGTCTTGCTCTGTCGCCCAGGCTGGAGTGCAGTGGCATGATCTCGGCTCACTGCACCCCCTGCCTCCCGGATTCAAGTGATTCTTCTGCCTTAGCCTCCTGAGTTGCTGGGACTACAGGCACACGGCACCACGTCCGGCTAATTTTTGTATTTTTAGTAGAGACGAGGTTTCACCATATTGGTCAGGCTGGTCTTGAACTCCTGACCTTGTGATCTGCCCACCTCGGCTTCCCAAACTGCTGGGATTACAGGCGTGAGCCACCGCGCCTGGCCTCAGGTGATGTTTTATCCAGCAAATTCTGTGTTACAACAGGAGATGGGTCCATGCTAGTCAGTTTGTTGTGTGGAGCCACAAGTCAGGTGGCTTCCTTTTTTTTGCATTTCATGTCAGTTTCTTTAAATGAAAATGTATTGATTTAATTTTACTTAAATTCATACAAGAAAAAGTTAAGCAAAAACTGAAGATAGCTATTTCCTTTTTGAGATAACTGTTTCTTCAAAGCAAGATATTTGCAATTTTAAAAACTTTCTCTAGAGGCGGGCAGATCATGAGGTCAAGAGTTCGAGACCAGCCTGACCAACATGGTGAAACCCCATCTCTACTAAAAGTACAAAAGTTAGCCAGGTGTGGTGGCACGCCCCTGTAATCCCAGCTAGTCAGGAGGCTGAGGCAGGAGAATCACTTGAACCTGGGAGGTGGAGGTTGCAGTGAGTGGAGACCATGCCATTGCACTCCAGCCTGGGCGACAGAGTGAGATTCCGTCTTAAAAAAAAAAAAAAAACTTTCTCAAAAGTTAAAAAAATTATGAAAATTATTAAGAGGCACACATATGGTTTTAAGATATGTTCTTGTAAACAGAAACACCCTGTTTCTGGCCGGCCGTGGTGGCTCACACTTGTAATCCAATCCCAGCACTTTGGGAGGCCGAGGTGGGTGGATCACCTGAGGTCAGGAGTTTGAGACCAGCCTGGGTAACAAAGTGAAACCCCATCTGTACTAAAAATGCAAAAAAATTAGCCGGGCGTGGTGGCAGGCGCCCATAATCCCAGCTACTTGGGAGGCTGAGGCAGGAGAATCGCTTGAACCCACGAGACAGAGATTGCAGGGAGGTGGAGATTGCAGTGAGCCGAAATTGTGTCACTGCACTCCAGCCTGGGCGACAGAGTGAGACTCTGTCTCAAAAAATATATATATATATCAAATAAAAAAAAATAAACAGCTTGTTTCCAGGTAGTATAACAGCCATTTTAAAATTTAAAATCAGAAGGTATCAACTGAGTTCCAAAACAAGAAACCAACATCTCCACCCCACCGTTCTCCCACTTCTTTTTTTTGAGATAGAGGTTTGCTCTTGTTGCCCAGGCTGGAGTGCAATGGCGCGATCTCAGCTCATTCCACCCTCTGCCGCCCAGGTTCAAGAGATTCTCCTGCCTCAGCCTCTCGAGAAGCTGGGATTACAGGCGTGTGCCACCACACCTGGCTAATTTTGTATTTTTAGTAGAGATGGGGTTTTACCATGTTGGCCAGGCTGGTCTCGAACTCCTGACCTCAGGTGATCTGCCTGCCTCGGCCTCCCAAAGTGCTGGGATTACAGGCATGAGCCACCATGTCCGGCCCACCCCCTTTTTAATTTATTTTTATTTTTATTTATTTATTTTTGAGATGGAGTTTCGCTCTTGTTGCCCAGGCTGGAGTGCAATGGCGTGATCTCAGCTCACTGCAGCCTCCACCTCCGCCTCCTGGGTTCCAGTCATTCTCCCGTCTCCGCCTCCCAAGTAGCTGGGATTACAAGCATGTGCCACCATGCCCAGCTAATTTTGTATTTTTAGTAGAGACGGGGGTTTCTCCATGTTGGTCAGGCTGGTCTCGAACTCCTGACCTCAGGTGATGTGCCTGCCTAGGCCTCCCAGAGTGTTGGGATTACAGGCGTGAGCCACTGCATCTGGCCTGTCTTTTTAAAATACAGACTGTGTTTCACCATGTTGACCAGGCTGGTCTCTAAGTCCTGAGCTCAAGCAGTCTACCTGCCTCAGCCTCCCAAAGTGCTGTGATTACAGGTGTGAGCCGCCGCACCTGGCCCAGTTTGAATTTATCATCATGGGGAGAATTGAATCTGAATATTTTGAGTTGTATATTAGCATTATTTAAGACGTAGGTTAAAGTTGCTGTAACAGATTCAAATACGGTGTTTCAAATAAGAAACTTGAGTTGTCTTATTCTCTCTTAAAGGTAGGGTTGGCCTCCAGGGACTCTGGCTGCCCTGCCTCATCAGCACTGTGGGGAGGGGAGAGAGTGGACAGCACGCACACATCACTTCCCTTCTCGCCTCATCTTGGTCACAAACTCACCTAACTTAAGGGGACACTAGGAAATGTCATTTATGGGGCAGTCATTAGTAATTTGATGGGGTTTCTAACACTTAAAGGAAGAAGGAAACAGGAATGCTAGGGAACCACATTGGCTACCCAAGTGTCCAGTGGACCTTTCATCCCACACATGGGGATGTGCCAGTGTGGGTCCAGACCACTGCAATAAAGTGAATAGCAAAACAAAGCAAGTCACAGAAACTTCTTAGCTTCCCAGTGTATATAAAAGTTACGTTTAGGTATGCTGTGGTTACTATTCAGTATGCAATAGCATTATGTCTAAAAATGTAAATAATTTAAAGATACTTTATTGCTAAAAGATGATCATCTGAGCCTTAAGTTGTAATCATTTTGCTGATGGAGGGTCTTGCCTTTCTTGATGGCTGCTGACTGATCAGGGTGATGGTTGCTGAAGGTTGGTGTGACTGGCAGTTTCTTAAAATGGGACGATGAAGTTTGTCACATCAGTGGAATCTTGCTTTCACAAAAGATTTCTCTGTAGCATGCAAAGCTGTTCGCTAGTATTTTACCCAAGTAGAACTTCTTTCAAAATTAGAGTCAAGCCTCTCAAACCCTGCCTGTGTTTTATCAACTAAGTTTATGGAATCTTCAAAATCCTTTGTTGTCATTTCAACAGTGTTCACGGCATCTTCACCAGGAGCAGATTCCATGTCAAGAAGCGTACTTGTTTTCCTCATCTCTAAGAAGCAACACCTCAGCCGGGCATGGTGGCTCGTGCCTGTAATCCCAGCACTTTGGGAGGCTGAGGCAGGTGGATCACCTGAGGTCAGGAGTTTGAGACCAGCCTGGCCAACATAGCCAAATCCCGTCTCTACTAAAAATACAAAAATTAGCTGGGCGTGGTGGCGCACTCCTGTAATCCCAGCTACTCAGGAGGCTGAGGCAGGAGAATTGCTTGAACCCGGGAGGTGGAGGTTGCAGTGAGCCGAGATTGCACCACTCCACTCTGCCTGGGGAACGAGAGTGAAACTCTGTCTTTAAAAAAAAAAAAAAAAAAAAAAAAAAAGCAGCAGCACCTCATCCATTCAAGTTTGATCACGAGATTGAAGCAATTCAGTGACATCTTTAGGCTACACTTCTAAATCTAGCTCTCTTGCTATTTTCACCACATCTATAGTTGCTTCCTCCACTGAAGTCTCAAACCCCTCAAAGATTCATGAGGGCTGGAATCAGGTTTTTCCAAAATACCAAATGTTGATGTTTTGACCTCCTCCCATAAATCATGAATGTTCTTCGTGGCATCTATAATGATGACTCCTTTCCAGAAGGTTTTCGGCTGACTTTGCCCAGATCCATCAGAGGAATCATTATGGCACCTACAGCCTTGTGAAACATATTTCTTAATAAGACTTGAAAGTTGGAGTGACTCCCAGCCAGGGGCTGCAGAATGCACGTTGTGTTGGCAAAAGAAGAACATCAGTCTCCCTGTTCATCTCCATCAGAGCTCTTGGGTGACCAGGAGCATTGTCAGTGAGTAGTGTTTTTTTTTTTTTTTTTTTTTTTTTCTTTTTTTTTTTTTTTGAGACGGAGTCTTGCTCTGTCGCCCAGGCTGGAGTGCAGTGGCGGGATCTCGGCTCACTGCAAGCTCCGCCTCCCGGGTTCACGCCATTCTCCTGCCTCAGCCTCCCAAGTAGCTGGGACTACAGGCGCCCGCCACTACGCCCGGCTATTTTTTTGTATTTTTAGTAGAGACGGGGTTTCACCGTTTTAGCCGGGATGGTCTCGATCTCCTGACCTCGTGATCCACCCGCCTCGGCCTCCCAAAGTGCTGGGATTACAGGCGTGAGCCACCGCGCCCGGCCGTGAGTAGTGTTTTGAAAGGAATCTTTTTTTCTGAGCAGTAGGTCTCATTAGTGAGCTTAAAATACTCCATAAACCATGCTGTAAACAGATGCACTGTCATCCAGGCTTTGTTATTCCATTTCCAACACAGGCAGAGTGGATTTAGCATCATTCTTAAGGGTCCTAGAATTTTTGGAATGGGAAATGACCATTGGCTTCACGTCACCAGCTGCATTCGCCCCTAACGAGAGTCAGCCTGTCCTTTTCAATCTTTGAAGCCAGGCATTGACTTCTCTCTAGCTGCGAAAGTCCTAGATGCCATCTTCTTCCAATAGAAAGCGGTTTTATCCACACTGAAAATCTTTTTAGAGTAGCCACCTTAGTCAACCATCTTAGCTAGATCTGGAGAACTTGCTTCAGTTTCTCCCGTAAAGCTTGCAGCTTCACCTTGCACTTCTATGTGTGGAAGTGACTTCTTTCCTTAAACCTCATGAACCAACCTCTGCTGGTTTTCTGCTTTTCTTCCGCAGCTTCCCTCACCCGTCTCGGCCTTCATAGAATTGAGGACGGTTAGGACCTTGCTGTGGATTCAGCTTTGGTTGCCAGTCACACCAGCTGTCGGGCAAAGTTGTTGTTTTAATCTCTCCAGACCACTCAGACTTCTTCCACATCAGCAATAAGGCTGTCTTGCTATCCTGTCATTTGTGTGTTCACTGGAGCAGCTCGTTTAATTTCCTTCTGGGGCTTTTCCTTTGCATTGCCGCTCAGCCGTTTGATGCAAGAGGCCCGGCTTTCTGACTGAGTTTTAGACATGCCTTCCTCACAAAGCTTAATCATTTCTAGCTTTTGGTTTAAAGTGAGAGATGTGGGATTCCTCCTTTCACGTGAGAGGCCATGGTAAGGTTACTAATTAGCCTAATCTCAATATTGTTATATCCAGGGAAGGGGGAGGCTGGAGGAAAGGGAGAGATGGGGAACAGCCGGTTGGTGGTGGATGTAGGAAACACACATTGATAATTCAGCTTCTTATATGGGTGCGGTTCATGGTGCCCCAAACAGTGACAGTAGTTTTAGATTCCTGTTACCTGCCGGGCACCTGGCATGGGTGTGGAGGGCAGAGTTCTGAGGTGGTCTCTTAGATTCCTGGCCCCTAATGTACACACCCCTTCTTCCAGTTACTCATTCAGACACTCATCTGGTACTGTCATGAAGAGACTTGCAGATGTCGGGAGGTCCCAGGTCAGTGAGGTGAGAAGGGAGGTCGTCTGGGAGAGCCTGACCTAATCACACAGACCCTGGGAAGCAGAGGTTCCTCCATCTGGTTGGAGAACAGAGGCTGAGATTAGATGCGTGAGAAAAATGTGATGTGCTGTGCCTGCCTTGAGATTCAGGTGGCCCCTAGGGGCGGCTCCTGCTCACAGCCAGTAAGCACACAGGGTTCTTAGTCCTACAGTTGCAGGGAACTGGATTCTGCCACGAAATCTGAATGAGTTTGGAAACCAGTTTTCCCCAGGGCCTCCAGATGAGAGCTCAGCCCGATGACATACAGTTGCAGCTTTGCGTGACCCTGCGTGGAGATCCCAGCTGGCCTGGCCTGGATGTGTGACCTGCAGAACTGTAGGGTAACAAATGCATGCTGCTTTAAGCTGCTGAGTTTGTGTAAATTGTTTTTGGAGCAGTGGATAACTGGGAGAGGGCTTGGCACTGGGCGGGTGGAGTCCCCTTCTTGGAAGCAGTTCCCAGAGTGAGGATTCCCAGACTGCAGGCTGGGGCATTGCCCTCCACAGCGGGGTTGGATAGAGCATCCCAGTGCCTGCGTGAGGTCGCATAATTCCGGGTCCAGTCAGCTTTTCCAAAGTGAGCACCTGTGTGACTCAGGGCACCACCATGTGCCCCTGCCAGTGACAGTGTCTCCTGAACACCATTGCAGCTTACATCCTTCCACCAGGGATTGGCTCTCTGTTTTCTAGCTTTATGTAAATGGAGTCGTACAATATGAGCTCTTTTGTGCCTGGCTGCTTTTGCTCAGCACTTCGTCTGTTGTGAGGTCCACCTGTGCTTTTATGTGTGGCAGTTTTTTTTCTGTGCATTATTGTTTGTGTGAGTCTTCTGTTGCTAGATATTTAGGGTGTTAGAATGTTGCTAAGAACACTCTAGCTACAGACTTCTGCAGGGTAGGCTTGCAGTTTCTCCAGCAACCTAATTCCCTTGAAAATATCCTCACTGTTGGGGCTGCTTGCTGCCAGTGCATCCCACGTCACAGCTCTGGTTTTGGTTTTTGTTTTTTATTTTTTGAGATGGAGTCTCACTTTGTCACCCAAGCTGGAGTACGGTGTTGTGATCTCTGCTTACTGCAACCTCTGCCTCCCAGGTTCAAGTGATTCTCCTGTCTCAGCCTCCCGAGTAGCTGGGATTACAGGTGCATGCCACCACACCTGGATAATTTTTGTATTTTTAGTAGAGATGAGGTTTCACCATAGCCAGGCTGGTCTCGAACTCCTGACCTCAAGTGATCCACCCACCTTAGCCTCCCAAAGTGTTGGGATTACAGGCATGAGCCGCTGTACCTGGTGCAGCTCTGGTTTTTAAACGAGCAGAACCTCCAGTTTTATTTACTGGCTTCTGGGCTGGGCTGATCCCCCCTCCCTCATTATATTGGCAGTGGCCTTGAGGTATTGAAGACAGTAGTAGTGGATGGGAAGGCAACATTACTGATCTTCGCAGTGGCCCGGCTCCCACTGCCCAGCAAGAACCCCAAAGAGAAGGTTCTTGAGGCGAGACAGTCAGCCTTCTCATCCTGAGAGCCACATTAATGGGTCCTCAGTGCATAAGCAGAATATATATGGAAATTAAGCAAATACATGGCTGGGTGTGGTGGCTCACTCCTGTAACCCCAGCACTTTGGGAGGCCAAGGTGGCTGGACTGCTTGAGGCCAGGAGTTTGAGACCAGCCTGGCCAATATGGAGAAGCCCCATCTCTACTAAAAATACACAAGAATTGCTTGAACCCAGGAGGCGGAGGTTGCAGTGAGCTGAGATCACGCCACCATGCAATCAGCCTGTGCGAGAGAGCAAGACTATCTTTAAAAAAAAAAAAAAAAAGCCCGGGCGCAGTTGCTCAAGCCTGTAATCCCAGCACTTTGGGAGGCCAAGGTGGGCTGATCACCTGAGTTTGGGAGTTCGAGACCAGCCTAACCAACACGGAGAAACCCCATCTCTACTAAAAATACAAAATTAGCTGGGTGTGATGGCGCAAGCCTATAATCCCAGCTACTTGGGAGGCTGAGGCAGGAGAATCGCTGGAACCCGGGAGCTGGAGATTTTGATGAGCCGAGATCGTGCCATTGCACTCCAGCCTGGGCAATAAGAGCAAAACTCCATCTCAAAAAAAAAAAAAGAGAGAAAATACAAATGGTCGGCCGAGCGTGGTGGCTCATGCCTGTAATCCCAGCACTTTGGGAGGCCAAGGCGGGCGGATCACAAGGTCAGGAGATCGAGACCATCCTGGCTAACGGTGAAACCCCGTCTCTCCTAAAAATACAAAAAAATTGGCCAGGCATGGTGGCGGGCGCCTGTAGTCCCAGTTGCTCGGCAGGAGAATGGCGTGAACCCAGGAGGCAGAGCCTGCAGTGAGCTGAGATGGCGCCACTGCACTCCAGCCTGGGCAACAGATCGAGACTCCATCTCAAAAAAAAAAAAAAGACAAATCCTCAGACTTGAGGCTGGTAAAGTGCAGGCGCCAAGAAAGAAACTTTCTCTCAAAGCAGTCACTGTTCCTTTGGTCTCTGCTTTCAGAGAGTGGATTCTGGCTTCCCCCCTTTCCATGGCAGAGCCTCAGATATCATTGTTTCGTTATAACATCTATGAGGGAAAAAGTGATTCCTGGCTGGGAGCACCATGTGTGGAGTGTGCACATTCTCCCCACGGCCGCCTGCTTTCCTCCACGTCCCAAAGATGTGTCCATTAGGTGAATTGGGGTGTCTCCTTGGTCCCAGCATGAGCGAGTTTGGGTGTGTGAGTTGCCCTGTGGTGGGACCCTGTCCTATCCGGGGCTGGTTCTCACCTCGCACCCTGAGCTGCCAGGATAGGCTCCAGCTACCCAGAACCGTGCATTAAAATAAGTGGGTAAATAATTATCTTGTTTTTCTTAATTTTTTTTTTTATGGGAGATTTTCCAGTAAAAACTGAGAAACCTGCTAGACATTCTAAAAGAGCTGTAGCAAGCACTGTTAATCTTTCTTTAAGGTAAGGTATGTATAACTCACATTTATTTCAGTGTTTAATACTAGAAGTGTTGGAGCTTTTTTTTTAATTAGAGACAGGGTCTCACTCTGTCACCTAGGTTGGAGTTCCATGGCATAGTCATGGCTTACTACAGCCTCAAACCTCTGGGCTCAAGTGATCCTCCTGACTTAGCCTCCCAAATAGCTGGGACCACAGGTATGCAACATCACACCCAGCTAAATAAAAAATTGTTTTTTAGAGATGGAGTCTTGCTATGTTGCCCAGGCTGGTCTTGGACTCCTGGCCTCAAGTAGTCCTCCTGCTTTGGCCACTGGAAATGCTGGGATTATAGGCATGAGCCACTGTACCTGGCTTATTACCTTGTATTGAGTGTATTATGTATGCATGATTAGAACATTCATTCATACAGCAGATATTGATGAAATGTATTACTTTATGCCAGAAATTGTTTGGGTTGCTGAGGATAAAGAACAGAACAAAGTTCCTGCCCACACAGCACTCACATACTTGTGGGGGAGACAACAAAACACATAGTTTGTTGCCTGTGGGGTGTGTGCGTGTGTGTGTGTGTGTGTGTGTGCATGCATGTATATATCACAATTCATTGATTCTAAGATACACTTTCTCCATATTTTAATGTCTCTGAAATTGAGTTGCCTGTTAGAATTGATGGAGTGTTTTTTGTTGTTGTTTGAGACAGGGTTTTGCTCTGTCACCCAGGCTGGAATGCAGTGGCACAAGCACGGCTCACTGCAGTCTCAACTTCCTGGGCTCAAGTGATTCTCCTGCCTCAGTCTCCCATGTAGTTGGAACCACAGGTGTGCTACCTTGCCTGGCTGTTTTTAAAAATGTTTTTTGTAGAGATGGGATCTTTCTACCTTGCCCAGGCAGACGTTGAACTCCTGGTCTCAAGTGACCCTCCCACCTCTGCCTCCCAAAGTCTTAGGATTACAGGAGTGAGCCACTGTGCCTGGCTTGATGGAGTGTTTTCATTTAAATTGGTACTTTTATTTTCCTTCATGGTTCATAAAATTGTGTCACATCTCGCAGTCGATGGCTGCTTTGATTGGGTGACTTATGATTGGTCAAGTGGTCAGAACTGTGCAGAGAAAGCAGAGGCAGGAGAGAGGGCATGCTGAGGGTGGGGGTGCCTTGCTGTTTTTTTTTTTTTTGTTTTGTTTCGTTTTTTGAGACGGCGTCTTGCTCTGTCACTCAGGCTGGAGTGCAGTGGCACAATTTTGGCTCACTGCAAGCTCCGCCTCCTGGGTTCAGGCCATTCTCCTGCTTCAGCCTCCCAAGTAGCTGGGACTACAGGCGCCTGCCGCCACGCCCGGCTAATTTTTTTTGTATTTTTGGTAGAGATGGGGTTTCAGTGTGTTAGCCAGGATGGTCTCGATCTCCTGACCTCGTGGTCCGCCCGCCTCTGCCTCCCAAAGTGCTGGGATTACAGGCGTGAGCCACCATGCCCAGCCAGCCTTGCTGTTTTATAGTGTGACTAGGAGGGACTCTGATCAGGTGACGTCAACACAGACACCTGAAGGACATCTAGGAGTGAACCCTGCAAATATCTTTGGAGTCTTTCTACGAAAGTGCAAAGGCTCCGAGGGGGCAGGGACTGCAGGGGCCAGTGTGACCAAAGAAGAGGGAAGGGGAGGGCAGGGTGAGCAGCAGGAGTCCAGGCCCAGTGGCCCTTGTGGGGCCAGAGTAGGGGATGGGAAACCTTTGTCAGTTTTGAGTAGAAAAGTGACATCTGATTTATGATTTTAAAGCGTAATTCTGCTGGCTGTGTAGAAAAGAGCTGGAGAAGGGGAGAAGTAAGCAGGTGGGAGGTGGTCACGCTTCATGGTGAAAGGCGATGGTGCAGATGGCAGCCCTGTAGGCTGTGGGCGTCTGGCGCTGGGCATGGTTTTGAACAGATGTGGAGTGTGAACAAAGGGAAGAGGATTCAAGGGTTATTGCAGTGTCTGTGGCCTGAACAAATGAGATAATGGAGAAAACTATAGAAGGAGGAAAATCAGAAGTGAGGCTGGACGCATTAGGGTTGAAAAACTTCTGAGAGCATCCAAATGAAGGTGTTGGGTGAGGAGCTGGTCAGGTGTTGGGGCTGGAAAGAAGGCCAGGTTGGAGGCAGGCATGTGAGTGTTCAGCATAGATGGCGTTGGTGTCTGATAATGAGTGCACTCCCCTCTGTAATGGACAGAGATGAGGGCTGAGCCCTAGACACGCCAGGGCTTTGAGGCGTCAGGGGACACTGGGAGGAGCTATCAGTGAGGCGGGTAGGGAACAGAGAAAGGCTGTCCCAGATTCACATAAGGAGAGTGACTTCTGAAGGAGCGGGGCTGTGTCAGTGCCACCGCAGGTTGAGTTGGAAGTGTGGCCATAGCTGACCCCTGATATGGTGACGTGGATGTTTGGGGTGAGAGCCCTACTGTAGTAGGCTCAGGGGAAGGAGGAAATGGAGAAATCGAGCGTGGGGTGGGGGCTCTTTGAATGGGGCTGCGGAGGAGGAGAGTCATGGGGTAGTAATTGGTGGGACATGGGGCCCATGACGTGCATTTTTCAGGTCGCTGGGAACTGGCGCACTTCTTCATGCTGAGGGGAGTGGTGGGCTTGGAGGGCAAGGACTTCAGGATGGAGGAGAGGGATGGGTGCTCAGGTGCTGTCCCTGCATGTGTGAGAGGGAAAGGGAGCTCACACACAAGTGGAAGTGTTGCCTTTAAGTCAGAACAAGGGCAGTTTAACCCAGGTAACAAGCCTGGCAGAGGATGGGTGGAGATACAGGCTGGCAGGAGACGTGGGAGGCAGTGGATGTCCTTGCCTGATTTCTTCTGTTTTCTCATTGAAACAAGAAGCAAGGTCACCAGTGGGGAGGGAGGAGGGAGTGCTGAGTTTGTAAGAAGATAGGAGAAGTGGAAGGTCCTGTGGGGAGTGGGAAGGGTAGGAGTTGCTGGCAGCTCTCAGGCCCCATTAGGCAAGCAGCTCTGAATTTAAAGAGCTCAGTCAGCTGGCTGGATGTGGTGGCTCACGTCTGTAATCCCAGCAGTTTGGGAGGCCGAGGCGGGCAGATCACGAGGTCAGGAGATCGAGACCATCCTGGCTAACACGGTAAAACCCCGTCTCTACTAAAAATACAAAAAAATTAGCCGGGCGTGGTGGCGGGCGCCTGTAGTCCCAGCTGCTTGGGAGGCTGAGGCAGGAGAATGGTGTGAACCCAGGAGGCAGAACTTGCAGTGAGCCGAGATTGCACCACTGCACTCCAGCCTGGGTGACAGAGCGAGACTCCATCTAAAAAAAAAAAAAACAAAAACAAACAAAAAAACAGCAAGAGTGCAGGCACAAATCAAAACACAACCTCGTTTTAACCAAAGGTTGGGCTTTCCCATCCAAGTATCATGGAGGGAGGAAAGGGCAGGGGAGCCCGATTCTGTGCAGGAGGGTGATTCTCATGCAACTTACAGTGAACACAGTGCCCCAGATCATGGGCTCTAAGCTAGGTATGGAGGGGAGAAGAGGACATGAAGGAAGGAATGAGGAACAGTGAAGAGGTGGCAGGGCTGATGTGTTTATACGTTTGTTTAAAGTATCTGTCTCGGTTTTTTAATGGAGTTCAAGCATATCCCCACCCCTCTGCAACTCATCCAGGATTCACTAATGGTCAGAGGAGTGTTGTGCACCACAGACCAGTCTGTCCTGGTGTTGGATGTTAAAAGTGGAGCCACAAAGAAGCCATCTTATGTGGGACAGGCTTGGGTGTGAGACCAGAGCTGTGGGTAGCAGCATGTTGGGTCAGGATGAGGGGCAGAGGAAACACTTTCCACCTCTTGGATATGGATTTTATCCTGCCCTGATTCAGGAGATCCCCATCTGTTAAGTAAGGGGAAAGATGATTTTGTTGTCTTTTGTTTCAGATTCTAATGTAGGAACTGGTGAGAAGAAGGTGACTGAAGCCTGGATTTCTGAGGATGAAAACTCACATAGGACGACGTCAGACAGACTCACGGTGATGGAGCTCCCCTCTCCCGAGTCTGAGGAAGTCCACGAGCCCAGATTAGGGGAGCTCTTGGGAAATCCAGAAGGTCAGAGCCTGGGGAGTTCCCCCTCTCAGGACAGGGGCTGCAAGCAGGTGACAGTGACCCATTGGAAGATCCAGACAGGAGAGACAGCTCAAGTGTGCACCAAGTCAGGAAGAAACCATATTCTGAACTCAGACCTTCTTCTGCTTCAGAGAGAGCTCATAGAGGGGGAAGCCAATCCTTGCGATATCTGTGGCAAAACCTTCACGTTTAATTCGGACCTAGTTAGGCATCGGATTTCGCATGCTGGGGAGAAACCTTACACGTGCGATCAGTGTGGGAAAGGCTTTGGCCAGAGCTCACACCTTATGGAGCATCAGAGAATTCACACTGGAGAGAGACTCTACGTCTGTAATGTGTGTGGGAAAGACTTCATTCACTATTCAGGTCTCATTGAGCATCAGCGCGTTCATTCAGGAGAAAAGCCCTTCAAATGTGCGCAGTGTGGGAAGGCGTTTTGTCACAGTTCAGACCTGATTAGGCACCAGAGAGTTCACACCAGAGAGAGACCTTTTGAATGCAAAGAGTGTGGGAAAGGCTTCAGTCAGAGCTCCTTACTTATTCGCCATCAGAGGATTCACACGGGAGAAAGGCCCTATGAGTGCAATGAATGTGGGAAATCCTTCATAAGGAGCTCGAGCCTCATTCGCCATTATCAGATCCACACAGAAGTGAAACAGTATGAATGCAAAGAATGTGGGAAGGCATTCCGTCATCGCTCAGACCTTATTGAACACCAGAGAATTCACACCGGAGAGAGACCCTTTGAATGCAATGAGTGTGGGAAAGCCTTTATTCGGAGTTCAAAGCTCATTCAGCATCAGAGGATCCATACTGGGGAGAGGCCTTACGTATGCAATGAGTGTGGGAAGCGCTTCAGCCAGACGTCAAACTTCACCCAGCATCAGAGAATTCACACTGGAGAGAAACTCTATGAATGTAACGAGTGTGGGAAAGCTTTCTTTCTGAGTTCATACCTTATTCGACACCAGAAAATCCACACTGGAGAGAGAGTGTATGAATGTAAGGAATGTGGGAAAGCGTTTCTCCAGAAAGCCCATCTCACTGAGCACCAGAAGATCCACTCTGGGGACAGGCCCTTCGAATGTAAAGACTGTGGGAAAGCCTTCATCCAGAGCTCCAAGCTGCTTCTGCACCAGATTATTCACACTGGAGAAAAGCCCTATGTGTGCAGTTATTGTGGGAAAGGCTTTATTCAGAGGTCAAACTTCCTTCAACACCAGAAAATTCATACTGAAGAGAAGCTCTATGAATGTAGTCAGTATGGGAGAGATTTTAACTCAACTACAAACGTTAAAAATAATCAAAGGGTTCACCAAGAGGGACTCTCCTTGAGTAAGGCCCCCATACATTTGGGTGAGAGGTCTGTAGATAAGGGGGAACACACAGGTAACTTATAAAATAATTACTTTCCCGCCCAGTGAGTGATGTTTGGAAATGCGTGGAATTAGGATTCATGTGGTTTCTAAGATTTGGACATGTCAGAATTTTGTGAGTCATGGATGGGGCTGCTTTTGCAGTGGGTGCCACCTGCCACTGTGCAGCCCTACTCGGCTCAGCCCTTCTCCTCAGCTGTGAGCACTGTCCTCAGGAGAGTCACAGGGCTTGACACCTGACTCTGAGCTGGAACAGTAGGGGCAGGGAGAAGACAGGTCTCAAGAAAAGGTTTTTAAGAAGTTTCATCCCCAGTTAAGCAGAGTCCATCCTTGACTTAAATCCCTTATTACAGCACAACTGTGTATCTAATCTTACGATTTAGGAGAATGTTACCTAGGACATTTTGATGTGTTAAGTTGAAGAAAGGTAACTCGTGTATGAACCCCGAGCCATTTCCCTGTTGTCCTGAGGAGGAACTCCAGGCCTCCCATCGTGTGCCCTAAGGCCTCCTGCGTCCTGGAGCCCTGCCTCCCACTGCCTGACTTCCTGCCACACGGTTAATGCTGCAGCAACACCGACTGCTTCATCTTCCCTGTGCTCCACGTGGCTTCCTACCTCTCTCGCCTTTGTTCTTGTTGAAGGGTCTCTTCTCAGCTAATTAACTCTGAATCATGGTTCAAGACAAGCCTCAGGCATCATGTCAATGGGTGTTTCCCTCAAGCTTAGTTGGCAGCACTCTCCACACTTCTGTGGCTCAGTGATTACTGCTATTACTATATTTACTTGCATATGTCAGAATGATGTGATAGACTATCTCTGTCACTATGCTGTTGGGTTCCTGAGGACAGTGATCATATCTGATTGATTTCCATGTGTCCACTGTCTAGCACAGGGCAATAAAAAATACACCCCTAAATCTATGTGTAATTGGCATCTCTCTTGCTTTGTCCTTTCTATACTGCCATTCTAAAAATTTTCAGCTGTTGGCTGTTTTTTTTGTTGTTTGTTCATTTTGTATCAGTATAATCTACGATTCTGTTAGAAGTATCTTCTCAGCCCTGCTACTGTCTGCTGCTCCTACTTAGAAGTTGCAGGCAATATCCTGTGCACATCCACGCCCTCCTGTGTGCCACCTTACAGCTCATGCAGAACTGTCTACTTGATCTGGAGGGCATTGACACCTGGCTCAGCTGGAACAGTGGGGACAGGAGGAGGCAGGTCTCAAGAGAAGGTCTTTACTTACTTGTCTGTATCTTTCTGTCTCACTCGAAAGGCACAGTCTCAATGCGCTACGTAACTCTTCTGTTGTAGCAGTTCTGAGGTTGAACTGAGCTCTTGTCATTTTCCATGCTCTCTGGCTCATTGTGTCATTTCAAAATGTATTGATATCTATAAGGAATAGTCCTCAATGTTGGGAAAACAGATGAGCAACCCACTACCCTGAAGTCATCCACCGTGTAGTGGGGAAGACGGAGATCACAGTAGGGTGAGTTAAGTATGTGCCCTCAGGTGTGAAGGAGCACAGGTGAGGGGGTGCCTGCTGTGGCACAGAGCTGGGAAGGCCTTACAGAAGAGGTGACATTTCAGCTGGGCCAGAGATCAGTAGAGAGCAGCTGAAGAAGAAAATAGGGTCCAGGAGAGGAATCTGCAGAAACATGGAGCCATGACAGATGGCTTTTTGGCTAGGACTGTTCGAAAGCAGGCGAGGTAAATGGACAGTGGACAGCCGCCTCGCCAAACTGTTAGTCTTTACCTCTGAATTTCATCTGGACATGAACCCCAAAGTCCAGTTTTGTAACGATATAATTTTTTTCTCATGAGGCCATATTTTGAGTTCTTAAATACTACCAACCCTGAACGTCTCAGGACAAATAATTCAAAAAAGAGATCTACATTTTCTGGAAAATCAGCATTACTAGAGATGTTTCAAATGTAGATTTTACCAGACCATTTTAATCAACTTTATTGAGATTCAATTTTCATATAGTAAAACGCCTATTTAAGTGTACAAGGTTTTGAAAAATCTATACACCTGTGTAACCACCACCACCTGTGTAACCACCACCGCCAGAACCAAAAACGTTTCTGTCACCCAAAGAAGTTCCCTTTTGCCTTTTCCTAGTTAAGCCCACTCCAGCCCCAGATAACCACTTTCTATCCTCATAGATTAGTGTTGCTTGGTTTAGAGCCTCATACAAATGGATTCATTTACTATGTGTTCTTTTGCGTCTGATGTCTCACTTTGGCATGTTTTTAGACTCATCCAAGCTGTTTTGTGTTTCAGTAGTTCTCCTTGCTGAATAGTATTCCATTGTGTGGATAAGCCATCATTTGTTTATTCATCCATGTGTTAATGGGTTTCCAGTCTCGGCTCTTAAAACTATGAGCATTTGTGTAAAAGTATGTATTTGCACATGTGTTTTTATTTCTCTTGGGTAAGTACCTAGGACTTTAATTGCTGTGTTGTAAGTGTCTTAGTTCATTCAGGCTGCCATAACAAAATACCATCAACTGGGAGGCTTATAAACAACAGAAATTTATGTTTTACAGTTCTGGAGGCTGGGAAGTCCAAGATGAGGGTGTCAACATTTGGTGTCTAGTGAGGGCCTGCTTCCTTTTAAGTAGATGTCTTTTTACTGTGACTGCACGTGGTGGAAAGGGACTAGCAAGCTTACCCCATTCATGAGGGCTCTCCCCTTGTGATTCTGTCCCCTCCCCAAGACCCCACCTCATATCATCTTATGGGTTAGGAATTTGACATGAATTGTGCAAGGATGTAAACATTCAGTCCATTGCAATACGTGTTTCTAACTTCCTAAGAAATTGTCACACAGCCCTCTGTAGTGGTTGAATCATTTTACACTATTACTACATTATGGGAAGATTCCAGTTGCTCCATATCTTTGCTAACACTTGGCATTGTCAGTCTCTTAAAATTTAATCCACTCTAGCCTCCTTATGATTTTAATTTGTATTTGCCCACTGAATAATGTATGTCTATGATTTCATCTGCTTATTGCTTTTCCGTGTCGTCTTTTGTGATGTGTCTGTTCGTGCCTTTTGCCTGTTTTTAAGTTGGGATGCTTATTGTTGACTCAAGTTCTTTCCATATTCTGCATGAAAAACATACATGTAATATATAGAATTCTTTGTCTCCATTTGTGACAAATATTGTGAATATTTTCATGTTTGGTTTGCCTGTTCATTTTCTTAATGGTGTCTTTTGAATATTTTTTATTAAGCCTAATTTATCAAAGATTTGGGTGTGGTGGCTCATGTCTGTAATCCCAGCACTTTGGGAGGCCAAGGTAGGCAGATCACCTGAGGCCAGAAGTTTGAGACCAGCCTGGCCAACGTGGTGAAACCCCGTCTCTACTAAAAATACAAAAATTATCTGGGCGGGTGGCACACCCCTGTAGTCCCTGCTACTCGGGAGGCTGAGGCAGGAGAATCACTTGAACCCAGGAGGCAGAGGTTGCAGTAAACCAAGATAATAATAATAATGATTTATGATATTTTATAATAATTTGAGTTTAAGAAATTTGCCTACTCAAAGGACATGATTTTTTCCTATGTTTTTTATTTTTATGGAACTTTTATAGTTTTACCTTTTACATTTAAGTCTGTGATCCATTTTGAGTTCATTTTTGTGTACCATATGTGATAAGGGTCAAGATTCACTTTTTTATCTGTGTGGTTGGTTGGTTCGGTTCTATTTGTTGAGACTCTACTTTCCCAATGACCAAGTCTTCACAGGTTTGTAAAAACTGAAGTGACATAGAAGTGGTCTGTTCTGGACACCATTCTTCTTGTGTGTATAACTTTACACCAATATGACACTATATTGATTACTGTAGTTTTATTTGAGGCAGAAATCTCATTCTGTTGCCCAGGCTGGAGCGTAGTGGCACAATCACAGCTAATGTAACCTCGAACATCCGGGCTCAAGTGAGCCTCTTTCCTTAGCCTCCCAAGTAGTTGGGACTGTAGGCATGCATCACCACATCTTGCTAATTTTTTATATTTTTTTGTAGAGATGGGGGTCTCACTATGTTGACCAGGCTGGTCTTGAACTCCTGGCCTCAAGGGATCCTCCTGCCTCAGCCTCCCAAAGGGATTACAGGTGTGAGCCACCACTCCTGGCCAACTGTAGTTGAACTCAGGTATTGGAAGGGCTTCCGTTTTGTTCTTTTCCCATTTTTTTTTTTTTGACTTCTAGATCCTTTGCATTTTCGTATAAAATTTGAAGTCAACTTCTATCAACTTCAGGCCAGGCCCGTGGCTCATGCCTGTATAATCCCAGCACTTTGGGAGGCCGAGGCAGGCGGATCACTTGAGGTCAGGAGTTCAAAACCAGCCTGGCCAAGATGGTGAAACCCCATCTCTACTAAAAATACAAAAAAATTAGCCAGGCGTGGTGGCAGGCGCCTGTAGAATCCCAGCTACTCGGGAGGCTGAGGCAGGAGAATTGCTTGAACCTGGGAGGTGGAGGTTTCAGTGAGCTGAGATCGTGGCATTGCACTCTAGCCTGGGCAACCAAGAGTGAAACTGTCTCAAAAAACAACTTTTATCAATGTCTGCAAAAAGAAAGTCTTCTGGGATTTATAGATCAATTTAGGGAGAAATGACATTTTAACAATTCTGAGTTTTCCAATTGTTGAACATGGTGTACTGCCCCATTTATTTAGATCTGTTAATTTCTCTCAGTTTGCAGCTCTCACATTTTGTTAAATTCATGTATTTAATATTTCTGCATGCTATTGCAAGTGGTAAGGTTTTCAAAAAGCTGTTTTCTAGTTATTGCTAGTATATAGAAATGCATTAGACTTGTACATTGATCTTGTATCAAGCAACTTAGATCAGTTAACTTATTCTAGTAGCTTTTTTCTAGATTCTTTAGCATTTTCTATGTAGATAATCATGTCATCTGTGAATAAAGTATTTTACTTTTCCAATTTATATGGACTTTGTTCCTTTTTCTTATTGTACTGACTAGGGCATCTTGTTCCGTTTTCCTTAGAATTGGTAAGAGTATGTCCTTGTATTGATATCAGGATACTGTTACTCCCAAAGAATTGCGAATTATTCTATCCTCTTCTGTTTTCTGAAGTTGTTTATGTAATATTGATACTATTATTTCTTCCTTAAATGTTTTCTTCCCTTCTTTCCTTCCTTCCCTCCCTCTCTCTTTCTCTCTCTCTTTTTTCTTTTCTTTTCTTTCCTTTTTTTTTTCTGAGACCCAGTCTCACTCCGTCACCCAGGCTGGAGTGCAGTGGCATGGTCTCGGCTCACTGCAACCTCTGTCTCCCAGGTTTAAGCGATTCTCCCACCTCAGCATCCCGAGTAGCTGGAACTACAGGTGCGTGCCACCATGCCCAGGTGTTTGTATTTTTAGTAGAGACAGGGTTTCACCATGTTGCACAGGCTGGTCTTGAACTCCTGGCCTCGTGATCTGCCCACCTTGACCTCCCAAAATGTTGGGATTACAGGAGTGAGCTACTGTGCCCAGCCATAAATTCAATTTTTTTAAACAGCTGTAACAGTTCAGGTTTTTCTATTTCTTCTTGTGCCAAGTTTGGTAACTTTTATCTCTCAAAGAATTATTCATTTCATGTAAAACAGTGAATTATTGGCATAAAGTTCAAAACATTCCACTACATTTTATTCGACATTCTATTTTAATTATATTTAAAAGGATCTCCTCTGGCAGGGCGCAGTGGCTCACTCTGTCGCCCGAGCTGGAGCGCAGTGGTGAGATCTCAGCTCGCTGCAACCTCTGATTCCTGGGTTCAAGCAATTCTCCTGCCTCAGCCTCCTGAGTAGCTGGGATTACAGGCACCCACCATTATGCCAAACTAATTTTTTCTATTTTTAGTAGAGACGGGTGTTTCACCATGTTGACCAGGCTGGTCTCAAACCCTTGACTTCATGATTCGCCTGCCTCGGCCTCCCAAAGTGCTGGGATTACAGGCATGAGCCACCGCGCCCAGCCAGAGTAGATTAATTCATCTGAGAGCTTCACCCTCATGATCCAATCACGTCTTAGACGCCACCTCTCAGTACTGCCATATTGGGGATGAAATTTCTACATGAGTTTTGGAGGGGCAGATACTCAGCATTCTGTCCAAAACTCATGTCCTTCTCAAACAGATTTGTTGCAATCCCATAGTCCCCAGATTTTATTCCAGCACTGAATCAAAAGTCCAGAGTCCAGAGTCTCATCTGTGAGCCTGTGAAATCAAATAAGTTATCTACTTCCGAGATACAATGATGGTGACAGGCAAAAGGCAGACATTCCCACTCCATCAGGGAGGGGTAAGCAATAAGAAAGGGTTAGCAGGTCCCAAGCAAGTCCAAAACCCTGCAGGGAAGGCATTAAATCCTGAAGTTGGAGAATCATCTCTTGACTCCATGTGCCACTTCCTGGACACCCCAGGGCGAGGGTTGGGTCCCCAAGGCCTCAGGCACCCCCACTCTATGGCTTTGCTCTACCTCCTATGGGTTAGAGTCTGGTGCCTGAAGCTTTTCCAGGCAAGCATGCATGCTGCCAGTGACTCCACGGTTCTTGGGTCCCAGTGGTGGTCCCACTCCCATGGCTCGCTAGACATTACCCTGGTGGGGACTCTCCAGCACCTCCAACTCATTTCCACTCAGCATTGCTTTAGTGGGGGTTCTCTGTAGTGCCTCCACCCCTGCTACAAGTCTCTGCCTGGCCCCTCAGCTTTCAGTGGTATCCTGTGCAATCTGGATGGAGGCTGCCAAGCCTTCACAGCTCTGGCTTTCCCTAAGCCAGCAGAACTAGCACCACATGGATGCCACCAAGGTTTAGGGCTTGTGTGTTCTGGAGTGAGGCATTCACATCTGGGGCTACTTGAACAACGGCTGTGGTGCCCAGAGCAGAGTCCTAAGGTGGCCCTGGGTGAGCTTGTGGAGGGCTCCTGGGGTCTGTCCCCCGAAAACATTCTGCCTTCCTAGGCCTCTGAGCCTCTGATGGGAGAGGCAGCCTCGATAATCTGAAATGCCTGCTGGGACTTAGTTTCATTGTCTTGGGAGAATTGCACCTGGCTCCCTTCTACCCAAGCTAATTTCTTTCACAAACTTCACTGGGCTATACCCTTGGTTTCCTCTGCTGAACATACTTTTACTCTACATGGCCAGGCTGAGTTTTCCAAATCTTTCCACTCTGCTTCCTTTTAATTTATAAATTCTGTTTTTAAACTATTCCTTTACTCTCAAAGCTCAGCATAAGAGGCCAAAAGTAACCAGCAGCTCCTTCTTTTTTTTTTTTTTTTTTTTTTTAAGATGAAGTTTTGCTGTTGTTGCCTAGGCTGGAGTTCAATGGTGTGATCTCGGCTCACCGCAGGCTCTGCCTCCCGGGTTCAAGCGATTCTCCTGCCTCAGCCTCCCGAGTAGCTGGGATTACAGGCATGTGCCGCCACACCCAGCTTATTTTGTATTTTTAGTAGAGATGGGGTTTCTCCACATTGGCCAGGCTGGTCTCGAACTCCCGACCTCAGGTGATCCGCCTGCCTTGGCCTCCCAAAGTGTTGGGATTACAGGTGTGAGCCACCACGCCCGGCCACCAGCAGCTCCTCTTTTTTTCTTCCAGATATCCTAGTTCATCACTCTTAAGTTTGACCTTCCTCAAAGCCCGAGGCATGGACACAATTCAGCGAAGCTCGTTGCCAATTTATATTAAGGATGACCTTTACTTCACTGTCCAACACTTTGTGCCTCCGTTCCATCTGAAACTTCATCAGAATGGCCTTTATAGTTCATACTTCTATCTGCGTTCTGGTTGTGACCACTTAATGGATCTCTAAAGAGGTCCAGTCTTTCCCTAGTCTTGTCTTCTAAGCCCTCACCAGAATCTAGGCCTTTTCTAGCCTGCTCCCCCAAATTCTTGCAGCTTCTGCCCATTACTCAGTTTCAAAGCTGCTTCTACATTTTTGGTTATTTTTTATTAGCAGCACCTCACTCTCAGTACCAATTTTCTGTCTTAGTCCATTTTCTGTTGCCTACAACAGAATCCCTGCAACTGGATTATTTATGTTTGTCTGACAGAATCTCACTCTGTTACCCAGGCTAGAGGGTAATGATGCCACAATAGCTCACTGCAACCTCAAACCTCTGGGCTCAAGTGATCTTCCTGCCTCAGCCTCCCGAGTAGCTGGGACTACAGGTGTGCGACACCATACCTGGCCTGAAACTGGGTAATTTATAAAAGAAAAGATTTTATTTCTTACAGCTATGGAGGCAGAGAAGTCCAAGGTCAAGGGGCCGCATCTGGTGAGAGTCTTCTTGCTAGTGGGGACTCTGCAAAGTCCAGAGATGGTGCGGGACATCAATGGTGAGGCGCTGAGCATACTTACGGGATAGCTCAGGTCTCTTCCTCTTCTTACAAAGCCTTCAGATCCCCTCCCTGGTAACCCATTGATCTATTAATCCACAAATGAGAGCAGAGCCCTGGTGATTCAGTCACCCCCTTAAAGGCCTTACCTCTCAGTACTGCCACATTGGAGACTGGAGATTAAATTTCTTTCCTTTTTTTTTGAGATGGAGTTTCACTCTTGTTGCCCAGGCTGGAGTGCAATGACGTGGTCTTGGCTCACTGCAGCCTCCGCCTCCCAGTTCAAGTGAGTCTCCTGCCTCAGCCTCCCGAGTAGCTGGGATTACAGGTGCCCACCACAATGCACGGCTAATTTTTTGTATTTTTAATAGAGATGGGGTTTCAACATGACGGCCAGGCTGGTCTCAAACTCCTGACCTCAGGTGATCTGCCCCCCTCAGCCTCCCAAAGTGCTGGGATGACATGGACATGAGCCACCATGCCTGGCTCTTTTTTTTTTTCCAAAAAAAAAAAAAAAAGGGTCTCGTTATGTTGCCCAGGCGGGTCTGGAACTCCTAGGCTCAAGCAATCCTCCCGCCTTGGCCTCCTCCCAGACTACTGGGATTACAGGTGTGAGCCACCATGCTCGGCCAAGTTCTTTCAACTTTTATCTTTGGAAAATATTTTGATTTCGCCTTCATTTTTGAAGGATGTTGCTGGATATATAATATGTAATTTACTTTGCCTCTGAGTGCTTGTAAGATTTTCTCTTTATCACTGGCTTGTAGCTGTTTGATTATGATGTGCCTTGGTGTGGCTTTCTTTGTTTTTATCCTTCTTGGGGGTTATTGATCTTGGATTTGTAGCTCTATTATTTTCGTTTTATTTGGAATCTTTTCCATCACAGTTTCTATTTTTTTTTTTTTTGAGACGGAGTTTCACTCTTGTTGCCCAGGCTGGAGTGCAATGGCACGATCTCGGTTCACCGCAACCTTTGCCTCCCAGGTTCAAGCAATTCTCCTGCCTCAGCCTCCCGAGTAGCTGGGATTACAGGCGCCTGCCACCACACCCAGCTAATTTTTTTGTATTTTTAGTAGAGACAGGGTCTTGCCATGTTGGCCAGGCTGGTCTTGAACTCCTGACCTCGGGTGATCCACCCGCCTCGGCCTCCCAAAGTGCTGGGATGACAGGCGTGAGCCACCGCACCCAGCCCACAGTTTCTTACAATGTTTTTCTGCCACCCTCCCACACCAAGAGGAATTCTAATTTTATTTATTTATTTTTGTTTTCATTATTATTTTTTGAGACAGAGTCTCACTCTGTTGCCCATGCTATAGTGTAGTCTCATGATCTCTGCTCACTGCAACCTCCACTTTCCAGATACAAGCAATTCTCCTGTCTCAGCCTCCCGAATAACTGGGACTACAGGTGTCCACCACTACGCCCGGCTAATTTTTGTATTTTTAGTAGAGATGGGGTTTCACCATGTTGGCCAGGCTGGTCTCAAACTTCTGACCTCAGGTGATCCACGCAACTCGGCCTCCCCAAGTGCTGGGATGACAGGCGTGAGCCATCCCTCCTAGCCAGGAATTGCAATTTTAGGTGAAATTTGCTTCCTGTTGCCCTCGGGGCACTGTGGCCCTGTTTGCTGGTGCCTTCCTGCTCCTTCACTCGCCTTCGGGGCGCTGTGGCCCTGTTTGCTGGTGCCTTCCTGCTCCTTCACTCGCCTTCGGGGCGCTGTGGCCCTGTTTGCTGGTGCCTTCCTGCTCCTTCTTCACTTGCCTTCGGGGCACTGTGGGTCTGTTTGCTAGTGCCTTCCTGCCTCTTCGCTTGCCTTCGGGGCACTGTGGCCCTGTTTGCTGGTGCCTTCCTGCTCCTTCACTCGCCTTCGGGGCGCTGTGGCCCTGTTTGCTGGTGCCTTCCTGCTCCTTCACTCGCCTTCGGGGCACTGTGGCCCTGTTTGCTGGTGCCTTCCTGCCCCTTCGCTCGCCTTCGGGGCACTGTGGCCCTGTTTGCTGGTGCCTTCCTGCCCCTTCGCTCGCCTTCGGGGCACTGTGGCCCTGTTTGCTGGTGCCTTCCTGCCCCTTCGCTCGCCTTCGGGGCACTGTGGCCCTGTTTGCTGGTGCCTTCCTGCCTCTTCGCTTGCCTTCGGGGCACTGTGGCCCTGTTTGCTGGTGCCTTCCTGCCTCTTCGCTTGCCTTCGGGGCACTGTGGCCCTGTTTGCTGGTGCCTTCCTGCTCCTTCTTCACTTGCCTTCGGGGCACTGTGGCCCTGTTTGCTGGTGCCTTCCTGCCCCTTCGCTCGCCTTCGGGGCACTGTGGCCCTGTTTGCTGGTGCCTTCCTGCCCCTTCGCTCGCCTTCGGGGCACTGTGGCCCTGTTTGCTGGTGCCTTCCTGCTCCTTCTTCACTTGCCTTCGGGGCACTGTGGCCCTGTTTGCTGGTGCCTTCCTGCCCCTTCGCTCGCCTTCGGGGCACTGTGGCCCTGTTTGCTGGTGCCTTCCTGCCTCTTCGCTTGCCTTCGGGGCACTGTGGCCCTGTTTGCTGGTGCCTTCCTGCTCCTTCTTCACTTGCCTTCGGGGCACTGTGGCCCTGTTTGCTGGTGCCTTCCTGCCCCTTCGCTCGCCTTCGGGGCACTGTGGCCCTGTTTGCTGGTGCCTTCCTGCCCCTTCGCTCGCCTTCGGGGCACTGTGGCCCTGTTTGCTGGTGCCTTCCTGCCCCTTCGCTCGCTGTGCTGCAATGTGGGCATGTTCTGTGGGTTTGTCTTCAAGTCCATTGACCTTTTCTTTTGCCTTTGAGGTCTTTTTTGTTTGTTTATTTTGTTTTGTTTTTATTTCTAAAAGGTCACCTTAGGTTCAGAAGCCTTTGTGGTCTCATGTTCATTCCACCATTGAACTTTTCATTTCAGATGTAGGTTTTTCAGCTGTAGAAGTTCTACTGGATTCTTCTTTATACCTTTCATTCCTTTCCTCATTACCACGTTTTCCTTTAAACCTGTGAAATTACTCATTTGGCTTTTTAAAAGTTCTTATCTGCTAATTCCACCATCTTTATCATGTCTGGATGTTCTTCAGGGTTTTGTTTTGTTTTGTTTGAGATGGAGTCTCACTCTGTCACCCAGGCTGGAGTGCAGTGGCGCGATCTCAGCTCACTGCAACCTCTGCCTCTCAGGTTCAAGCGATTCTCCTGCCTCAGCCTCCCGAGTAGCTGGGACTACAAATGCACGCCACCACGCCCGGCTAATTTTTGTATTTTTAGTAGAGATGGGGTTTTGTCATGTTGACCAGGCTGGCCTCAAATTCCTGACCTCAAGTGATCTGCACACCCAGCCTCCCGAAGTGCTGGGATGACAGGCATGAGCCACCACACCCGGCCTGGATGTTCTCCAGCTGATGGATGTTTCTCTTGGCTATGGGTGACATTTTCACCTCTGTGTGTTTAGTAATTTTTTTGATAGATATTGTGAATGTTACATTGTTGAGGGTCTGAAATTTGTCTTCCTTTCAAAATTATTGAATTTTTTTGCAGGCAGCTTAATGACTGTAGATCAGCTTAGTCCTTTGAGGCTTGTTTCTGAGCTTGGCTGAGGCTGGTCTACAGCGGCCTTTACTCCAGGTTAGCCGTGCTCCTGGTAGGGCTGGACCCTTCGCAGTTCTCACTGAGTGCCGCCACTGGGCAGCAAGGCCCACCACTCTGGCTCATCACACTTTGAGCACCTCCCAGGCCTGCAAGCTATTTGGGGATTGTCTGCTGTCAGCTCCCCGTGGCTTGTGGCCTGGCCCCATGGTGTGTGCAGCTTAACGTTCATCCAAACACTCATGGCAGCACTGGGGACTTCCTCTTCATGGGTCCCAGTTTCTTTCTCGTACTGGACCCCATAAATGCGAGCCTTCTGTACCTCCCCAGAGTCCAACCTCTGCCTCCTCAACTTAGTGAGTTGATACCATGCCTGTGTTTCCCCTTCATATGCTGTATTCTAGAAAATGCCACCAGGCAGAGAGCTGGCATCATGGGAGGTGCCCCCCCCATCTCCATCCTCCTGGGCAGGTCACAGCACTGCACCCTCCAACATCTAACAGCAGCTGTTGCATGGATTTTGTCCAGCTTTCTAGTTTAGGGCAGGAGGGCAAGTCCAATACTTGTTAATCATGGCTGGAAGGGGAGGTCACTGTACCATTTTTTATGTAACCGGTAAATATAAATTGGTAAGGAGTTGACAATCCTATTAATTTGGAGTCAGCTACCTGGTGGCTATCAGTCTCATTCTCTCTCCTGCCCACCTTTCCTGCCTGTGTTCCTGGCGTTCTTTTTGAAAGCAGGCTGCAAGCAGTCACATCGTCACCCTGGGGCATTTCCCTGTGCTTTGTGCTGCCTGGAAGAGCTCATAGCCAAGGAAGGGTGAAGACGGCGCGCTGCGGTGTGCGGCTTCTAGGCTGTGGAGCTCTAGTGTTGCCTTTTGGGTTCAGGGACCCACTGGGCCACTGTGAGGTGGGCTGGAGCTGCATTTCACCGACTGCCTTGCTGCAGGAGCCCTGCTCTGACTGGAGGGCCACAGAGCACACCGGGCCCCCCCGTAAGCCAGGTACGAGACTACCCGTCTCCTGCAGCAGGGCTCGGGGACCTCCCCATGGAGCCACAGGCATGGGCTTGGGGAGAGGCCCAGTGGAGAATAGAGGGTGGCACGGGGACCTGGGCCATCCTTGTGCCTTCTGGACCTGCCCAAGCCCAATCTTGGACTCCACTTCCATCTCCCAGTAAACTCCTGACGGCCCCTTGGATGTGCGACTGGTAGCTCCGACAGCACCCAGTCACGATGGGCAGCGCCAGTCTCATAAACACCGTGGCCTCCACGGTCAGGGCCCGAACACTTGCCCGCACCACCTACCAGCTGGTGGAGTCCCCTGAACATGACGGGGCCCTGCGCCGGTGGCCTTGGGCCTGGGCTGCACATCCTGCACTGAGGCTCGTCATGGGCGCCACTCGTGTCTTTGCCACACATGTGAAGCCTGTGGGAACTTCACGGCCACATGACCCACGTGGCAGGACTGCCTGTCACCCAGCCTGGGCCTGCCTCAGCCCCTTCCCTTGCTCCAGACCCCACTCAGAGCCGACGGCTTTCCCTCTCCCCCGCCAAGGGCAGAACATATTGCCTTCAAGCCCAAAGAGGCATCGGGCCTGCCCCAGCACCCTACAGGCCACCGCACCCTGAGAACATTGCTCATGGGGCAGGTCTCTGAAGTGTACGGAGTCTGCCTCCTGCCCTCCACAGCGCCCGTGTTTTTCTGAGGCCATCAGCGCACCTGCTATCTCTGCATGAGTCCAGTGCCCATTAAGGCATCCACTGAATGGGCCAACCTTTGCTCGTGGACCATCCAGTGGGTCAGGCCTTTGGGCCATGTTGGGACGAGGCACCCCACTCGGTTCTGGAGCGACCGTACCTGTGTGCCGCTGTTGGCCCCGCGTGGGCAGGAACTGCTCCGATTCCCCTTCCAAACAGGTTTCGGAAATGATGTGTTTATCAGACCAGTAGCCAAAAACCACATGCACGTGGCCACATCAGTCTCTTCTGGAAAGACCATGTGGATGGCCACAAGCGTGCCTCAGCTACTACTGTTTAAGCCTGTGGTAGTCCACTGCTGTCCACCACGGTCATGCAGCTTCCGCAGGGGTTGGGTTTCCAGATTGTAAGGCGGGTGGGGACAGGCAGATGGGGACAAGGGGGACAAGAACAAGAGGGACAGGGACAAGGGAGTGTATGGGGACAAGGGGAATGGGGATGAGGGGGATGGAACAAGGCGGGTGGGGACAAGAGGGACAGGGATAAGGGGGATGGGGACAAGGAGGGCAGGGTAAAGGGGGATGTGAATTAAGGGGACAGGAACAAGGTGGATAAGGGGACGGGGACAAGAAGGATGAGGACAAGGGGGATGGGGATGAGAGGGATGGGGATAAGGTGGGCGGGGATGAGGGGGACAGAAACAAGGGGGATGGGGATGAGGTGGGTGGGGACAAGGGACAGGAAGAAGGTGGGTGGGGACGAGGGGCACAGGGACTAGGGGCACTGGGACGAGGAGCCTGGGGACGAGGGGGATGGGAGCAAGGCGAGTGCGGATCTTTTACGTCTTCACAGGTGGCCTTAACGCCTGCCATTCTCCACAGAGGGTAGAGTTGCAGGAGCTTCCACTTTGATTTTCCCACTACAAGACTCACTCTGTTGATCAAGGAACCAGTTGAGGTTTTGCCCAGTTGCCAGGTGTGTCCAAAGTGATTTTGTTCCTTTCACAGGACATTCTGCCTCCCTGACAGCGCGGGGGATGCTTCCATGGCCTCCACAAGTTATAAAATACTCCAACACCAGTAGTATGTTAGTTACACCAGGGTGCCATTAAAAATACTGCAGAGTAGGTTACTTAACAACAGAAATTAATTATTCTCTCACAGTTCCGGAAGCCAGAAGAGACTAAAGTGTCCCAGGTTGGGTTTTGCCGGAGGCTCCTCTCCTTGGCTTGCCGATGGCCGCCTTCTTGCTGTGTCCTTGTGTGGCCTCCCTCCCTCCTCCGTGTGCACACACATCCCATGCTGTATCCCTGCGTGGCCTCCCTCCCTCCGTGTGCACACACATCCCATCCTGTGTCCCTGCGTGCCCCTCCCTCCTCTGTGTGCACACACATCCCATGCTGTGTCCATGCGTGGCCTCCCTCTCTCCGTGTGCACACACATCCCATCCTGTGTCCCTGCGTGCCCCTCCCTCCTCTGTGTGCACACACATCCCATCCTGTGTCCCTGCGTGCCCCTCCCTCCTCCGTGTGCACACACATCCCATGCTGTATCCCTGCGTGCCCCTCCCTCCTCTGTGTGCACACACATCCCATCCTGTGTCCCCGCGTGGCCTCCCTCCTCTGTGTGCACACACATCCCATGCTGTGTCCATGCGTGGCCTCCCTCCCTCCGTGTGCACACACATCCCATCCTGTGTCCCTGCGTGCCCCTCCCTCCTCTGTGTGCACACACATCCCATGCTGTGTCCATGCGTGGCCTCCCTCCCTCCGTGTGCACACACATCCCATCCTGTGTCCCCGTGAGGCCTTCCTTCCCTCCATGTGCACACATATCCCATCCTGTGTCCCTACGTGGCCCTCCCTCCTCCGTGTGCATGTACATCCCACGCTGTGTCCATGCGTGGCCCTCCCTCCTTCCTCCATGTGCACATACATCCCATGCTGTGTCCCCTCGAGGCCCTACCTCCCTCCATGTGCACACACATCCCATGCTGTGTCCCCGCAAGGCCCTCCCTCCCTCTGTGCAAACACACATCCCATGTCTCTCTGTGCATCCAAATTTCCTCCTCTTAGAAGGACCCTAGTCAGATCAGGTTAGGGCCCACCCAAAGGCCCCATTTTAACTTTACTACCTCTTTAGAGGCCCTATCTCCAAATCCAATCACATTCTCAGGTACCGGGCATTAGGTTCAGCATTTCAATTTGGGGGGAAACAAATCAACCCATAACAGGTGGATTTCCCAAAGCCTGCATTATTCAATTGTAATCAAACACACATTATTATGTATTTTCCCTGTAAAATAAGAGACAAGATCCAGGCTTGGTGGCTCAGGTCTATAATCCTGGCACTTTGGAAGGCTGAGGCAGGCAGATGCCCAGGAGTTTGACACCAGCCTGGCCAACATGGCAAAATCTCGTGTCCACAAAAAATACAAAAATTAGCCAGACGTGGCGGCATGCACCTGTTGTCTCAGCTACTCAAGCAGCTGAGGTGGGAGGATTTCTTGAGCCCAGGAGGATGAGGTTGCAGTGAGCCAAGATCGCACCACTGCTCTCCAGCCTGAATGACAGAGTGAGACCCTGTCAAAAAAAAAAAAAAGGCAAGGTTTTCTTCCAAGTGGGAAGAAAGATGGTGGATAGGATTTTTACGGAGTGTTGAAAGAGCTACTTGGAGAATCAGAAAGAAGATTAGTTGTTGGGAGGCACAGAGTGAGTACTGAGAAAACCAAGGGCCCAACTGAGGCTTGAAACTGCCAATTCTCCATTTACTGTCTTTCAGCTTCAAATACATACTTCATCGCCTGCTTGGTGAAAATGGAGCTGGGCCCTAAATTGTTTCTCCTTTAAAGCAGGTATGACGTTAAGCTTTGTAAGTAGAGGGCACTGGAGGGACCCTGCAGGAGGAAAGTGCTTCTCTTCCTGTTCTGCACTTTCTTCTGTTTTCTTCTTGTTCCTGCCATGTGGCTGCCAGCACACTCAGTGTTGCTCACCCCCAGCCAACTTCACTTGCAATGCCATGGGTGGATCCCCGTGAGTCTTGCAGATGCTCCACTGGTCAGCATCCAGCCTCAGCCTGCCCCAGAGAGGTGTTTCCTGCTTGCCAGTCCTGGCCAGGCTCCCTACCTGCCACCTTCAACCCCTCTACACCTGCAGGAGTGATTGCCCATTGACTGTGGACCAGCTCTGGCTACGGGAAAACCAGAGAACCTCTCCATCATCCATACTGCACCAAACAGCATCTCTGCAACCACACCTTTTCCAAGATTTGAGCCCCAGCCTTGGGGAGGAGGCCATCTTTCACATTTTCTCCTTCCTTGGGAACTCTCTGTCAGCCCAGAGTATTCTTTTGCATTATCTTTAGCCCTGTACAGATAATTCCATTATAGTAAATAATCCTTTATATTAAACGTTCCTTGCCCAAATGACTGTGCAGTTTCTGTCTGCTGATTGATTGCGCCCTGATGCAGAAAGGTAAAGTAACTTGACATGTTGCACAGCTGGCCCACACAATCACACAGCTGAGACTGCACAAGGACAGCTTCCTCTCAAATGTGTTGGAAATAAGAGCTTGGAGTCGCAAAGAAAATGAGCACTCAAGGCTGGGCGCGGTGGCTCACACCTGTAATCCCAGCACTTTGGGAGACCAAGGTGGGCAGATCACGAGGTCAGGAGATCTAGAGCATCCTGGCAAATATGGTGAGACCCCGTCTCTACTAAAAAAAATACAAAAAATTAGCCGGGCAAGATGGCGGGCACCTGTAGTCCCAGTTACTCGGGAGGCTGAGGCAGGAGAATGGCGTGAACCCAGGAGGCGGAGCTTGCAGTGACCTGAGATTGCACCACTGCACTCCAGCCTGGGCAACAGAGCAAGACTCTGTCTGAAAAAAAAAAAAAAGAAAAGAAAGAAAAAAAAAAAAAGAAAATGAGCACTCAAATACTAAAAACACACACAAAAAATTAGCCAGGGCTGGTGGTAGACACCTGTAATCCCAGCTACTCAGGAGGCTGAGGCAGGAGAATCGCTTGAACCTGGGAGGCAGAGGTTGCAGTGGGCCAAGACTGTGTTACTGCACTCCAGCCTGGGCAACAAGAACAAAACTCCATCTCAAAATACAAACAAAAAAAAACTTCCACTGGCTTTTTTTTGAGTGCTCACAAATTTGCCTTCTCAGCAAGGCAAATTTACTTCTGCAGAAGAGTGCCGCTCTCTCTTCTGGCCACTGGGAGAGCACACCGAACAAAGCAGGGCAGGGGTGTTTATCCCTAAAGCAGTCACGCCCTGCTACTGTGTCCAGTCCCCATTGGCTGGAGTCGCACCACACCATCTAAGCCGATCCCCATTGGCTACTTCAAATGGATCAGGGGCGGCTACAGTGGCCAAATAAGGAACAGATGTGGGTTTTACAGGTTGGGCTGCAGATTGGGAACAGATGTGGGTTTTACAGGTTGGGCTGCAGATTGGGAACAGATGTGGGTTTTACAGGTTGGGCTGCAGATTGGGAACAGATGTGGGTTTTACAGATTGGGCTGCAGATTGGGAACAGATGTGGGTTACAGATTGGGTTATAGATTGGGAGTGGCTGGAAGGTTGTTTGCTGTAAAGTGGAACCTTTGAAGAGGAACTCACTGTATCTAACAAATGTAAATCCAATTATGTCGAGTCTACTTCAAAACTTCCTGCCAGGTGTGGTGGCTCACACCTGTAATCCCAGGAAGTGGGCACGTTTTCCATGGCCAGAGCAGGAGGAGGAGAGGAGTGGGGAGGTGCCACATACTTTTTTTTTTTTAATTCTCCAATTTAAAACTTTTAGTTAAAAAGTAAACTTTAATGTTGAAAATGCAAACTTGGGGCAGGTAGAAAGATTACACACAAGGCTATCACTTCACATTTGGAGGGTTGCACAGCAGCCGGGCAAAGGCGCTCCTCACTTCCTAGACAGTCGGGGGACCCGGGCAGAGACGCTCCTCACTTCCCAGACAGTGGGGGTACCCGGGCAGAGGTGCCCCTCACTTCCCAGACGATGCCGAGGCTGGGGTGCCACATACTTTTAACAGACCAGATCTCAAGAGAACTCACTATCACCAGAAGGGCACCAAGTGGGAAATCCGCCCACATGATCCAATCACCTCCCACCAGACCCCACCTCCAGCATTGAGGATGACAGTTGACATGGGATTTGGGTGGGGACACAGACCCAAACCATATCACTCCTGAAGAGCTAGGACTACAGGAATGCTATACCTGGCTAATTGTTTTTCTTTTTTTCGTTTGTTTGTGTTTTTTTTTTTTTAGATGGAGTCTCACTCTGTTGCCAAGGCTGGAGTGCAGTGGTGTGATCTCAGCTGACTGCAACCTCCCAGGCTGGAATGCAGTGGTACAATCTTTGCTTACTGCAACCTCTGCCTCCCGTGTTCAAGAGATTCTCCTGTCTCAGTTTCCCGAGTAGCTGGGACTACAGGCGCCTGCCACCACGCCCAGCTAATTTTTTATTTTTAGTAGAGACAGGGTTTCACCATATTGGCCAGGCTGGTCTTGAACTCCTGTCCTCAGGTGATCCACCTGCCTCAGCCTCCCAAAGCGCTGGGATTACAGGAGTGAGCCACTGCGCCTGGCCACACCTGGCTAATTTTAAAAAAATTTCTTGTAGAAATGAAGTCTCACTATGTTGACCAGGCAAGTGTCAAACTAACTCCTGGCTTCAAATGATCCTCCTGCCTCAGTCTCCTAAAGCACTAGTATTAAAGCTGTGAGCCATCATGGTTAGCCTGTTTTTATATCTGGGAACTGTTGCTGTACAAAAATCAAATATGGGGTTGGAGTGGTTCACATCTATAATCCCAGCACTTCAGAAGGCTGAGGTGGGATGATTGCTTGAGTCTAGGAGTTTGATACCAGCCTGGACAACAGGAAGTCTAGGCTGCAGTGAGCTGTGTCGGGCTGCTGCACCCCAGCCTGGGCAACAGAGCAAGCCCTTGCCTCAAAAAAAGAAATCAAATATGAAGACTAAGAGTTTTAGGATTTGGTGTTAAGAGGTTTTGTTTTGCGTTGTTTTGAATTTTTGTGGGCACATAGTAGGCGTACGTATTTATGGGGTACATGTTTTTGTTTCTTTTTTTTTTTTTTTTGAGACAGAGTCTCACTCTGTCACCCAGGCCGGAGTGCAGTGGCGTGATTTCAGTCCACTGCAAGCTCCGCCTCTCAGGTTCAAGTGATTCTCCTGCCTCAGCCCCCGAGTAGCTGGGACTACAGACGAGCACCGCCACACTTGGCTAATTTTTGCATTTTTAGTACAGACGGGGTTTCATCATGTTGGCCAGGCTGGTCTCGAACTCCGGGCCTCAAGTGATCCACCTGCCTCAGCCTCCCATGGGGTATACGTTTTGATACAGGCGTGCAAAGTGTAATAGTCACATCATGGATAGTGGGGTATCCATCCCCTCAAGCATTTATCCTTTGCGTTACAAACAATCCGATTATACTCTGTTACTTTAAAATGTACAATTAAATTATTATTGAATATAGTCACCCTGTTGTGCTATCAAATACTAGGTCTTATTCTTTCTAATTTTTTTGTACCCATTAGTTAAGGGTTTTTTTTTTTTTGAGACAGAGTTTCACTCTTGTCACTCAGGCTGGAGTGCAGTGGTGAGATCTCGGCTCACTGCAACCTCTGCCTCCTGGGTTGAAGCGATTCTCCTGCCTCAGCCTCCTGAGTAGCTGTGATTACAGGTGCACGCCACCATGCCCGACGAATTTTTGTATTTTTAGTAGAGACAGGATTTCACCATGTTGGCCAGGGTGGTCTTGAACTCCTGACCTCAGGTGATCCACCCACCTCGGCCTCCTGAACTGCTGGGATTATGAGACTTACGGTTTACCAAAGGGGTGCGATGGGCCTTCTGTGTGGTGTCCGCATCCTCTCCTAGCTGGTTTCGGGAGAGTGCCGGCCCTCTGGGGCCTCTCTCCCTGGCTCGCCCTTTAGAAGGGGTTCACATAGTTAGAACCTTAGCAGTAAAGGTAACCTGTGCCTTGCGCAGGGCGGGGGACCTGGTGGGGACCCCAGAGGCAATGGTGTCAGCCCCGGTTATGGACTGGCGTCACTTGCGGCAGCCAGGTCCCACATGCACCCACCCTAATTTAATTAGACCAGGCAGCTAGGCAGGAACACGTTTATTTATTTTTAATTAAGCTTTTTGTGATAATTTTAGATTTGCATGCAGCTGTAAGGTGTTTTACAGAGAGATGCTGGGCACCCTTTACCTCCCTCAGTGGTAGCACCTGGAACCCTGCAGTGCACACAGCTGGGGTATTGATGTTCACAGAGTCAGGATATGGTCCTCACCCTTCCACAGCCACACCCACTCCCTCCCTCCAACCCTCCTTCAGGGCTGGCAACCATTCATCTGTTCTGTCCATTTCTGTAATTCTTTTTTCTTTTCTTGTCCTTTCCTTTTCTTTTCTTTTTTTCTCCTTCCTTCCTCCCTTCCTTCCTTCCTTCCCTCCCCTCTCTCTTTCTCTCTTTCTTTCTTTTTCTTTTCTTTCTTTTTTTTTGACAGTCTTGTTCTGTTGCCCAGGCTGGAGTGCAGTGGCGCGATCTTAGCTCACTGCAACCTCCACCTTTCAGGTTCAAGAGATTTTCCCAAGCCTCCCAAGTAGCTGGGATTACAGGCATGCACCATGCCTGGCTAATTTTTGTATTCTTAGTAGAGACGAGGTTTCACCATGTTGGCCAGGCTGGTCTGGAACTCCTGACCTCAGGTGATCCGCCTACCTCGCTTAGCCTCCCAAAGTGCTGGGATTACAGGCATGAGCCACAGTGCCTGGCCCATTTCTGTAATTCCATCTTTTCAAGAATGTCCTGTGAATGGAATCATATACAGTATATATGGAATTGTTCTATTGAGGCCCAGTGTCACCAGTACCCATGGATATACAATCTCCTGGTGGGGCCAGGGTGCACCATGGCTCATGCCTGTAATCCCAGCACTTGGGGAGGCCAAGGTTGGAGGATTGCTTGAGGTCAGGAATTTCAGATCAGCCTGGGCACCATATTGAGACCTGTCTCTACAAAAAATTTTGAAAAGTTAGCCAGGTGTGGTGATGCACTCCTGCAGGCCCAGCTACGTGGTGGGCTCAGGCGGGAGGATGGCTTCAGCCCACGAGGTAGAGGTTACAGTGGCTGTTGCTGGGAAAGTGTGATACATGCAAGAGAATGAAGTTGGACCCTCGTCAGTACCACATACAAAAATTAACTAGAAATGGATCATGCTGGGCACCGTGGCTTGCACCGCTTGTACCTGTAATCCCAGCACTTTGGGAGGCTGAGGAGAGTGGATCACCTGAGGTCGGGAGTTCGAGACCAGCCTGGCCAACATGGTGAAACCCTGTCTCTACTAAAAATACAAAAAAAAATTAGCCAGGTGTGGTGGTGCACACCTGAAATCCCAGCTACTTGGGAGACCGAGGTGGGAGAATCCCTTAAACCCGGGAGGCAGAGGTTGCAGTGAGCCGAGATCACGCCACTGCACTCCAGCCTGGGCAACAGAGCAAGACTGTCTCAAAAAAATAAGTAAATAAAGTAAAATAAAAAGTAAAAATGGATCAAAGATCTGGATGCAAGACCTGAAACAGTAAACTCTTGTTAGAAACTGGGAGCAGAAGCTTTTGACACACACTGGGTTTGGCAATGATTCCTTGGACACCAAAGGTACAGGCAACAACAACAAACAGCCAAATGGCTTCGTGAAAATTAAAGCCTTTTGTTCATCAAAGGACACTCCTAAAAGAGTGAAAAGCTGCCCCTTCCCCACAGAACGGGAGAATATCTGCAAATCACGTGTCCGATGAGGGACTCATATCCAAAATATCGAAGGAACTCCTTGTGGAGGCCAAAGCCGCTCCAGCCTGGATGGTGACTATTGTGTGGGCTTTCGACTAACCCGTCCAGGGAAGGCCTCCGACGTTTCCAGGTGATCTGTTGTTCCTTGTGTAAGGGCAGGCACTTGCTATAAACCCTGCCGCAGGGTCAGACGGCCCTGATGCCGCCCATTGTCCTGCACTTCCCTCCCAACCCTCCCCGTGGTACACAAGCCCTGGGCGGGGGCAATGGTGGGATCCAGTATCTCCTCTTGCCGCTGCCAAGACAGACATGGCTTCTTTTTCTAAGTCCCTGTTAAGTGTTTCTTTCTAAGAAACTGGGTTTGTTAGCCTTTTTCTTTGACCTCTCAGCTTCCTCGGACTTTGGAGACAGGTTTACATAGACCTACTTACCATGGAACACTCCAGAAAACGACTCCCCAAAAACAACCTGATTCAAAAATAGGCAAAGGACTAATTAGACCTCTCTCCCAAGAATGGCCCAATAGGCTGGGCGTGGTAGCTCACACCTCTAATCCTAGCACTTTGGGAGGCCAAGGTGGGCGGATCACCTGAGGTTGGGAGTTCGAGACCAGCCTGACCAACATGGATAAACCCTTGTCTCTACTAAAAATACGAAATTAGCGGGGCGTGGTGGTGGGTGCCTGTAATCCCAGCTACTCGGGAGGCTGAGGCAGGAGAATTGCTTGAACCCAGGAGGTGGAAGTTGTAGTGAGCTGAGATCACGCCACTGTACTCCAGCCTGGGCGACAAAGTGAGACTCCGTCTCAAAAAAAAAAAAAAAAAAGTAAAGAAAAGAATGGCCCAATAAGCACATGAGAGGATGTTCACACCACTCATTCTTAGAGAACTGCAAATCAAAGCCACAATGAGATACCACCTCACACCCATTAGGATGGCAAACAATTAAAATAACAAAACAAACACAAAACAGAAACAACTTAAAACAGAAAAATAACAGGTATTGGCAAGGCTGTGGAGAAGCTAGAACCCTGTGTGCTGCTGTTTGGAATGTAAAATAGTACATAGTACACCTCCTAAGGAGAGCAGCATGGCGGGTCCTCGGCGTGTGGTGCCTGGAGTGACGTCGGGTCCTCGGCGTGTGGTGCCTGGAGTGACCGGCGGGTCCTCGGCGTGTGGTGCCTGGAGTGACCTTGTGACCTGGCCATTCCACTTCTGGGCATATTCCCAGAGCTGTGAAAGCAGGCACTCACGCAGACGTTTGCACCCCTACGTTCACAGCAGCACCATTCCCAGCGGCTCAAGAGTCCGTCAATGGACAAATGGATACACCGAATGTGGTATGGACACACAGCAGAATATTAGCCTTAAAGAAGAAGTCAATTCTGACACACGCTTCAAGAGGGATGAACCTTGAGGACATTGTGCTGAGTGAGATAATCAGTCACAAGAGGACCAATACTGTGTGTGATTCCATTTCTACGAGGTATCCACAGTAGCCAGATTCATAGAAACAAAGTAGAACGGTGGTTTCTAGGGCTGCAGAAGAGGGGAATGGAGAATACTAGAGGATCATAGAAGTTAAAGACTTAAAACAAACTTTAACAATTAGGACAGGATACCAAGGTGCAAATGCCTGGTTAAAATGGATCAAATATTCCATCTACACATTAAACAAAAGCAACTGTTACGCTTGTGCACATGGCAGGCCAGAGGCCCAGATTGTCCCCCTCCACTAAGGTGGTCGCCAGTCGACCAGGCGTGGCTGCATAGTAGCTCTTTTCCAGGATTCTACAGCCTGCAGTAACAAGACGTGCCAAGCTCTCTCTGCTATATCCCGAAATCCAGCACCCTGTGGGTCAGCCCGCAAGGGCCATCCAGCTTCTGTCTCCCAACACTAAGTTCACTTCGTGTCTCTCACGACAGGGAGGAAACAGCATTCCTTGGAGACCTGAAGGGATGCGATGAGCTTAAGAATTTTCGAGAGCTTATCAATCAGTCAGCCCTTGTTCATCCCTGTGCGGATGTGTGGTGGTATTGTGGTGGACCTTTACTGGGCACTCTGCTGAATAACTGGAATGGCACTTGTGCTTTAGTCCGTTTGGCTATCCCTTTCACCCTGGCATTTCATCAACCAGAGGGAGAAAAAATAAGACGTCATAAAGCGAGAGAAGCCCCTTATGGGTCTTTCAACTCTCACGTCTATTTGGATGCAGTTGGGGCCCCTCAAGGAACACCAGATCAATTAAAGCTTGAAATCAAATAGCTATAGGATTTACGTCAATATTTTAGTAGGTGACAGTTAATAAAAGTGTAGATTAGATAAACTACATCTATTACAACCAACAGCAACAAGCTTTTCATGAGTTAAAAGAAAAACTCCTGTTGGCCCCAGCCCTGAGTCTACCTGACGTGACAAAACCTTTTACACTCTATGTGTCAGAAAGAGAAAAAATGGCATTTGGAGTTTTAACCTAGACTGTGGGGCCCTGGCTAAGGGCAGTGGCCTATCTCTCTAAACAACTATAGGGGGTTTCCAAAGCCTGGCCCCCGTGTCTAAGGGCCCCGGCAGCAACGGCCCTGTTAGCACAAGAAGCAGATAAACTAACTCTTGGACAAAACCTGAATATAAAGGCCCCCCATGCTGTGGTAACTTTGATGAATCCCAAAGGACATCATTGGCTAACAAATGCTAGATTAACCAAGTACCAAAGCTTGCTGTGTGAAAATCCCCACATAACCACTGCAGTTTGCAACACCCTAAACCCCAGCACCTTGCTCCCGGTATCGGGGAGCCCAGTTGAACATAACTGTGTAGAGGTGTTGGACTCAGTTTATTCTAGCAGGCGCAACCTCCGAGACCATCCTTGAACATCAGTAGACTGTGAGCAGTACGTGGATAGCAGCAGCTTCGCCAACCCCTGCAAAGTGACTCTGAGGAAGACGACAAGCCCTGCTCCAGTCACGCCCAGAAGCTGACTGGTCCATGCACGGCCGAAGCATGAGGAAACTCATCGCAGGACTCGTTTTCCTTAAAATTTGGACTTGTACAGTAAGGACTTCAACTCACCCTCCTCAGACTGAGGACTGTTCCTAGTGTATACATCAAGTCACTGAGGGAGGACAAAATGTTGCTACAGTCCCATTATTTTACGGTTATTATAAGTGTACTGGAACTCTAAAAAGAACTTGTTTGTATAATGTTATTCTATACAAGGTATGTGCCCAGGAAATGACCAACCTGATGTGTGTTATGACCCATCTGAGCCTCCCATGACCACAGTTTTTCAAATAAGATTAAGAATTAAAGACTGGTGGGGGCTCATAAACAATATGAGTAAAGTGTTAGCCAAAAAAAACAAACAAAAAGAGGTGCCCAAACAAGTCACCTTGAAGTGTGATGCCTGTGCTGTCATTAATACTAATAAGTTAGGAATAGGATGTGGTTCTCTTCATTAGGAAAGAGGCTGTATGGCAGAAAATAAGTACATTTATCATGAGTTAGGACTGTGTGGAAATGAATGTAGTTACTGGTCTTGTGTCATTTAGGCTACTTGGATAAAAAATGAAAAAAATTCTGTCCACCTTCAGAAAAGGAAAAGTGGCCCTTCCTATACCAGTGGTCAGTGTAACCCCTTAGAACTAGTAATAACCAACCCCCTTAATCCTCGCTGGAAAAAAAGGAAATGTGTAACCCTAGAATTTTTTTTTTTTTTTGAGATGGAGTCTCGGTCTGTCACCCAGGCTGGAGTGCAGTGGAGCGATCTCGGCTCACTGCGAGCTCTGCCTCCCGGGTTCACGCCATTCTCCTGCCTCAGCCTCCTGAGTAGCTGGGACTACAGGTGCCCGCCACCACACCCGGCTAATTTTTTGTATTTTTAGTAGAGATGGGGTTTCACCGTGTTAGCCAGGATGGTCTCGATCTCCTGACCTCGTGATCCGCCCGCCTCTGCCTCCCAAAGTGCTGGGATTACAGGCGTGAGCTACCGTGCCCGGCCATAACCCTAGAAATTCATGGGGCTGGACTGGATCTTCAAGTAAATATTGTGGTTTGAGGAGAAGTTTATAAACGCTCTCCTGAGCCAGTATTTCAAACCTTCTATGATGAACTGAATGTGCCAGCACCAGAAATTCCAGGAAAAATAAGAAATTTGTTTGCAATTAGCTGACCATGTAGCCCAGTCTCTCAATGTCACTTCATGCTATGTGTGTGGAGGAACTATAATAAAAGACCAATGGCCACGGGAAGCCCAAGAATTAGTACCTACAGACCCAGTTCCTGACGAATTCCTGGCTCAGAAAAATCACCCTGATAACTTCCGGGTCCTAAAAGCCTCAATCACTAGACAATACTGTATAGCAAGAGTAAGGGGCCGGGCGCGGTGGCTCACGCCTGTAATCCCAGCACTTTGGGAGGCCGAGGCGGGCGGATCACAAGGTCAGGAGATGGAGACCATCCTGGCTAACACGGTGAAACCCCGTCTCTACTAAAAATATAAAAAATTAGCCAGGCGTGGTGGCGGGCGCCTGTAGTCCCAGCTGCTCGGGAGGCTGAGGCAGGAGAATGGCGTGAACCCGGGAGGCAGAGCTTGTAGTGAGCTGAGATCACGCCACTGCACTCCAGCCTGGGTGACAGAGCAAGACTCCGTCTCAAAAAAAAAAAAAAAAAAAAAAGAGTAAGGAAGGACTTCACCCTTCCTGTAGGACGACTCAGCTGCCTTAGGCAAAAACTGTATAATGGTACTACAAAAACAGCCACCTAGTGGAGTTCAAACCATACTAAGAAAAATCCATTTAGTAAATTCCCAAAGTTGCAAACCGTGTGGACCCATCCGGAGTCCCACCGAGACTGGACAGCCCCCACTGGATTATACTGAATGTGTGGGCATAGGCCTTACACCAAATTACCCGACCAGTGGGCAGGCAGTTGTGTGATTGGCACTATTAAACCATCTTTCTTCCTACTGCCTATAAAGACAGGTGAACTCCTGGGCTTCCCTATGTTTCCCGCGAAAAGAGAAGCATAGCTATAAAAAAATAAGAAAGATAATAAATGGCCCCCTGAGAGAATGATGGAATATTATAGGCCTGCTACTTGGGCACAAGATGGCTTGTGGGGATACCGGACCCCCATCTACATGCTCAACCAAATCATACGGTTACAAGCTGTCTTAGAAATAATCACTAATAGGACCGGCAGAGCCTTGACTATTCTGGCCCGGCAAGAAACTCAGATGAGAAATGCTATCTATCAAAATAAATTGACTCTCGACTACTTGCTAGCAGCTGAAGGAGAAGTCTGTGGGAAATTGAACCTTACCAATTGCTGCCTGCACATACATGATCGGGGCAAGTAGTTGAAGATACAGTTAAAGACATGACGAAACTGGCACATGTGCCTGTACAAGCGTGGCACGGATTTGATCCTGAGGCCATGTTTGAAAATGGTTCCCAGCGCTAAGAGGATTTAAAACTCTTATAATAAAAATTACAGTAGTAATAAGAACCTGCTTACTGATCCGTTGTTTACTACCTGTACTCCTTCAAATGGTAAAAGGTTTCATCACTACTCTAGTTCACCAGAATGCTTCAGCACAGCCGAGCGCGGTGGCTCACGCCTGTAATCCCAGCTTTTTGGGAGGCTGAGGCAGGCGGATCATGAGGTCAGGAGATCGAGACCATCCTGGCTAACGCGGTGAAACCCCGTCTCTACTAAAAATACAAAAAAAAAAAATTAGCTGGGCATGGTGGCGGGCGCCTGTAGTCCCAGGTACTCAGGAGGCTGAGGCAGGAGAATGGCGTGAACCCGGGAGGCGGAGCTTGCAGTGAGCCGAGATCGCGCCCCTGCACTCCAGCCTGGGCGACAGAGCAAGACTCCGTCTCAAAAAAAAAAAAAAAAAAAAAAAAAAAAAGAATGCTTCAGCACAAGTGTACTTCATGAATCACTATCGCTCTGTCATGCAGGAAGACATAGCTAGTGAGGAAGAAGGTGAGAACTCCCACTAATAAAATGAGTGAGAGTCTCAAAGAGGGGGAATAAGGGAGGAGACTGCCCCTCATATCCTCTTATGCCCAATTTCTGCCTCCAAAGAAAGAAGAAGTAAAAGCTAAAAGGCAGAAATGAAATCTACAGGTAGACAGCCCGGCGCCGCACCCTGGGCCTGGTAGTTAAAGACTGACCCCTGACCTAACCGGTTGTGTTACCTATAGATTCCAGACATTGTAAAAATCCCTGTCCCGTTCTGTTCCGTTCTGATTACCAGTGCATGCAGCCCCCAGTCACGTACCCCCTGCTTGCTCAATTGATCACGACCCTCTCACGCGGACCCCCTTAGAGTTGTGAGCTCTTAAAAGGGACAGGAATTGCTCACTCAGGGAGCTCGGCTCTTGAGACAGGAGTCTTGCCAATGCTCTCGGCCAAATAAACTCCTTCCTTCTTTGACTTGGTGTCTGAGAGTTTTGTCTGCATCTTGTCCTGCTACAAGCTCACGGCAACCTCTGCCTCCTGGGTTCAAGCAATTCTTCTGCCTCAGCCTCCTGAGTAGCTGGGACTATAGGCACGCACCACCACGCCCGGCTATTTTTTGTATTTTTAGTAGAGATGGAGTTTCACCCTGTTGGCCAGACTGGCCTCGAACTCCTGACCTATGATCTGCCCGCCTCGGCCTCCCAAAGTGCTGGGATTATAGGCATGAGCCACCGCACCTGGCCCATACAGCTTTTATAATATTATAGATTTTTTTCTTCCCAATGTTTTAAGAGATGGGGTCTTGGCCGGGCACAGTGGCTCACGTCTGTAATCCCAGCACTTTGGGAGACCAAGGCAGGCAGATCAACTGAGGTCAGGGGTTCGAGACCAGCTTAGCCAACATGGTGAAACCCTGTCTCTACAAAACATACAAAAAATTAGCTGGGCATGGTGGCGGGCCCCTGTAGTCCCAGCTACTCGGGAGGCTGAGGCTGGAGAATCACTTGAACCCAGGAGGTGGAGCTTGCAGTGAGCCGAGATTGCACCACTGCACTCCAGCCTGAGCAACAGAGTCAGACTCCATCCGAAAAAAAAAAACAGTTTTGAAAGTGTTGAGCACCCGATTCTATCGCTGATCGGGGCGCCACTTGTAACCTGCACGGACCTAAGGGGACTGAACAAAGGGGGCGAACTCGGGAATAAAGACAAGAGACAAAAGAGTATATTTGGAAGAGGGCGTCAGGGGGCACCTTGCCTCTAGTGGACAAGGGCCCTGAGCTTTACACAGCCCTCCGTATCTATTAGGCAAAAGAGATAGTGAGAAAAGGGGGGTGATTGTCGGGTAATTGTCAGTCGGCCTTGAACAGGCTGCATCCTTTGGACAATAGAGTATTTCTCAATAGATAACTTCAAGGAGCCCAGAGCCAGGGAGCGAGGCCCTCAGCAAACCTTTTGGTGGCAGGGCAGTGTGAGTTCACCCACATCCTGCATTCATGGTAAACAGTTTGCTGTTTGATCATAGAGCCTCCAGCGGAATGCTGAGTTGGTCACGTCCCACGGGCCTTCGGCTCCCTGCATGAAGCTATGACACAGGTGCCCTCCCTACAGTCTTTCCCAGGCCTGCTGGGTCTCAAGTAGCCATGTGGCACCCAGGGAGGCTGTCAAGGCTGTCTGAGGCCCGAAGTTACATCCTAGGTTAGAGCTCAGGACAGAAGACAGAGCTGTGAAGGCAATGCCTGGAGGATCCAACCTCTCCCAGAATAGCCAGGAGGCAAAACTGGCGAAAGGGGACCACATGGGGCTGGATTCTGCTTGGGAGCTGCTGGTCGAGGCACTGAGAACTTGTCCCCAGACCTCACCATGGCCACCTGTCCAGCCCCGATTCCAGAGGCTCAAAACCAAAAACATAAGTAACAGCAAATCAACAAGTATTAAATTATATGTAACTAACAATTTTGAAGACATTCCTATTGACATAGGATGTTGTTCTCAGTCATTCTGCAAGCCAGGGACCTCCGGCCAGCGACGCCCCGCCAGGGCCTCGCTTGACACACTACCTGCTGCAGGAGACAGCCCGTCAACTCCCCCGAGTTCCCGAATGCTTGTCCACGGCCAAGAAGAATGAGGAGGCTCTGACAATCGAAGAGTGAGCAAGGCGGGGAATTTCACTGGGTGACGGGGCAGCTTTCAGTGGAGAGGGGACATGGCGTGGTCCCCCTACATGAAGGCAGGAAAGTTCCCCATGTTATGGACTCAGAATGGGGAGGGCGTGCTGATTGGTTTGTGAGTAATGCAAAAAAGGTTAAAGCAAAGGCACCACTGAAAGGTGGGCATGACAGTGTAGAAAGCCAATTAGAAAAGGGTAGGTATATGTAAAATAGGTGAAGGGTGGGACCAATCAGAGGAAAGTGCGCCAGACAGGAAGACAGGCTCTCAATCCGGTCTGAGGATTCGACTTGCAGCTTGGCTTTCAGGCTTTAAGCTGTTTTCAGCGTCGAGGTGGAGGTTTCACTGGGGACCTGCCCCCATTTGGCTGGGCATTTGGCTGCCTGCCTCCTGTCGCTATCACTCCTTTACTAGTGAGGACTAAACTGATCTTTTTCTCTCTTGCTCAAGTTCTTATCTAAAGGGCCTGGGGAGTCTGCCCTACAAACCATAAAATGTCATCAGATAGGTTTTATTTAACCCTATATAATTGGCTTAGTTTCCAACCTGACTCTAGCATAACGTCACATGACAGATAAAGGAAATCAAAATATTTTACTCTTTTTTTTTTTTTTTTTTTGAGACGGAGTCTCACTCTGTCGCCCAGGCTGGAATGGAGTGGCGCGATCTCGGCTCACTGCAAGCTCCGCCTCTGGGTTTCACACCGTTCTCCTGCCTCAGCCTCCCGAGTAGCTGGGACTACAGGCGCCCGCCACCATGCCCGGCTAATTTGTTGTATTTTTAGTAGAGACGGGTTTCACCATGTTAGCCAGGATGGTCTCGATCTCCTGACCTCGTGATCCACCCGCCTCGGCCTCCCAAAGTGCTGAGATTACAGGCGGGAGCCACCGTGCCCGGCCTATTTTACTTTTAAATATATTTCTTGGCTATACTTTGGATGCTTTCAGGTCATAGGTGGATTCAAAGATTTTCTGATTGGCAATTGGTTGAATAAGTTAAGTGATTACCTAAGACCTGGAATCTATAGAAAGGCGTGTCTAGGTTTGAACAGTTGGCCACCCTTGTGTGGGTGGAGTATTACATAGGTGCCTAGGCAAGAGACTGAAGGCACAAACTGTTTCAGTATAATAAAGAAAATAGTTAGAATAAGAATAGTCATAATACAAATTAGATATAGAGATGACCATGAACAATTATCAATCATTATTATAAACATTATTAATCATTAGCTTTTACCATTACTCTTTGTTGCATTACTAATATAACCTAGGAATAACCGGCGGATATAGGGTCGGGTGCTGAAGGGACATGGTGAGAAGTGACCTAGAAGGCAAGAGGTGAGCCTTCTGTCACTCCCACATCAGGGCTGCTTGAGGGCTCCTTGGTCAAGCCCTAACGCCAGTGTCTGGGAAGTCACCCGTTGCTTAGTAGACTGCGAAAGGGAGTCTCCTTTCCTTGGAGGAGTCAGGGAACACTCTGCTCCACCAGCTTCTTGTGGGAGGTTGGATATTACCCAGGCCTGGCCGCAGTCATCCGGAGGCCTAAACCCCTCCCTGTGGTGCTTCAATGTTCACGCTCCTTGTCCACTTTCGTGTTCCTCCTGTACTCCTGGTTCCTCTTTGAAGTTCGTAGTCGATAGCGGTAGAAGAAATAGTGAAAGTCTTAAAGTCTTTGATTAATGCTAACTTATGCTGCCTTCTCTCTCTGCTTCCGCTACCTAAGAGGGAAGGGCCCCCTGTCCTGTAATCATGTGACTTGCTTCACCTTGTCAATCACTTAGAAGATTCACCCTCCTTACCCTGGCCCCTTGTCTTGTATGCAATAAATATCAGCGCGCCCAGCCGTTTGGGGCCACTACCGGTCTCTGCGTCTTGATGGTAGTGGTCGCCCGGGCCCAGCTGTTTTCTCTTTATCTCTTTGTCTTGTGTCTTTATTTATTACAATCTCTCATCTCCGCACACGGGGACAACACCCGCTTAGCCCCGCAGGGCTGGACCCTACACCCTTGATTGGCTGGAACTGGGTGACTGGCAGGAGAGCAAGTGACAGTCTGTTCACACCTCCAGTTAGGTTACAGTTCACTTTGTAGGATAAACCTTTAGGCCGACTTTAGGTTATGAGGGCCGGGATCGGTGGTTCACGCCTGTAACCCCAGCACTTTGGGAGGCCAAGTCAGGCGGATCACCTGAGGTCAGGAGTTCAAAACCAGCCTGACCAACATGATGAAACCCCCGTCTCTACTAAAATTACAAAAAAATCAGCCGGGCGTCGTGGCGCTTGGCTGTGACCGGGGCGGGGCCTGCCGGCTGCGGCGGAACCACAAGCGGTGCGGGGCGAGGCGGGCGGCCTGGACGGCCTGGAAGGCCAGCGCGCACCACCGAGACGTGGGCTCCTAGAGGGGCCGGAAGCTTTCGGATAACAACTTCCGCTCGGGAAGTTTGTAAAAGTCTGGGCTACCGGCGCGGCGTAGTGGATGCAGCATCCTAGTGGAGGACGCCCCTGTGGTGAGTGCGCCCGTGTCCCCCGCCGCCCCTCCGTCCCTGGGTCGTGGGCTGTCAAACCTTCTAATTCTGCGGCCGCCCCAGGGCTGTGAGACCCAGCGTCGCGGCTGCTGGGACAGACCGGGGAGGCTGCCCGTGCCCTCGGCTATTCGGGGGCTGTTCTTCAGCTTCTTCCGGCTCGGCCTCCTCTTCTCTCCTCGCTCCTTACACTTGCAGGTTTGTCAGGACCCGGTTGCGTATCCTCTTGAAGCTGGTTTCTTCCTGGCCGACCCCGTCCGCGATCGTGACCTTAGTTATCCCTCATAGACACTTTCCACACCTGTGTCTCCAGCCCTATCGCTCCGATGAGACCCGAGCGCTTAGACTTGATTCATAACACCCAAAGCTCCCCGGCCCCAGGCTGAGCTCCTGCAACCTCCACACCCCACCCTCTGGTCCTCCCAGGCATTCCACCGCGAAGGGGAGGAGGCAGAAACCCGAGATTCGCTTCTTCTCCTTTCCTGCCCACGCCCAGCCACACAGTCACTGGTGCGTTAGCTCCATAACTGAACCATTTGCCTCCTTGCCATTCCCACCCTGTAAGTCCCAATCCTGGCCGTCTTCCTCTCTCACCTGAACGCCTCCCTGTCTTCTCCCCACCCCCATCCTGTTTTGCTGCTTTCTCATTTGTTCATCACAGAGGATCTTTTATAAAATGTAGCTTAGCCAGGCAAGGTGGCTCCCGCCTGTAATCTCAGCTCTTGGGAGGCCGAGGCAGGTGGATCACTTGAGTCCAGGAGTTCTAGACCAGCTTGGTCAGCATGTTGAAACCTTGTCTCTACAAAAAATACAAAAATTAGCCGGGTGTGGTGGTGCACGCCTGTAATCCCAGTTACTCTGGGGAGGCTGAGGCAAGAGAATCGTTTGAACCCAAGAGGCAGAGGTTGCAGTGAGCAGAGATCGCGCCACTGCACTCCAGCCTGGGCGACAGAGCGAGACATCATCTTATTAAAAAAAAAAAAAAAAAAAAGGTAGCTTAGGCCGGATGCTGTGGCTGACGCCTGTAACCCCAGCACTTGGGGAGGCTGAGGCCAGAGGATCTCTTGAGGCCAGGAGTTTGAGATCAGTCTTGGCAACATAGTGAGACCCCGTTTCTGCAAAAAACTTAAAACAATTGCAGGGCATGTTGGCACATGCGCTTTTGGTCCCAGCTACTGGGGAGACTGAGGTGGGAGGATCACTTGAGCCCAGGAGGTCGAGGCTGCAGTGAGCTGTGATTGCACTACTGCATTCCAGCCTGGGTGACAGAGCAAGGACCTGCCTCAGAGAAAAAAAAATCCTGTGTTAATTTGCCTAGGGGAAAAAAAGTAGCTATGACAATATCCTTCTGTTCTCCCGTATTAAACTTTGTTGCATTACACATGAAACCACGGCTCAGGAGGCCTTGAGGAATCTGGCTTTAGCCCCTTTCCTGGCCTATCTCACGGTTCTCCCTGACTCTGCTTTCCAGGCTGGGAAGCCCAGTCCAGGTTGTGCAAACACAGCTGTTGAGCTGAGGGGAGAGGGTGTTTTTTTTTTGTTTTTGTTTTTGTTTTTTTTGAGATCGTCTCGCTCTGTCTCCCAGGCTGAAGTGCAGTGGCATAATCTCGGCTCACTGCAACCTCCGCCTCCCGGGTTCAAGCAGTTCTCCTGCTTCAGCCTCCCAAGTAGCCTGGCTAATTTTTTGCATTTGTAGTAGAGATGGGGTTTCACCATGTTGGCCAGGCTGGTCTCGAACTTCTGACCTCAGGTGATCCACCTGCCTCGGCCTCCCCAAGTGCTGGGATTACAGGCGTGAACCACCGCGAATGGCCGGGAGCTGTTATTTTTATCACTGTGGTCATTGCTACTTGCTAGAGGAACTCAGCAAGGTGTTCTAATTGGAAAACACCACCCATGACCCATGTGCTCAGTGTGCCTTTTCATGTTTTTATAGACCGTTGTATAACTTTGGTTGAAGTGTCTGTTCTAATATTTTGCCCAGTTTAAATTTTATTTCTCTTTTTTATTGATTTGTAGGAGTTACAATTCTTTATATAAGTCCTTTGTCAGATACATGTATTGGGAATATTTTCTCTTAGTCTGTGGCTTACCTTTGTGTCTCTTTTTAGAAAAAAAAATTTAAACAATAGAGACAGAGGTCTCCCTATGTTGCCCAGGCTGGTCTCAAACTCCTGGCCTCAAGCAATCCCCCTGCCTTAGCCTCCCAAAGTGCTGGGATTACAGGCGTGAGCCACTGCACCCCGTCTCCTTTTTTTTTTTTCTTAACTGCCTTGGTAAACAAAAATTTTTAATTCTGATAAATCCAATTTGTGATTTTTTTTTTTTTTTGAGACGGAGCTTTGCTTTTGTTGCCCAGGCTGGAGTGCAATGGCGCGATATCGGCTCGCCGCAACTTCTGCCTCCTGGGTTCAAGTGAATCTCCTGCCCCAGCCTCCTGAGCAGCTGGGATGACAGGCAAGTGCCACCACGCCTGGCTAATTTTGTATTTTTAGTAGAGATGGGGTTTCTCCATGTTGGCCAGGCTGGTCTCAAACTCCGTACCTCAGGTGATCCGCCCACCTCGGCCTCCCAAAGTGCTGGGATTACAGGCGTGAGCCACTGCATCCGGCCTGAATTTGTAATTTTTTAAAAGTGCTTTTAGGGATCCATGAAAGAAATGTTTGTCTACCCCAATGTTGTGAAGATGGTCTCTCTGTGTCACCCAGGCTGGAGTGCAGTGGCACAATCTTGGCTCACTACAACCTCTACCTCCAGTTTGTGTTTTTTGTTTGTTTGTTTTTGTTTTTGTTTTTAAGACGGAGTTTTGCTCTTGTTCCCCAGGCCGGACTGCAGGGGTGCGATCTTGGCTCACAGCAACTTCCACCTCCCGGGTTCAAGCGATTCTCCTGCCTCAGCTTCCCAAGTAGCTGGGATGACAGGTGCCTGCCACCATGCCTGGCTAATTTTTGTATTTTTAGTAGAGACAGGGTTTTGCCATATTGGCCAGACTGGTCTCAAACTCCCCACCTCAGGTGATCCACCCGCCTCAGCCTCCCAAAGTGCTGGGATTCTAGGCATGAGCCACCACGCCCGACCTACTTCTTTCTTTGTAATCTTATGGCTTTATGTGTTTTTTCTACCTCCTTGCACTGACTCAGGCCTCCAATAAGGTGACAGAGAGAAGCAGTGGGCAGACAGCCCTGCTTTTTCCTGGTCTCAGAGGGAAAGAGCTCCGTAGTGGCCCATGAAGCAGGATGTTGGTTGCAGGTCTGCCGGGTTGAAGAAGTTCTCTTCTGTTCCTTGTTTGCTGAGAGTTTTTGTTGGGATTAGGTGTTGAATTTTAACAAATGCCTTTTCTGCAGCTATTGAGATAATAGCTGTTATATGGTTTTCTCCTTTATTCTGTTAATTTGGTTAGTTATATCATTTTCTTTTTTTTTTTTTTTTTTTTGAGATGGAGTCTCACTCTGTTGCCCAGGCTGGAGTACAGTGGCGTGATCTCGGCTCACTGCAAGCTCTGCCTCCCGGGTTCGTGCCATTCTCCTGCCTCAACTTCCCGAGTAGCTGGGACTGCAGGCTCGTGCCACCACGCCCGGCTAATTTTTTGTTTTTTAGTAGAGATGGGGTTTCACCGTGTTAGCCAGGATGGAGTTATGTCATTTTCAAATGACAGCAAATGTTGGGGATTAACATTGTGATTAAAGTTGATGCTATGCTGTTGAAAGAGTGAAAAAAAAATATCAAGTTGAAAAGCATATTCATGAAAACATGTAGCAGTTAATGTAACCACCTGTGAGTGTCAGAAGGAGAAAGGGAATGTCTGTGTACCTGCTGTGCTGGAGGTGGGAGGGACGAGGGGTCAGGGGTGAACGCCGAGGGAGCCGCCCCATGCAGTGAGTGTTGAGTGCAGGTGGTGGAGGGAGCCTCCTGGGCACCAACTGCAGTTAATGGGGATCAAACCAGCTGTGTACTCTTAGGGTCCATGTCACTTGGTCATGACAGAGAATTCTTTTTATAAACTGCTGGATTTGGCTTCCTAATATTTTTTGAGAATTTGTGTTTATGAGAGTTTGGTAGGTAATTTTTTTGTAATATCTTTTTTTTTTTTTTTTTTTTTTTCAGACAGCGTCTCAGTCTAACATCCAGGCTGGAGTGCACTGGCATGATCTCAGCTCACTGCAACCTCCGCCTCCCATATTCAAGCAGTCCCCCCACCTCAGCCTCCTGAGTAGCTGGGACTGCATATGTGCACTGCCACGCCCCGCTAATTATTGTATTGTTTATAGAGACAGGCTGGGCAACTGCTGGGCTCGAACAGTCCTCCTGCCTCAGCCTCCTAGGGTGTTAGGATTACAGGCGTGAGCCACTGTGCTTGGCCCCTTGTAATATCTCTGTCAGGTTTTCGGTTTGGGTTTTGCTGGCCTCATTAAGACAGACTGGATAGCGTCTGCTCTTCCTCTGTTCACTAAATAGCTTCTAAGATCAGTACTGTGCTTCCGTAGGCTTTGGTGGAGTTTACCAGGGAATCCAGCTGGGTGTGGTATTTTCTGTGTGGGAAGGGTTCCAGTTACATTTTCAATTGCCTTATCAGATGGAAGGCTTCCCTTTCTTTTGTCAGTTTCATGATACTGTGTTTTTCATCGAGTTTGTCTGTTTCATCTCAGTTGCTGAACCTGTTTGCATGAGTTGCTCCTGACGGCCCTTTAGGATACTTCCATGTCTGTAGGGTCTAGAGTGACATCTCCTCCCCTCCCCTGACGAGGTAACCAGGCATGGGCTATCTTCCTCCAGCTGGTTCTGTCTCTTCTCAGGGGTGCCTGTGGGGCTGGCCTCTTCTGCATCTTGGGGCTCTGAGCTTTACTCACGAAGGAGGCAGGACCCACTGTGGCAGGAGGGCAGTGGGATGCCAGGGTGGTTCTCTACAGACCTGGGGGTAGAAGCTGGATCTCAGCGGGCTGGGGCCCTAAGGTTTAGGGGATCTTGTGGCTTGATCTGGAGACTCAGTGAACATTATTGGGGTTTCTCGGGGCTGCACCAGGTTTTCACTTGGGGGAAGGCTGCGAGGTGGCCTCCTTGTAGCGTACCCGAGAGCATCCTCCTGGCACAGTGCTGTGGGAACGGGCTGCCCGCCTGTCTCCTGAGGAGGAGCCTCCGCTGCCTCAGTTGCGGTTAGACTCTCCAGTCATGTGTTTGCAGCTAAGCTGTTGGCTTTCAGCCAGCAATGGCTGGCCTGTCCTCCTCTGGTGACAGGCCTGGCTTGCTGTCTGGTATTTCAGAGTTCTTGTTTGTGGAGGTGGCACACTGTACCCAGCTGTCCCTTAAAGATATGTTGGCCCCTCACCACTGCCAAGTTTCCCCACACCTGGTGGCTGTCAGTAGTTACAGAGCAGACCCTGTGTGTGCATCACTCATTTTTCCTGAATTCCCCGTGATTTGCTGAGTGGGGGGGCTCCTGGGGTCAGGTGCGGGGGGCATTCCCAGGCCGGCTATACCCGCTTACATTTCTTGTCTCCCCAGATCTGCCCTCCTTGGCACTGTGCTTCCCCAGAGGGGTGGCCTCGCTGTTCCCATGGACATGGCCCAGGTGAGCCCTGCTGCTGCCGAGCGCAGCCTCCCTTCTGCCCTGCTGGCTGCCTGAGACCCCAGCACACACGCGGGGAGGGTCTGTGGCAGTGGCTTCCCAGGCACTGTGCCCGTGTCTGCCTTTCTGCCTTCTCTCTTAAGGGGTGGGGAAAGAAAAAGAAAATTGGGGCCAGGCGCAATGCCTCACGCCTGTAATCCTAGCACTTTGGGAGGCTGAGGCAGGTGGATCTCGAGGTCAGGAGATCAAGACCATCCTGGCTAACACGGTGAAACCCCATCTCTACTAAAAATACAAAAAATTAGCTGGGCACGCACCTGTAGGCCCAGCTACTCGGGAGGCTGAGGCAGGAGAATTGCTTGAACCTGGGAGGCGGAGGTTGCAGTGAGCCAAGATCGTGCCACCACTCCAGCCTGGTGACAGAGCAAGACTCCGTCTCAAAAAAGAAAAAAAAAAAGAAAAGAAAATTGGATTCATTGACACTAGGAGAGTAGTGGCTGTTGTAGGAAAGTAGACTAGATTCTCTTAGTCCACTAGAGCTACCGTAACCAAACATGACACAGTGGGTGGTTTACACACATGCACTTCCTCTGTTCCAAAGGCTGACGTCCAAGATCAGATGCTGCAGATCTGGTTTCTGGTGGGGGCCACTATTGTGCTGTGTTCACGCGTGTGCGGGGAGGGAGCCGGGGGGCTCTCTGGAGTCTCCTGTGAGGACCAGGTCCATGGGTCAGGGCCCCTCCCTTCTGACCTCACTTAACCTTAATCTCTTCCACAGAGGCCCATCTCCAGACACAGCCACTCGGGGCTCTGGGCTTCAGTGAATGGATTTAGGGGACACAAACAATCAGTCCACCGCAGGGCCACTCCCATTCCCCCTTCCCACCCAGACCTGTGGGCTGAGCCTTCTTTTTCTTGGGAATGGCCTCTTCGGGAGCTGTGTGTGTTGCAGGAGCCAGTGACCTTCAGGGACGTGGCCATCTACTTCTCAAGGGAGGAGTGGGCGTGTCTGGAACCCAGCCAGAGGGCCCTCTACCGGGACGTGATGCTGGACAACTTCAGCAGTGTGGCTGCTCTGGGTGAGCACGGGCTGAGCGCAGCGTGAGCACAGGGTGAGTGCTGGGAGAGCTCTGCCGCTGCCTCTGGGCCCAGCTCGTCCAGGACAGTAGTGGGGCCTCCCAGCTGAGGGGGCTCAGGAGCTAGAAGTTATTGGCTTATGTAGACAGAGGGGCCCACTCAGCGTTTCTCTCGGGCTCCCTGGAGGCAGCCTCATCTTCCTTCCTCTGACCTTGCCAGGGCCTTCCGTGGGCCTTGGTGTCCAGGCCCCTCCCTTCCTGTCATCTCTGCTTTGGGGTGGCTTCTCCAGGGCCTCCCGAGGGCTGGCCTGGCGTCTTAGGCTGATGCACAACTGCTCTGAGCCTCGACCCTCACTTTGTCCTCAGTACAAGTAAAACAGAAACTTTTCTCTCCTTTGAGAAGGATTTTGCAGCCCCAGACCAGACCTCGTCTCTCGCCTGGAACAGTGGGAGGAGCCGTGGGTTGAAGACCGGGAGAGACCTGAGTTCCAGGCAGTGCAGAGGGGACCCCGGCCAGGTGAGTGCTGGGCTGTCTGGGCTCGGCGGGCCCCGTCCCTGTGGCCCACAGCTCCTGGGTAGTGCTCAGCACGCTGCAGTGACCAAGGGTGTGTCCTTCCCATGGGAGAGCAGACACACAGCTGCTCTCTAAATTAGACAGGCATTAGAGACGTAGGGGCAGCCACGCTCCTGCCCTGATGGACACTGGCCGGGGGTGGGGCTCGAAAGGCATAGTGCTGCAGGATGACATACAGCTGCAGCTCGGAGGGGCCTGAGGCTGGAGTGACACTTGAAGCCTGCACCTAGCCACCCAGGTGCTGTCCGGCGGAGGCCATTGGTGTGGGTGTCTGACCTCCCTGTGATGGCCATGTGGGGTCCCAGGCCTGGTACTGACTGCACGTGAGGGTCTCCAGGTATGTGGCTCTGGGTAGGAGTTTGCTCCACGTCCTTGTTTGCAAAACTGGGACAGTGGCCATGCTTCCCTCCATTAGGTGAGGGTTGCTCTTGGGGCAGTTGTCAGCAGGGTTTTGCTTTTTACTTACATTTTCAGAGTGGGATGGAGCAGCTATGTGAACACGAGCCCTGGGAGGTCCCCGGGTATGTGGAGTCCCCGACTGTGGAGTGTCAGGTTCCTAGGTGTGTGGAGCCCCCGACTGTGGAGTGTCAGGTCCCTGGGTGTGTGGAGCCCCTGACTCTGGAGTGTCAGGTCCCCGGGTGTGTGGAGCCCCCGGCTGGGGAGGTGTCGGATCCCCGGGTGTGTGGAGCCCCCGGCTGGGGAGGTGTCGGATCCCCGGGTGTGTGGAGCCCCCGGCTGGGGAGGTGTCGGATCCCCGGGTGTGTGGAGCCCCCGGCTGGGGAGGTGTTGCATCCCCGGGTGTGTGGAGCCCCCGGCTGGGGAGGTGTCGGATCCCCGGGTGTGTGGAGCCCCCGGCTGGGGAGGTGTCGGATCCCCGGGTGTGTGGAGCCCCCGGCTGGGGAGGTGTCGCATCCCCGGGTGTGTGGAGCCCCCGGCTGGGGAGGTGTCGGATCCCCGGGTGTGTGGAGCCCCCGGCTGGGGAGGTGTCGCATCCCCGGGTGTGTGGAGCCCCCGGCTGGGGAGGTGTCGCATCCCCGGGTGTGTGGAGCCCCCGGCTGGGGAGGTGTCGCATCCCCGGGTGTGTGGAGCCCCCGGCTGGGGAGGTGTCGCATCCCCGGGTGTGTGGAGCCCCCGGCTGAAGGGAGCCATGGCTCTGAGGCTGAGTGGTTGAGAATCAGGTGGAGCTACCCGTCTTCTAGACGACATCCTAGCACCACCTCCACCCGCATGAGTGGGGCCTGCTGGCGTGGACAGGGTGAAAGGACATTCTCTTGGCCCAGTTGCTTCTGTTGGTTGGCAGGCATGTGTCGGCTCTCCCTCACGTCAGCAGTGCCGGGTGGCCTGCGTACCACCGGGGCTGGGGAAGCATCTGAGCTCATCTTGGCTTCCGCTGTTGATACCTGTGGCTCATCTGTGTTTCTTTGAACGAGTTTTCCTGATCACTCGTAACCATGTGGAATGAGCTGAGTCAATGGAAGCCAGTCCACGCACACAGCAGGAGGGTCCTCTGGGCTTTTTTTTTTTTTTTGAGACGGAGTCTCGCTCTGTCGCCCAGGCTGGACTGCGGACTGCAGTGGCGCAATCTCGGCTCACTGCAAGCTCCGCTTCCCGGGTTCACGCCATTCTCCTGCCTCAGCCTCCCGAGTAGCTGGGACCACAGGCGCCCGCCACTGCGCCCGGCTAATTTTTTGTATTTTTTTTTTTTTAGTAGAGACGGGGTTTCACCTTGTTAGCCAGGATGGTCTCGATCTCCTGACCTCATGATCCACCCGCCTCGGCCTCCCAAAGTGCTGGGATTACAGGCGTGAGCCACCGCGCCCGGCCTCCTCTGGGCTTTGCTGGAGGCACTGCCTGGCTGTGGGCCACTGGCTCTGTGTAAGGGTGTCTGTTCCTTCCACAGGGGCAAGGAAGTCTGCAGACCCCAAGAGACCTTGTGATCATCCAGCTTGGGCTCACAAGAAAACCCACGTGCGGCGAGAAAGAGCCAGGGAAGGAAGCAGCTTTAGGAAGGGCTTCAGGCTGGACACGGATGACGGGCAGCTTCCCAGAGCTGCTCCAGAAAGGACAGACGCCAAGCCCACGGCTTTCCCGTGTCAGGTGCTCACGCAGCGTTGTGGGCGGCGGCCGGGCCGCAGAGAGCGCCGGAAGCAGCGCGCAGTAGAGCTGTCATTCATCTGCGGCACGTGCGGGAAGGCGCTCAGCTGCCACAGCCGGCTGCTCGCTCACCAGACGGTGCACACGGGAACCAAGGCCTTCGAGTGCCCCGAGTGCGGCCAGACCTTCCGGTGGGCTTCAAACCTGCAGCGCCACCAGAAGAACCACACGCGCGAGAAGCCCTTCTGCTGCGAGGCCTGCGGGCAGGCGTTCAGCCTGAAGGACCGCCTGGCTCAGCACCGCAAGGTCCACACCGAGCACAGGCCCTACTCGTGTGGCGACTGTGGGAAAGCCTTCAAGCAGAAGTCCAACCTTCTCAGACACCAGCTGGTGCACACCGGGGAGCGGCCGTTCTACTGCGCGGACTGCGGCAAAGCCTTCCGGACCAAGGAGAACCTCAGCCACCACCAGAGGGTCCACAGCGGGGAGAAGCCCTACACCTGTGCCGAGTGCGGCAAGTCCTTCCGGTGGCCCAAGGGCTTCAGCATCCACCGGAGGCTGCACCTGACGAAGAGGTTCTACGAGTGCGGCCACTGTGGGAAAGGCTTCCGTCACCTGGGGTTCTTCACGCGGCATCAGAGGACTCACAGGCACGGGGAGGTGTAGGGGCGCCCGAAGAGTGGGGTGCTGCGCCTCTGCGGGAGTACTGGGTCCTGAGGGAGAGCTGCAGTGAGAAGTTGCTCTTCAGCCTGGAAAATCAACCTGAATTCAGAGAAGCCTTCTTAGTCCTCAGAGCTCCCCAGTCCCCCGAGAAGTTTACTGGGAAAACTGCCAGGTGGGAGAAGCAGAGCCATGGGTACGCCGGAGATGGCGGGGGCTCTGGAGATGGCGGGGGCTGCGCCCCGGCGCCGGGCATCCTGGGGATGTGCTGAGAGTGTGCGCGACCCCGGAGCCACGTGCCAGGCCGGGCTCAGAGGCGGAGAAGCCTGCCTGGTGCCCACAGCCGTCTGGCTCAGGGACTCCACCCTGGCCCCGAGTCGCCGTCTGCTGGGCCTTTCCTTCCTGGCTCTGCACCCCATGCTGGCTGCCCGGTCTGGCTTCCCTTCTTGTCTCTGTCTTGGGCGAGGCAGCTGTGAGCATTGCACAGAGGCAAAGACCCTCCTGCAGCCTCTGCGCTGGGCCGTAGAAACAAGAGCCTTTGTAATACTGAACCTCATTCAAGGATTAGGAGTGGTGGTTAGGTCAGGGCCACCCCCAGTGCTGCAGGAACGGCCTCCACCCAGCTCTGTTGGTCAGAGCCTGGGTCATGCACCTGGAGTTGGGAGATCAAGTTGGGTCTCAGGGCAGTGAGGTGGCCATATCCACCACATCGCATTTCGTGGGGGAAGAGGTGACCTCTTTGTTTTAAACTTAAGGTGTCTGCTTATCCAGCCAGAAATAAAAATCTGCCAGTGGTGTTCCCAAGGGAAGACCCCCGTGGGAATGGGTCGGGACACTGCCGTGTTTCAGGTTAGCCAATTATTTTTGCTTTTGCCTGTTTTTCTTTAAGAATTGCAGCCAGGCCAGGCGTGGTGGCTCACGCCTGAAATCCCAGCTACTCGGGAGGCTGAGGCAGGAGAATCGTTTGAATCCGGGAGGTGGAGGTTGTGGTGAGCCAAGGTTGCGCCATTGCACTCCAGCCTGGGCAGTAAGAGTGAAACTCCGTCTCAAAAAAAAAATTCCAGCCAACAGATGCATATGTAATGTTGGAATCAGAAACGAGTTTACAAGAAATAGGGGGATGAGGAGAAGGTTGAACACACCGAGAGGAAGCCCTGAGCCAGATCCGGCTGGAGATGCCACCAGACGGCGACGTTTCTGTGGGAAGACGGGCACGCAGAAAGGCCGAGGGGGCTGTGTGTGACCCTGGTAGGAGCAAACCGAGTGCGAAGTCACTTTTGAGACAATCATGGAAATGTGGGCACGGGCCGTGAGTCGGGTGGGTAGGCCGTGAGTCGGGTGGATGGACTGAGTCGGGTGGGTGGGCCGTGAGTCGGGTGGATGGACTGAGTCGGGTGGGTGGGCCGTGAGTCGGGTGGATGGACTGAGTCGGGTGGGTGGGCCGTGAGTCGGGTGGATGGACTGAGTCGGGTGGGTGGGCCGTGAGTCGGGTGGATGGACTGAGTCGGGTGGGTGGGCCGTGAGTCGGGTGGATGGACTGAGTCGGGTGGGTGGGCCGTGAGTCGGGTGGATGGACTGAGTCGGGTGGGTGGGCCGTGAGTCGGGTGGATGGACTGAGTCGTGTGGGTGGCCGTGAGTCGGGTGGGTGGGCTGTGAGTCGGGTGGGTGGCCGTGAGTTGCGTGGTGGGCCGTGAGTTGCGTGGGTGGGCCGTGAGTCGGGTGGGTGGGCCGTGAGTCGGGTGGGGGTGCGGAATTGGCTGCTAGCGGTGATGGTGACACAGGGTTACGGAGGAATCCTCACTCAGATGCATTTGGACGTCTTTGTGGGGAAATGACGTGGCGCCTGGGATGTACTTTACGATTCTAATAAAGAGGAGAAAGACACAACAGTATTGGCTGAATGTTGACAGCTGTTGAAGCCGGGAGGTTGGTGTGCTTAAAAGTTCCCCAAATCTTTTATTTGCAGCATGAGTATGAGTTTCTTCGTGCTCACGGAAGATTGTAGAGAGCAGCTGTCGGTCATGGAGTCACAGGGCTGCCTTACCAGGACACCACCGGCAGCCCCACAGACAACACAGGTTTATTCTCTCCAGCTCTGCAGGCTGGAAGTCCGAGGTAGAGGTGCCAACAGGGTCCGTTTCCGGCGAGCGCCTCCTGGTTCAGAGGCATCCTCATGTCAGGAGGGGCTTTGGTGTCACCTTTTCCTTGTGAGGGCCCGGATCCCATGACCCCTATCACCCCATCGAAGCCAAATCACCTCCCAGAGACCTCCTCATACCATCACGTCGGGCCTAGGGCTTCCACATGGGAATTTCAGAGTGACCATTCAGCCCGTAGCAGAAGCTCCTCTGGGTCTGTCCTGGCCCACAGACCCTGTGTAGGAAAAGCACTTGCCCCTGCGGGGCAGGCCCTGGCAGAGCCCGGTGAGGCAGTGAGGGCCCTGCAGGATAAGTGGAAATCTCCCCAGGGGGGATATGGGGGTGCCTTTCTCTTACAGAGTCCAGGCTGGTAAAAGCGCATGTGTGTTTCGTGTCTGGTTTGTCCCCTGCCCAGCGGGCGCCGTTGGAAGGGCCTTCAGGTGCTTGAGCACAGGTGGGGACGGAGCAGCTGGTGTCTCGGCAGTAGATGCGGCGGATCATAAGGACTTGGGTTTTGAGCGCCCTGCAGGAAGCCACTGGCCGCGTCCAGGGTCACCTGTGCCTGGTCGTTAGTCCCTCACAATGCTGTCACTTTGTGACGCTCTTGTGCAGGATTAAATGTGAACAGCAGAGACGTGGGTGATGCGCTGCCTCGTCAGATGATGGTCAGTTGTCCAAGCGGGCTGCCTTGCTCTTGGTGGCCTCATCATCCAGGGCTCACACACTGGATGGTTGGGCCACAGTCGCGGTACCCCCCGGGCTGCAGGCTTTCCACCCTGCTTAGCAGGGCTCCAGGGCTCCGGGTAGAGCAGGGGGTCCCTCCCTTGGCACTTCCCCAGGGAGGAGCACGACCGTGCTCAGCTGCGGTCAGGCTGCTGCTCTTAGTTGTCTTTCCTTCTAACACTCAGGCTTCCCTTCCTGCCTCCTGGGTCGCTGAAGAAGGTCAGGTCCACAGAAAAGGCCTGGGGAGAGAATGGTGGTGAGGAGCCCATGGGGGTGTGAGGGGCCGGGAGGCTCTGCATCTTGCCCTGTTGGCCTCCTCACCACCCAGGCGGGGGTGGGGTGACAGAAGGGGCTCACAGCAGGTGTCCCGTAAGGAGCATCTTCCTTCCTGGGGCCAGCAGCCGTCACTCCCTGTGAGCCTGTAGAGCCGAGTTTTCTCTGCATTTATCTTGGGCAGAGAATGCATGAAGCTACTTCGCGGCCAGAATGGGTGCACAGCAGGGTCCGTTGACAGCCATGCCTGTGACCTAGCCTTCCACCCCTCTGTCTCCAGGGGACACTTGCCTGGCCTTTGTGTTAGCGCTCAGCACACATGTGTCCAGTGTAAAGTCCACCAAGATTAGCAGGGCATGGTAGCTGCCGCCTGTAATCCCAGCTTCTCAGGAGTCTGAGGCAGGAGAATTGCTTGAACCTGGGAGGCGGAGGTTGTAGTGAGCCAAGATCGTGCCACTGCACTCCAGCCTGGGCGACAGAGTGAGACTCCATCTCAAAAAAAAAAAAGTCCGTCGAGAGAGCAGGTGGCGGATGCAGCTGAGAGCTCCAGGAATGGGAGGGCCACGTGGTAGCCACTGGCAGCCTTGACTGAAAGATGAAGGAGTCCATGGTGCTAGGAGGAGGAGTTGCATCCCAGCAGGCTCAGCTCCTGGAGCTGCCTCTCTGCACTCTGAAGGGAGGCCCAGTGGCTGCAATATTCTTCTTTGGGAAGTACAATGCCAAGTAAATAAAGATATTTGGGGTCATTCTAGTTACAACGTATCATAAACTCTACTCACTGTTGTTCTGGGTGTTCATGGGGTCCGCCGTGCGTACCAGTCTTACAGGTCCTCAAACCCATTGGGACCCTTCAAACGAAGAGTGTGCGTGTGGAGTTGGCAGAACCTGACCCGGGCCAGGGTGGAGGGACAGCTGCGTCACTGAGTGCATGTCCAGCCCTAATAGCTCGCTTCGTTGTGTTTGTATCTGTGACCTCTTGGGAGCTAAATCACAGGCCCACCAAACGAAACGTTTTGGGGAATGTGAAATGGGTGGGTTTTGAGCTGGTCCCCAGTGTGAGCTTAATGTTGGAGCCATATTGGATTTTAAAACTTCAGAGGCTCCTTTTCCCGGGGCCAACCATCCTATGTAAAATTCGAGGGCCGATGGTGGAAGCCTGGAGTCCGGTTACAGTGGTAACTCCATGAGGGGAGACCAGCTGTCATGCACCTGAGCACCCAGAATCACTCACACTCCCCACTCCTCCCCTCCCCACACGTGCACACTTAGGAAGTGTGGCAGCCTGACTGCAGGAGAGCCATGATACCACACACAATCCAAACAAAGGCAGAGCAGCCCCGCCTTAGGACAGGTGAGCCTGTGGCCTGCACACCCATTGCCACAGCTGGAGGGCTGTGTCCTTTCCACAGAGGGGTCGGCCAGCCTCGTCTTCTGATCACACTACTTCAAAGGTGCTCAGTCCACTCACCCCACCTCCAGCTGCAGTGTCTCCACCGGGGACCACGACCACCATGTCCATGTTCAAGCAATTCTCTGCCTCAGCCTCCCAAGTAGCTGGGATTACAGGCACCCGCCACCACGCCCAGCTGATTTTTGTGTTTTCAGTAGAGACGGGGTTTCACCATCTTGGCCAGGCTGGTCTTGAACTCCTGACCTCGTGATCCACCCGTCTCGGCCTCCCAAAGTGCTGGAATTACAGGGATGAGCCACTGTGCCCAGCCACCTCAGGGCCTTTTTGCAACTCCGGATGTGGGAGATGACAAAACCACCATGCAAAGAGGGGAAAGGGCGGAAACAATTTATTTGAAAAGGAATAAGGAAAGTGAGTGACTAGTTAAAATTTCAGTATTTGGACACTGCTGAACAGATGTCGGGTGGATCCAGCAGCCGGGGAGCTGTGGTGGGCTGTACGGCGGCCGCCGAGCAGTAGGACACGGTCTCCATCGCCCATCACCTTCCTTGGGGTTTACTCAGCAACTCGGCTGGCCGCGGCCCTGGAGCCGCATGCCTGAGCATCTAAGGATTTCCTAAAGGGGCCTGAGGTCTGTCACCTGGACACGTGGCGAGAGACAGGGAGTGACCCTCTCAGATGACTTACAGGTTGGGAGAGGAGAGATGTCTGAAGGGAAATACACCAAGTCTTTTGTGGCAACTCAACGAAACTGATGGCTTCTGCCTTGTTCTTCAGGGCAGGTCCTCCTGGCCAAATCTGTTCAGCGTGCAGATGCAGACCTAGTCCTACTCTCTTCCTGATTCCATCTCTCCCTTTAATCCCATAGATAAAATCCAGCCCTAGGCTGGGCGCGGTGGCTCACGCCTGTAATCCCAGCACTTTGGGAGGCTGAGGCAAGCGGATCACTTGAGGTCAGGAGCTTGAGACCAGCCTAGCAAACATGGTAAAACCCCATCTCTACTAAAAATACAAAAGTTAGCCAGGGGTGGTGGTGGACGCCTGTTGTCCCAGCTACTCGGGAGGCTGAAAATGCACTTCTCCAATCCCCCTTCGGCTGCCCTTCCTGGTAGGTGCTGAGTGTTGCTGGCCACAGCCCTCAGGGGCCGCCACCTTTGCTTTGACCTTCGCTGACGCAGATGTCTGTTCCAAGGTTATGCCCCTTCCTGGGGCCACATCCAGGAACTAGTAGATGGAGGGGTGCTAACGCCTGGCCCCGTGGCTCCTCTCTCAAGGACCATCCAGCTGCAGACCCCCACACAAGCCCTGCCACGCCTGCATGGAACTCGCCTCTCTCTGCACAAGCTCCCCACAGCAAACCCCCTGCTGAGTGGCCCGGGGTTGGCCCTGGGTGTCTGGCCCCACAGCACAGCGGATCAGACCTTCCACTTGGGGCCCAGAACACCCAGGCTCACGTCCTCTTCCTTGCTCGAGTACTGCCCTGTCCTGTCCATACACAGCCAAATCCCCTCGCCGTGGATCCCCGGGGTTCTGATTGGTCTGATGTGAAGAGAGATGTTCTCTTGCCAGAAGGGGTGGAATGCAGTTGGGGTTCCCTTGGCCAATACATCAGGCAACTTTTGTCTACAAAAGAGAGCTAAGTGCACGTTATTTTAGTGAAGTTTATTCCGAGTTACAATTCACACAGGCCTTCTGCTCTCCAGGAAATACAGCACAAAGGGTAAAGCCCCCTTACTGCCCCTACTCCTGTGGAATGAGCTTTCCTGATGGTGGAGTGTGTCCACTGTGAAAGCTGCCGCTACCAACATGGAGTCGGGGTAGCCCTGAAGTCCTCAGATACAGAGGCCTGTGACAGGACGCAGCCCAAGACACTCCTGCACGGAGACGGTTCCAGGACCCACAGGGCGCCCTCAGGGTTGCCTACCCCAGACGGACGCTTGCCCAGCAGTGACTGTCTCAGCCCACGCACTAATTCCAGCTCCTGTAACAGACTCCTGTAAAAGACCCTTGGCTTTGAAAACAGCTTATGTGGGCTTCTTTTTTGTTCTTGTTTTTGTTGTTGTTGTTTTTGAGATGGAGTCTCGCTCTGTCTCCCAGGCTGGAGTGCAGTGGTGCAATCTCGGCTCACTGCAACTTCCGCCTCCTGAGTTCAAGCGATTCTCTTGCCCCAGCCTCCCAAGTACCTGGGATTACGGGCGCAAGCCACCACACCCAGCTAATTTTTGTATTTTTAGTAGTGACTGGGTTTCTCCATGTTGGCCAGGCTGGTCTTGAACTCCTGACCTCAGGTGATCCACCCGCCTCGGCCTCCCAAAGTGCTAGGATTACAGGCGTGAGCCACTGCGCCTGGCCCTTTTTGTTTTTAAGATTCCCCTTTTCCCCAACTCCCCTGGATACACCTATAGCCTGCCAAATACCCCGAATTGCAATTCTCTGCAATTCTCAAATCAACTCGCTTATTTGGAGAGCTTGTCTCTTGAGTTTCTTTTTAGGTTGACACAACAAATACTTGTCCAACACCTGTGTAGGCACAAACCTGCGTGTGTGTGCTCCTCATCGTGTGGAGTCGTCCTGTGCGCCCCGCATGTGCTTCTTCATTCCGTCTGTGTGCGCTCTTTCCAGCAACCGCATGCTGTCCCATGAATGTGTCCTGTGGAAGGACACAGCCTGCAATCCCAGCGTTTTGGTGCTGTGAATTCCGCCGCAGTGAATGTCTTTGCTCTTACATCTGTGTGCACACGTGCCTGTATCCCCGCTCTTGCGTCTGTGTGCACCTGGGCCTTGCCAGGTTCCTGCAGCTGCTGTAACAGGACACCCCAGACCAGGTGGCTTCAGACAACAGAAATGAATTCTCTCAGTTCTGGGGGCCTGATGTCCACAATCCAGGCATCAGCAGGGCTGTGCTCCCTCTGAAACCTGTAGGGGAAGGATCCTCCCTTGCTTCTTCCAGTTTTGAGTGTTGCCAGCAGTTCCTGGCAGTTCTTGGCATGTAGAAAATCACTCCAATCTCTGCCTCTGTTGGCACACGCGTTCTCCCTGTGTCTCTGTCTTCATGTGACCAGCTTCTCATAAGGACACCAGTTACATTGGATTAGGGCCTACCCGCATGACCCCAGCTAATGACATCTGCAACAACCTCATCTCCAAATACAGTCATGTTCTGAGGTACTGGGGGTTAGGGCTTGAACGTAAATTTTTCAGGGGACTCTGCAACCCACAACAAAGGTACACAATGGATTCCTAGAGGTCGATCTGCTGAGTCAAAGAGCAGGGCTGTTTTAGATTTAATAGCAGCAGCCAGCCAACAAAATCAGGAGCGTTCCACACTCCCAGGCTCTGCAATGACACAGGTGCCCTCCACAGCCCCTTACTCTGGGTCTTCCTCATCCTGGCACTGGCTTGACTTGCCCCTCCCCGTTTCCTGGGCAGCATGGCTGTCTTCAGACACGCATCGGCATTTGTACTTCTTTGGTGTTCGAGTCGTTTCCTGTGTCTTCTGGTTGGTTGTTGGGTCTTTGGTGTTCAAGTCGTTCGCCTGTGTCTTCTGGTTGGTTGTTGGGTCTTTGGTGTTCAAGTCGTTCGCCTGTGTCTTCTGGTTGGTTGTTGGGTCTTTGGTGTTCAAGTCGTTCGCCTGTGTCTTCTGGTTGGTTGTTGGGTCTTTGGTGTTCGAGTTGTTTGCCTGTGTTTTCTGGTTGGTTGTTGGGGACATGCATCGGCATTTGTACTTCTTTAGTGTTCAAGTCATTGCCTGTGTTTTCTGGTTGGTTGTTGGGTCTTTGGTGTTCGAGTCATTTCTTGTGTTTTCTGGTTGGTTGTTGGGTCTTTGGTGTTCGAGTCGTTTCCTGTGTTTTCTGGTTGGTTGTTGGGTCTTTGGTGTTCGAGTCATTTCTTGTGTTTTCTGGTTGGTTGTTGGGTCTTTGGTGTTCAAGTCGTTTCCTGTGTTTTCTGGTTGGTTGGTGGGTCTTTGGTGTTCAAGTCGTTTCCTGTGTTTTCTGGTTGGTTGGTGGGTCTTTGGTGTTCGAGTCATTTGCCTGTGTTTTCTGGTTAGCTGTTGGGTCTTTGGTGTTCGAGTTGTTTCCTGTGTTTTCTGGTTGGTTGTTGGGTCTTTGGTGTTTGAGTCATTTCCTGTGTTTTCTGGTTGGTTGTTGGGTCTTTTCTTATAGCTCCATATAGAGTTGTCCTTCGTCTGTTTTATTTGTTGTAAATATTTTTGCCAAGATTGTCATTTGTCTTCCAATTTATGGTGTAGTTTACTGTAAGTTTTTCACACTGATTTCCTGTCTTCACAGAAAATCTTTTATGCCCCTGAGTTTTCTTTTCTTTTCTATTTTTTAATTTTATTTTATTTTGAGACAGAGTCTCACTCTGTCTCCCAGGCTGGAGTACAGTGGTGCGATCTTGGCTCACTGCAAGCTCCACCTCCTGGGTTCAAGTGATTCTCCTGTCTCAGCCTCCCAATTACAGCTGGGATTACAGGCATGTGCCACCACGCCCAGCTAACATTTTTGTTTTTTTTTAAATAGAGATGGGGTTTTGCCATGTTTGCCAGGCTGGTCTTGAACTCCTGGCCTCAAGTAATCCACCCTCCTTGGCCTCCCAAAGTGCTGGGATTACAGGCGTGAGCCACCACGCCTGGCCTTGGGTTTTCTTTTTTAAAAAATGCTTTCCACGTCTTCAAATTATTTCCAAATTTACTTCCAATACTTAATGTTTTTACTTTTAAAAAAAGTTAACAGACTATATCTTTAGGGCAGTTTTAGGTTTACTGAAAAATTGATCATAGAGTACAGAGATCCCATAATACCCCTTCACAGGCACTTTCCATTATTATTATTTATTATTATTATTATTATTATTATTATTATTTTGAGACGTAGTCTCACTCTGTTACCCAGGCTGGAGGGCAGTGGTGCGATCTTGGCTCATTGCAACCTCCACCTCCAGCTTCAAGCAGTTCTCCTGCCTCTGCCTCCCGAGTACCTGAAATTACAGGTGCCCACCACCACGCCAGGCTAATTTTTGTATTTTTAATAGAGATGGGGTTTCACCATGTTGGCCAGACTAGTCTTGAACTCCTGACCTCAGGTGATCCGCCCACCTCGGCCTCCCGAAGTGCTGGGATTACAGGCGTGAGCCACCGCACCCGGCCACTTTCCCCTATTATTAACATCTTGCCTTAGTGTGGCTCGTCTTCTGTGACTGACAGGCAATATTGATATGTGACTTTTAACTAACACCCATGGTTCACATTAGGGCTTCACTCTTGGTGTTGTAGATCCCATGGTTTGGAAAAACCATGTTTGCACAATTGTAGTATTGTATGGGGTAGTTCCACTGCCCTAAAAATACTCCTTCTTCACCTTTTCGCCCCATCCTCCCCCAACCCCTGGCAACCACTGGTCCTTATTATTGTCCCCCCCCCCCGTTTTGCCTTTTCCAGAATGTTGCAGTTGGAATCATACAGCGTGCTGCCTTTTCAGACCAGCTTCTTTCACTTAGCAATGTGCACTTAAATTTTCTCTGTGTCTTTTTATGGCTTGACAGCTGGTTTCTTTTCAGTACCGAATAATATTCCATTGTCTGGATGGACCAGAGTTCATCCATTCACCTATTGAAGGACATCCTGGCCGCTTGAGTTTTGGCCATTATTAATAAAGCTTCTATAAACATCCATGTGTGGGATATTTGTTTGTTTGTTTGGAGATAGAGTCTTGCTCTGTTGCCCAGGCTGGAGTGTAGTGGCAGATGTCAGCTCACTGCAACCTCCGCTTCCCGGATTCAAGCAATTCTTGTGCCTCAGCCTCCCTAGTAGCTGGGATTACAGGTGTGCACCACCACACCCAGCTAACTCCATATGTGGGTTTTTATATGGACACAAATGTTCAACTCCTTTCGGCGAATGCCAAGGAGCACTGTTGTGGATGGTACAGTGAGAGTACGTTTAGAACCTGCCAAACTGTCTTCCCCAGTGGCTGTGCCATTTTGCCTTCCCACCAGCAATGAATGGGAGCTCCTGTTGCTCATACTTAGAGGCTTTTGGTGTCGTCAGTGTCCTAGATTTATCCACTTACAGGTGTGTTTTTAACGTTTGGATCTTTATTCACAAAGAACCAACCTTCCAGACTGGCTGAGTGAGTGGGCTCCCTATACTTTTTCTAGGGCCCAGCTGTCCCCCTCCCCAACACAGTTCTTGCCCCAGGGCCAGACACCCTTGCTCCAAAAAGCTACACACACAGCGACAACCCAGCTACACAGACCCTGTGTGTAGGGAGGTGCACGGGGCCCTGCAAGCCGGAGAAGCTGCCCGCCTCGCAGCAGCTGCACCCACCTCCCTGCCCGCCCGCCTCGGGCGCAGAGCCCCAGCGTTGGCAGCTCCTCGTGAGGGGACAGAGATGGCTCAGGTGGGCCCACCCTGGTCCCTGGGGGTCCTCAAGCTCCTGGGAGGAGCACCAGGGCCAGGCCCCGGGAGGTGCTGGGGGGGACTGGGGGCACCCACTTGAGACCCCAACAAGGGAACTCAGGGCCCCGGGGAGAGGGAAGCCCGGGCTGAGCGCCACAGACCTGCTCAGAGGGAGGAGCCGGCCCGCGGGACAAGGGGCAAAGGAGGCCACCACCAACCCGCAGAGCCGCAGCCGCCTCCACGCACCCCCGGAATCCACGCCTCCCGAACCGGAAGCGCGGCGCCGCTCTAGCCCTGGGCACTCGCTGGTCGCGTCGCGGCCACGAGGAAGGTTGAGCGCGAGCTGGGCGGGCGTCCCGCGCAGCCCGGAGAGCTGACCCTCCACGGAGGGGCATTTTAATAACCGCCTGTACACATCCAGACGCGACAACTAAATGCAACACGTGACCCTGGAAGATGGGGACAGCCACAGAAACACTTGGGACGGGTGACAAAGTTGTGATGTGAGCGACGATGGGGATAATATTCCTCCACAGTAAATGTCCTGGTTCTGATCACTGCACTAAAGCATCGTAGGAGAACATCCCTCTGTTCAGGAAATACACACGAAAGTACTTCGGGGCTCCGGGGCCAGCGTCTCCAACCGCATCTCAAACGGTTCCGAAGCAACGCTCGTGCACAGCGATACACACGGACCAAATTCACGGGCAGCGTCAGCGGCCGGGCATCCGGATAAAGGGTCCATGGCGGTCCCTGTGCTATTTTTGCAACTTTCTCTAAGTTGGAAAGTATATCAAAGTTTTAAAATTACTGAAAAACTCCCAGTAGGTTGAACATAAGACATCCCCTTGGCGCGGAGAACAAAGTCTACGCTTTTCCCCCGGGCCTCACCGTAGCGGCCCAGCTGCCAGCTGCCGCTTCGTCGCACGTCCGCGCCCGCCAGTGCCCGGGCTTGCTCTGAGCCTGCCGGCTCGCGGTAGGGCCCCACTGAGGGCAGGGATGCGGGGTCCCAAAGGGCATTCAGGGAAAGCAGGCGCTGAGCTCTCTTGCAGCTTGGAAATTGGACGCACGAATGAGTGGCCGGCCGGAAATGCTAGAGCATGCACGCGGGTGTCAGAGCCGCCTGGGGGCCACGCCTTTATTAACCATTGCATTATCCCCGTAAGCGCCCTGCGCGCCTGACTCGCCCACACTAGGGCCTCCTGGGCCTCACTCTCTGCAGGTTCAGGCTCTACCCGGGGAGGCTTCTGCCGCAGCTTCAGCGTTCACGCTGTCCTCCGACTGTGGGGGGAGAAGAGCCGGATCCCGATCCCGGGACAGGCCAGAGAGAAGCTTGGGGCCAGACTTCGTGGAGCGGAGAGTGTCCTGTGAGGACACCCTCGGTGAGGACCCCGAAGAGATCCCAGAGCCCTCGAGTGACTGCACCAGCGACAGGGCCCGGGAGCCTGCGCGCGAAGCGGTCAGGGATGGCATCCGGGATCCCACCTTTGAAGTGGCCAGCGATGGGACCCTGGAGTCCATGCTCGATAGCACCAACGAGGGGACCCGGGAAGCCTCGCGCGACGGGACCACGGACGAGGCCCGGGGGGCCGCGCGCGACGGTACCACAGACGGGGTCTGGGAGGCCGCGCGCGACGGGCTTATGGGGGCGGCTAATGACCCGGGGCGCGAGGTGGGCTGGGAGAAGGCCGGCCGCTCCCAGAGCGGCGGGCCTCCGGGGCCCCTGCGCAGCCAGCCGTGCACACGCGCCAGGTCCCGCGTGTCCTCGTGCTCGCGGTGCAGTTGCTCGCGCTGTTCCAGCAGCTGGCGCCGCGTGTGGTGCAGCAGCTGGGTCCGGCGGAGCAGCAGCAGCAGCTCCTGCCGCAGGCGTCCGTTGTCCGCTTTGATGGCCTGCGTGTGCGCCACAAGCGCGCGCACCGCCTCCCGCTCCGCGCGCCGCGCCAGTGACTGCACGCGCTGACGCGCCTCGCGCTCGAAGGCCGCCTTGTCCTCCAGGAAGCGCCGCTTCACGCGGTGGAGCAGCTGCGTGTGCTCCACGCGCATATGCAGCAGCTCGCGCTCCAGCGCCCGGATCCGGGCCAGCTGCTCCAGCTGCAGCACCTGCGGCGGGGGCGCCGTCAGCTCACCCCCACCCCGCCCCCGGCCCGGCCACCAGCCCCGCCCCGCCTCACCCCGGCCGCGGGCGGGCTCACTGGCCTTGTAGGGCTGCAGCTCTTGCACCTGCTGTGCCATCTGTGCCGCGCGCGCCTCCATCTCCAACAGCTGCGCGCGCACCCCGTCCTCGCGCCCGTGGTAGAGCGAGGCCAGTTCCGCCCGCTGCCAGTGGATCTGCGCTAGGTCCACGCGGTTCTGCTCGTCCAGCCGGACGATGGCTTTGGCGCAGCGCTGGGCGCGCGCGCTCACGTAGCTGGCGTAGAGCCGGTTCTCCTCGCGCAGGCGCAGCGCCTCGCGGTCCAGGAAGGCGTTCTCTCGCAGCACCTGGTCAACGCTCTCCTCGCAGGTGTCCAGCTGCTCCGAGAGCAGCGCGTGTTCGCGTTGCAGGTACTGCGCGCGCTCCGATAGCGGCTGCTCGGCACCCGCGGCCGCCGCACCACCTGGCTGGCTCCCTGCGCTCGGCCCGCGCTTTTTCTTGGGCGCCATGGGTTGGTGCCTGGACCACCAGGACTGGTGAGGGCAGCGACCCCGGCCCCTTCCCCAATTTAGCCCTTCCTCTTACCTGGCCTAAATATTCTAGGCGCCAGGCCCAGAGGTGGGACGCGCCTCGGGGTCACGAGGCTTTTGGGGAGGCAGATCGGGGCTTTGGGTCGCGGGTCAGGGCAGCTTTGCCAACCTTCACTCGTGGGCTCCCGCTGGACCTTCGCTGTCCGTCTGGGTGCGCCTAACATTAGTAATGTTGCTGCTCGGCGGGCACGGTCTCTATGGAGACAGAACTTACTCGTCCTCTCCCACCCCCACCCCGTTACTCTGGCGATGGCCGACTCCTTCATTCCGCACAACTCTCTCATCTTGAGTCGCCCGTGACTGCTTGTGAATGTGCCCCCAGAGATAGGGCCTGAGCTGACAAAACTGGGCTTCAGACGGACTCCGGACGTGCTTCTGAATCTCACAGACCCCAGAAGCGCCCTTCGCCTTCGGTTCAGCAACGGGCCTTCTCCCGGGTTGTCCCCCACTTGAAGAGGAGCTTCACCACGTTCCCCCCCGTTTCCCGAGTGAAATCTCTGTGTTGTCAGGAGGGAGCGCTTCCCTGGAGCATTCGCCTCTTCAGGGACCCTTGCTTTCCCTGAGCATTTCGTGATTCCTTCGGTGAGGCCCCCGTGGGAATTGGGGTTCCTGAAGTATGGAGTCCACTGGGCGCCTAGAGAGCGTTTCTCTCTGAAGGTCCTAAGCGCGCGCGTGCGGCACCCGCTCAGCTCATCCGCGGCTCTGCAGCTGGGTAGCTTCCCTTCCCCGTGTGCCCGGATGGCTGGAGGACATAGGGATCCAAAAAGGGCTGGCTTTTTCTCCTTTTCTGTTGACTTTGTGGACACAACATCATTATTGAAACCATTCCTATAGACTTTATTAATCAGGGAAGAAGGGAGGCGAGAAAGGAAAACAAACCCAGCTTGCAGCTCGCTCAGCATTCATTGTGAGGTCAGCCTGCCTCCCAACTCCTTCCTCAGAGCTGTTTGGTGCCTGTGGCCCCAGAATCACACAGACCCTGTCACAAGATGAGAGGTCCCCATAACTGCTCTATAGGTAACAACTTAAACATAGTAAAATGTGAGGTTTTCTATTTGACAGGTCCTGCACACCCATGAAGCGACTGACCCAGCTGGTCTGAAGCACCCCACGAGGAGGTAATGTGCCAAAGAACGCAGGGTACACATCCTGAGGACTTCATCCCCTTTCCCCGGCCAATTGATGACCCCATTTTACAGTCCGTCACCCGCCACAATCCCTTTAAAAACCCCAGCCCAGAACTCAGGGAGATGGATTTGAAGGTCCCTCCCATCTCCTTGCTCGGTGTCCGGGGATCATGACACTTTCTCTGCTGCAAACTCTGCTGTCTTGATGTATTGGTCATTACTGCACAGCAGGCATCACCACCTGTTGGTCCTGTAAGATTTGCCTCCGTCTAGACCAGCGGTCCCCAGCTCCCGTTCTGTTAGATGCCTCAGGAACAGTGTGTCCAGCAGCCTTTGACACACAACTTAAATCGACCCCTATTTTGTGTTCTGTCATCATAGAGTTGAGTTTCTGCCCAGTTTGTCCACATTTGCTGGGATGTGGGCAGATTTGAGGATCTTTGTGAGGGACACAGTTTAGAAAACCACATTTGCACAGAGGTTTGTGGTGGAGGTCGTCTGGTGGCTCATGGACATGGCTGGGCTTGCTCTGATCAGCCAACCTGCCTGAAAGGTGCAGCAGAGCCTTTTAAAATTAAGAACACGATTGAGGCATTTTACTCCTTGTAAAAAAATGTATTTTAGGCTGGGCGCAGTGGCTCACACCTGTAATCCCAGCACTTTGGGAGGCTGAGGCAGGCAGATCACGTCAGGAGATCCAGACCATCCTGGCCAACATGATGAAACCCTGTCTCTACTAAAAATACAAAAAATTAGCCAGGCGTGGTGGCAGGTGCCTGTAGTCCCAGCTACTTGGGAGGCTGAGGCAGGAGAACGGCGTGAACCCGAGAGGCGGAGCTTGCAGTGAGCCGAGGTTGCGCCACTGCACTCCAGCCTGGGCGACAGAGCGAGACTCTGTCTCAAAAAAAAAAAAGTATTTTATAAGTAAAAATAAGAGGACACAAACTACCAAACAAAGCATTAACATTGTAAGAGGACATTGACTTATAAACTAAACTGCATCTGAATGTTGGCTTTAATATATGGGCTTTTAATATGAAAATGGTGCCTCTCCTGTCACAGAAAATTGGGAAAAGACCACATAGAATCATGAGAAAAACATGACCCTGCATCCCTGCATCCCTGCAGCAGGGGCTCAACTGCAGCAGGGACTCATCTGGGGTGGGGGGCAGGCTCATGTGTAGGGGTGCTTAATGCCCAGCGTTGCCTCTTCTGGTTCCTTGCCATGGCCACACCCCAGTGCTCTCCACCCTGCTACCCTCAGGCCTTGTGTGGGGTCACTGTCCCCATTTGACAGATTGAGAAACTGAGGCAGCAATAGGCAGAGGCCTGCTCACATGGGCCAGTCGGGTGCCCCACAGTCTCAGACCCTGTACCATCCCAGGCCACGCCACGTCCAGGGTCTGGACTGCTCTTTCCCCTACTCCCAGCCCCACTGCACCCGCGCATCTGCCACTGGAGGGTCTCGGTTGCTCTTGGCCTTTAAATCCCTGGTGAGGTAAGGTTTTTAAGTTTTAAGTCATCCCTGCCTGTGGGTTTCTTGATTTTTCTTTGCTTTAAATCTCACCAATGCCTCCTCACAGAGAGATCTGGGAGCCTCCTGCTCTCCTCTGTCGAGGCGTCCTGGAGGCTTTCTTCTTCCCAATTCTGCAATTCCCACTTCTGCAACCCCTGCCTCACCCACCAACTCCATGGAATAGTTGGGGGAGCCCCGACCGCAGCCCTAGTCTAGTGCGGACACTCCTGTCCCTGCAACCACACCCCCACCCCCCCAGGCCTCTGCCCAGCCCAGCGCTTTAACTTCTGCCCTGACCCGGGTCTGGCTGCCAGCTGCCCAGCTGTGCCTCTGACCAACAGGGATGAGGGGCAGGAGGAGACCTGGTTTCTGCTGGGGGGCCACGCTGCATGGGGCGATTCTTTGCGGGGAAGTGGGGAGAGCCTGGCCTTGGGGGCGGGCTCAGATGCCTCCCCAGGATCCCCCAGGCTTTTCTCTCATTGTGTTAGGAAGGCAGGCGGTCTCTGGGGTTCACCAGGTCCTGCACCATCCATGGGGACAGAACTCACTTCCTGTGACACACCTCCCACCCTCGGGGGTCTTCCCCCGAGGCCATGCAGGCCTCCTCAAGTGGCATGGTGGTCTTTGTCCCCCCAGGACCTGCAGTCTCACCCCCCTCAGATACAGGCTGGCAAACTGGAAAGGCCCTGGGAAGAGGGGCACTGTCTGCTCCCTGTGAGGCCCTCCCCGTCCACAGCTGGGCCAGCCTCCCTCCTTTCACCGCCCTCCCCACAGCCCCGAAGCCGGGCCAGCTTCCGTCCTCCCCACCACAGCTGGGCCAGCCTCCCTCGTTTCACCGCCTGCCCCACCGCCCCAAAGCCGGGCCAGCCTCCCTCCTCCCCACCACAGCTGGGCCAGCCTCCTCCGGACCCTCACCACAGCCAGGCCAGCCTCCCTTCCCACCCCTCCGCAGCCAGGCCAGCCTCCCTCCTGCCCCCCAGCCCCTTATGCTGGGCCCTGCTGGGGACCCTGAAGGCTGCAGCACAGGGCCACCTTGGGTCTGCTCCTGGGGCTTGTGGGCTCCCACAGGCTCCCCAGGTGGCCCCGCCCACCGTGCCCCTGTCTTCCCGCCCCTACTGCTTTGCATGTCCTGCCTGATTCATCTCCTGAGACTGGGGTGAGCCCTGCACTGAGCGTAGCCACGGGGGTGGGGCTGTGTGCCTGGCACACCGAGTGTAGCCCTCCCAGCAGCCTCTGTTCCCATTTCACAGATGGAGAAACCGAGGCAAGGTGAGTTGTCCAAAGCCCCCTGGAACTGCTGGGGCTGTGACTTGGACCTGTGAGGGGTTCCTCCCACTTCTCTGCACTCCCTCTGGTGGGGTCCCCTCCCCCAAGCTGCCCTGTGCCCCGGGACCAGGACATGGCCAGTGCATGTGCCAGGGCTGCCCGCCCACCCGGCAAGGCCAGCTCCACCTGTGGAGTTGAGGATGGGCTGAGCCCACTTGCAAGCCCAGGACCCATGGGGCAGCTCCACCCTGTGCACCTTGTCCCTTGTGCAGCAGCTCAGAGCTGGTGGTGACAGCCAAGGGGGCAAAGGGGACGACTGACCACAAGTGAGGCCCAGTGGAGCTGCCCACCCCGTGTATCCTTTGGTTGGGGTCAGGTGCTGGGGCCCCAGTCCTCTTTGTTTCAGCACCCTGGGCCCAACCTGAACCTGTCCTCTGCCCCATATCCCTGGCAGGCCTCCCTGCACCCCCACCCACTGGGGCTGGCTTAGGCAAGGGTGTTTGAGACAAAGACCCTGCCCCCATGGCCAGGTACCTCAGAACCCAGGCCAGATCCACACAAGGCTCTCGGTCAGTCCCAGATGGAAGCTCCAGTCCCAGGCCGTGACATGCATCAGCTCCCACACCCAGGATTGTCCCAGAGAAAGCGCTCTGCCCTCCCCGTCCACAGCACCACGAGGGCCATAACTGCACTGCCACACCTCTCCAGGTATGAGCATGAGGCCCGATCCAGCAGGCCCTGACCAGGTCATTCCTGATCATCCCTAACCAGGGCAGTGGGGGGCTGGGGTGTGGTCCAGGTGGGCCTGCATGGGGCCCCTTGGGAGTCACCTACCTCTGTGAGGAAGAGGATGGCCAAAGGAGGGTGTCCAGGGTCCAGAGCCCCTACACAGGCTTCAGTGATGACACCTGCACCCAGTTCCAGAGACATCCCTGAGAGGCAGCCATCAGGGGTGCCCAGCTGAGGACACGCCTCCTTGGGGACCCTCATTCCTGAGTCCATGCCTCCAGATTCACGATCTCAGAGACAACCACATCCGCAACTGGCACGTGTCCCCACCGAAGGGGCTCAAGTAAGTGACTGGAGTGACCAGGGTGGATGGGCCTGGAGTACCTGGGTCTATAGCCCACGCCCGGAGCAGGAAATGGGGGAGACCTGGGGTACCTGGGTCTGTAGCCCACACCCAGAGCAGGAAATAGGGGAGACCTGGGGTACCTGAGTCTGTAGCCCACATCCAGAGCAGGAGAGAGGGGAGACCTGGAGTACCTGTACCTGTACCTCAGCTACAGTATCTGAGTCTGTAGCCCACATCTGAAGCAGGAGAGAGGAGAGGGCCATTTTGGAGTCCACCAGGTAGCCCCAGTAGGACAGGGAGAGGCTGTGTATGAGATGGGATGGGTGGTGGGCCATGGCTGTGACACTGGAGGGGACAGGGCGGGGATACCTTCTCAGACTATGACACTCAGAGGCAAGGTAGGATCTCGGCCCACACAACAGCACACGGATGGTGCCCTTATGGGAGAGAGCGGGGCCATGCATGGGGCCTGTGACAGCTTGGGAGGTGGGGGCCAGGGGAGTTTGGTTTCCTGGGTTACGGAATGCTGGGTGTGTGTGAAGTAGGAGGCACCAGCCACACTGTTTCACCAGGGGCTGTGATCTGGGCCCCACCCTTGTGACTCTGGGGCTTCTGGATGATGACCTCTCCCCAGACCTCACCCATGATTTCCCCGTGGATTGGTTAAAAATTCAATGCAAGGTCCAGGTCAATAATGCACCCAAAATAAAGCTGAAAGTTACAACCGCATGCAACAAAACTTATTGTGACTTAGCCCCGGCGCAGTGGCTCACGCCTGTAATCCCAGCACTTTGGGAGGCCGAGGCAGGTGGATCACATGAGGTCAGGAGTTCGAGACCAGCCTGGCCAACATGGTGAAACCCCGTCTCTACTGAAAATACAAAAATTAGCAGGATGTGATGGCAGGCGCTTGTAATCTCAGCTACTCAGGAGGCTGAGGCAGGAGAATCACTTGAACCCAGGAGGCAGAGGTTGCAGTGAGCTGAGATTGTATCACTGCACTCCAGCCTGGGTGACAGAGCAAGACTCCATCTCAATAAATAGATAAATAAATAAAATAATAAAAAAAAACATTGTGGCTTATTGTCAAATATATTTGACCAACAAATGATGAGAAAAAAATAATCTTGACAAAATTTATATCGGCAAGAATATTTGGACAAGGGAAAGTTGGACTTGGTTGAAATAGTGCCCAGGCCGGGGTGGGTGGATCACGAGGCCAGGAAATCGAGACCATCCTGGCTAACACGGTGAAACCCCGTCTCTACTAAAAATACAAAAAATTAGCCAGGCGTGGTGGCGGGCACCTGTAGTCCCAGCTACTTGGGAGGCTGAGACAGGAGAATGGCGTGAACCTGGGAGGCGGAGCTGGCAGTGAGCTGAGATGGCGCCACTGCACTCTACCCTGGGTGACAGAGCGAGACTCTGTCTCAAAAAAAAAAAGGGATGGGGCGCGGTGGCTCACTCCTGTAATCCCAGCACTTTGGCTGCCCATCGTCTGGGAAGTGAGGAGCGCCTCTGCCCGGCCGCTGTGCAACCTTCCAAGTGTGAAGTGACAGCCTTGTGTGTGATCTTTTCTGTCTTCCCCAAGTTTGCATTTTCGACATTAAAGTTTACTTTTTAGTTAAAGAAAAATGGTAAGTTTTACGTCAGCCATCTTGCTTTTTGCTTTTTTTTTTTTTTTTTTTTTTTTTTTAGACGGAGTCTCAGTCTGTCACCCAGGCTGGAGTGCAGTGGTGCAATCTCGGCTCACTGCAACCTCTGCATCCTGGGTTCAAGCGATTCTCCTGCCTCAGCCTCCCTAGTAGCTGGAATTACAGGTGCACGCCACCATGCCCAGCTAATTTTTGTATTTTTAGTAGAAACAAGGTTTCACCATATTGGCCAGGCTAGTCTCAAACTTCCAACTTCAGGTGATCCACCTGCCTCGGCCTCCCAAAGTGCTGGGATTATAGGCGTGCGCCATCACGCCCAGCCTTTTTTTTTTTTTTTTTTTTTTTCTGAGGAGTCTTGCTCTTGTTGCCAGGCTGGAGTTCAGTGGCGCGATCTCAGCTCACTGCAACCTCCACCTCCTGGGTTCAAGTGATTCTCCTGCCTCAGCCTCCCAAGTAGCTGGGACTATAGGCGCCCACCACGGCGCCCACCACCACACCCAGCTAATTTTTTTGTATTTTTAATAGAGACGGGGTTTCACCATGTTGGCCAGGATGGTCTCGATCTCCTGATCTCGTGATCCACCCGCCTCGGCCTCCCAAAGTGCTGGGATTACAGGTGTGAGCCACTGCGCCCAGCCCTGCTATTTGTTTTCTACTGGTCTTATCTTTTCTTTGTTCCTTTTCCTTCTTTTTTTGAATTCTTTTTGAGCAAGTAGTTTGTGTTGTGGTTGTTGTTTGAGACAGGGTCTGGCTCTGTCACCCAGGCTGGAGTGCAGTGGCGCAATCCAGGCTCACTGCAACCTCTGCCTCCCGGCTCAAGCGATCCTCCTACCTCAGCCTCCCAAGTAGCTGGGACAACAGGCTCATGTCACCACACCCAGCTAATTTTCCTATTTTTTTTTTTTAATAGAAATGAGGTTTTATGTTGCCGAAGCTGGTCTCCAATTCCTGAGTCATTAGCCACGCCCGGCTAATTTTTGTATTTTTAGTGGAGACGGGGTTTCACCACGTTGGCCAGGCTGGTCTTGAACCCTTGACCTCGGGTGATCCACCCGCCTCGGCCTCCCAGAGTGTTGGGATTACAGGCGTGAACCACCGTGTCCCGCCCAAATAATAATATACTATTAATACTTCACATGTAACTTAAGAACCTTACAATACATATTCTCATGTTATTTTGTAATAGTATAAATGTGTATTTCCATTATCCCCCTTCACTTTTTGCTATTGGTGTCATGCATTTTACTTCTACAAGTTATAGAGTCCACAACAGATAGTTCTTGTTTCTACTTTAGTCAGCTGGGCTGGGCGTGGTCCTGCGAGGAGGTGGGCGGGGCGCACTGTGGGGCGGGGCCGGTGGGGACGTGGGCGGGGCGCATTGAGGGGAGGGGCCTGCGGGGAGGTGGGGTGGGCCCACTGTGGGGCGGAGCCGGGGCCTGCCGGGGGCGGGGGGTGTTGGGAGGGGCGCCCCGAGGGGCGGGGCCGGGCCGCCGTCGGTTCCCACGGCAACCGACTCAACAGTAAGGCCCCGCGGGCGTCCTGGCCGCCATGTGCACCGTAGTGGACCCTCGCATTGTCCGGAGATACCTACTCAGGCGGCAGCTCGGGCAGGGGGTGAGTGCCTGGGGGTGCGTCCGCGCGCCGAGGGGCGCGGCAGATCTGCGGAGAGAGGACCTGCGGGGCGCGGCCGGTCCCCTCGGAGGCCTGTTCCGTCACACACTGGCGTCCTGCCTCCTCCGTAGGCGGGAGAGGTGGTCTGGAGCCCCTTCGTGCCTCAGTTTCCTCATGGGGTAACACGATCCTGACTCCCAGGAACCTGGCTCCTGGAGGCAGGTGACAGCCAGGGCCGCCAGAGGCCTCAGGCAGAGGGATCCTGGCGCCCCACTCCCCACGCGTCCACAGTCGCCCGCTTCCCGGGTGCACACGACGCTCTGGGGAGGCTGGGCCCGCGCCCGGGTCACTGAGAGGAAGGGCGGACCCCAGGCTCAGGAGCACAGGGGCGAGGCCCGAGAAGGGCCTGAGCGGTTATGGGGTGGGCGCAGAGTGAAGGGCAGAGCCTTGTGTATCTGTGTGTGTGTGTGAGCATGTAAGCCTGTGTGTGTGTGCGTGGGTGTGTGGGGGGGTGTTCGAGGGTGCCATGGGGGAGGGGAGGAAGAGCCTTCCAGGCAGTGCAGACGGTAAGTGCGTAGGCCCAGTGCAGGGTTGTGTATGTGCAACTGGATAGGAGATGGAGAGAGACAGGTGAGTGGTGAGGGTCCGATCGTGTGGGAGCTTTGGGGAACTTCCAAGACTTTGGTTTTTACTGTTGCTGAGGCTGGGAGCTGTAGCAGCTGCTGGTGTCACTTTACAAGGCCCACCCCTGTGCTGAGGACCTACCGTGGGTGTGCACGGGAGCGGCAGACGGAGATGAGTTAAGGGGTTAGCGTAGCCACGCAGCGAGAGATGCCAGAGGCTGGGACCAGGGTGGGGGCAGAAGAGACCGTGGCAGGGGCTAGATTCTGGAGGAATCTGAAGGTAGGGCCAATGGGATTGGGGGTGGATGGGGTGTGAGAGAAAGGGAGGGAGAGTGCCTGGGCAGCTGGAAGGATGATAGGGCATCCCCGAGCTTCATTTCCTGCCCAGACGCTCCCCTCTGTGGCCTCCTTTCCTCCAGGGCCTCGCCAGCTCTCACCCTCCCTTCCCTCTACCTCCCCTCCTCTGGAAGATGTCGGAGTCTAGGGCAGCCTGCAGTTGCGGGAGCCCACACTCCCATCCCCTCTCGGGACCCAGGATGGGAAGGAGGAGCCTCATGTCTGTAGGGACAATCTGGGTGGGCAGGGGATGGGGGGAAGGGGCTGGCCCTGTGTGACGGCACTCCTTCCCAGGCCTATGGCATTGTGTGGAAGGCAGTGGACCGGAGGACTGGTGAGGTCGTGGCCATCAAGAAAATCTTTGATGCTTTTAGGGATAAGACAGATGCCCAGGTGAGTGTGTGGGGAGAAGCGTGGGAGAGGATGGGGGCAGGGAGGGGCAGCCCCTTGCCCTGGTGCCTGGAAGCTCAGGTGGGAGCTGGAGCCCAGTCATAGCAGATGTTCTGGCCTGTCTCGGAACACTGCCCCCTTGCCACGCCTGGTCTGGTGGGTATTGGGTGACAGACATCAGCTCCTTTGGGTCCTCTCAGGACATGGGCTTCCTTCTTGCTCCACCCACCCACACACCTGTGTTTCTGTCTCTTCAGAGAACATTCCGGGAAATCACGCTCCTCCAGGTGAGTGGCCTGGGCCCTCCAGTCCAATCCCCTTGCCCAGGTACAGATCTCTCCAGACAGGAGAGAAACTGGCCTTCTTGGGCCCCAGAGCACAGCCCCTCCTGGCCTTCCAGCCGCCTCCGACTCTCTCCCCAGGAGTTTGGGGACCATCCCAACATCATCAGCCTCCTTGACGTGATCCGGGCAGAGAACGACAGGGACATTTACCTGGTGTTTGAGTTTATGGGTGAGTGAGGCCCCGGCCAGCGCCCCAGCCCCACCTCTGTTCTGTCCTGACGCCGTCTGCGGGTCCCTCTGCGTGTCCCCCTGCGTGTCCCTCTGCAGCTGGCCCACAGTGGCTTGCTCCCTCACCATGTACCCTGGACTCAGGGACAGACAGCTGACTAGTGTCAGCCTCCAGAGCCAGCAGCGACCCCTTTCGTCCCACCTGCCCCAGGCTCCTGCTCTGACCACAGTTTGCAGTTGCGTTCTCCTTTTTCTTCTCATTTTATGAAACAAAGGCAACATGAAATAAAGTGTTAAAACTCCTGCAGACCTCACCGCTGTGCCCACAGGCAGTGCACAGGATGGAGGAGCGGGGCGGCCAGGCCGTGGGCTGGTTCAAAGTGGGACAGACCTGCCAGGTGCCCCTCTCCCACTCCCCCCAGGTTGCCCCCCCAGCCCCCCACCCCCGACTGCAGTGCGCACCCTCTCTGCAGACACTGACCTGAACGCAGTCATCCGGAAGGGCGGCCTGCTGCAGGACGTCCACGTGCGCTCCATCTTCTACCAGCTCCTGCGGGCCACCCGGTTCCTCCACTCGGGGCACGTTGTGCACCGGGACCAGAAGGTGCGGTTCCCCCGCCCCCGCTATGCCACGTGGCCCGGCTCCCGGCCCCACCCAGCCCCGGGGCCTCAGCCTGCCTCCTCTCTGCAGCCGTCCAATGTGCTCCTGGATGCCAACTGCACAGTGAAGCTGTGTGACTTTGGCCTGGCCCGCTCCCTGGGCGACCTCCCCGAGGGGCCTGAGGACCAGGCCGTGACAGAGTACGTGGCCACACGCTGGTACCGAGCACCGGAGGTGCTGCTCTCTTCGCACCGGTAATAGCGAGACATCCCCAACCCCCCCTCCACCTCCCTGCTGCCCTCCTGCCCAGCCAGGGCTCCCAGGCCTCCCGTACTCCGACCCTGCCTTGGTCCACAAGTGTTCCCCCATTCACCCCCCAGCAACCCCACCCCCACCTCTGCCTCTGGGTCTCTCCATGCCTACACCGCTTCCTGCCCCAGATACACCCTTGGGGTGGACATGTGGAGTCTGGGCTGTATCCTGGGGGAGATGCTGCGGGGGAGACCCCTGTTCCCCGGCACGTCCACCCTCCACCAGCTGGAGCTGATCCTGGAGACCATCCCACCGCCATCTGAGGAGGGTGAGCCAGGCTGCTGGGGCTGGGCACCGGGAATGCTGCAGGTCAGACAGCACAGCTGTGGGGAGACAGCAGCTGACAGGCTAGGACTGTGCTGAGAGGAGGGACGGGGACAGGGAGGATCCAGAGGATGGGGCAGGAGCCCCAGGAAGACCGACTGGTGATGGGGGCCCAGGAGGAGCTGCTGGGGGTGGGTGTGGGCAAGGCAGCACCTGGCACAGTCACCATGAGAGCCAAGCAGTGACCGTGAAGGGGCCAGCAGGCTGGACAAGGTCCCCAAGGGATTCGGGTAGCAGGGGCAGGGACTGTCACTGTGCCGGGAGCTGGGGTGTGCAGAGACAGCTGGGCAGGAGAGATTCAGGTGCTGAGGGAAGAGGTGGAGGAAGGCAGTGGTAGAGGGGCCATGGGGGTCACTCTTGAGGGCGGGGGCAAGAGGGAGCTGCACCGCCAGGCATAGCTGCTTGTCTGGGTGGAGCCTCCTGGGCCGTGGAGGTGGGCGCCAGCATCCACTTCTGTGAGCACACCCCAGGGCCAGGTGCCCGAGTGTGGAGCAGGGGTCATGTGCGGGTGCTCCCGTGCACAGGCTGGGTGGCACGCCCTGGTGATGGGGTGTTTGAGCCCCGCCAGACAGCAGAAACCCTGTAGAGAGGCTGTGCTCCCTGGGGCTGGAAGAGATGACTGGCCCCAGATGCCCTGAGCCGCCCCAGCCGACCAGGCCTGCCTGGGTCACACCACCTTCTGCTGCCCCAGACCTCCTGGCTCTCGGCTCAGGCTGCCGTGCCTCTGTGCTGCACCAGCTGGGGTCCCGGTGAGTGGGGGCACTTCGGTGAGGGTGACAGGGTGGCCTATCTCAAGGGAGCAGGGCCACCTTCCTGCAAGTTTACTGGGGCCAGTTTGTACCAGTTCAGATTCTGCCTGTTTTCAAGATGGCAGTCCCAAACCCAACAACTGTTGGCCACACTGAAAGCAGGAGCCCCTCTGGTGCTCCTAGAGGGTGGCCCAGAGGAGCTGTGCCAGGGCGTGGAGAGGAGGGCACCAGGGGGCCGCAGGGGTCTCTCCACCCTGCAGGGGCCCAGACTGCCTGCAGGTCAGGCACAGGGGCATCTACCTAGACAGGACAGCAGGGTGGACCCCAGTTTGGAAGCTGAGCCCCCAGCCACGAACATGGATCTGAGGAGGGGCCCTTGGGTCGGGCCCTGGAGACGACACACGGCAGCCCACAGGCCACGACAGACGCTGGATGCCCTCCTACCGCCAGACACCTCCCCAGAGGCCTTGGACCTCCTTAGGCGACTCCTGGTGTTCGCCCCGGACAAGCGGTTAAGCGCGACCCAGGCACTGCAGCACCCCTACGTGCAGAGGTGGGGGTGGGAGAGAGTCCCCCAAGTGCGGGGGGACAGAGGTGGGGGCAGGAGAGAGCCAGCCCATGAGGGACAGCCCCCACAGCAGGGACCCTGCTGTGACGGCTTGAGGGGCTCCCTTGGCCGCAGCCCGGGCCCCACCTCCCTGGCTCCCTGCAGGTTCCACTGCCCCAGCGACGAGTGGGCACGAGAGGCAGATGTGCGGCCCCGGGCACACGAAGGGGTCCAGCTCTCTGTGCCTGAGTACCGCAGCCGCGTCTATCAGGTGCTCCGGCTCTCGACCCCTATCATCCCCTGTCTACTGCACCCTGGAGGCTGCCTCCTATGTCAGAGACCCCCAAACGCCCCATGCCCAGGCTGTGACCTCTGAGCACCCTTCCCCTCCCGCAGATGATCCTGGAGTGTGGAGGCAGCAGCGGCACCTCGAGAGAGAAGGGCCCGGAGGGTGTCTCCCCAAGCCAGGCACACCTGCACAAACCCAGAGCCGACCCTCAGCTGCCTTCTAGGACACCTGTGCAGGGTCCCAGACCCAGGCCCCAGAGCAGCCCAGGCCATGACCCTGCCGAGCACGGTGTGTGATCTTTGCTGGCCGCCCACGCGGAGCACGGCCCGGGCCCCTTCTGCCTGTGCTGCCAACTATGCGCAGCATTCGGTTCCTGACCCTGGGGTTGACCCACTGACCCCGGGGTTGACCCACTGACCCCACAGAGTCCCCCCGTGCAGCCAAGAACGTTCCCAGGCAGAACTCCGCTCCCCTGCTCCAAACTGCTCTCCTAGGGAATGGGGAAAGGCCCCCTGGGGCGAAGGAAGCGCCCCCCTTGACACTCTCGCTGGTAAGTCATGGTGGGGCGGGCACAGGAGGGACCCCTCCTCTGCACCTTTCAGTGACCCTGTGACATGGCCCTTCCCAGGTGAAGCCAAGCGGGAGGGGAGCTGCGCCCTCCCTGACCTCCCAGGCTGCGGCTCAGGTGGCCAACCAGGCCCTGATCCGGGGTGACTGGAACCGGGGCGGTGGGGTGAGGGTGGCCAGCGTACAACAGGTAAGCCCGGCCCAGTCTGCCCCCGTCCCCTCATCCTCCTTTCCCCTTTCCCCTTCCCCCCTGCTTTTCCCTCCCTTCCCCATGCTTCCCATTGCCCCTCCAATGTCCAGTTCAAATCTCTCGAGGACCTCAAGGCCTCCCCTCCACTGCACCCCCTCTGATGGCCCCTTTATGTGACCCTCAACTGTACACAGGTCCCTCCCCGGCTTCCTCCGGAGGCCCGGCCCGGCCGGAGGATGTTCAGCACCTCTGCCTTGCAGGGTGCCCAGGGGGGTGCCAGGGCTTTGCTTGGAGGCTACTCCCAAGCCTACGGGACTGTCTGCCACTCGGCACTGGGCCACCTGCCCCTGCTGGAGGGGCACCATGTGTGAGCCGCCCTACTCCCTTCACCTGGCCCTCTGTTCCTGCCCCAGCCCCTTCCCCAGACCCCTCTCCAGTCTCCTGCACCCCTTAGCCCTCCCTGCTTTGCCTGGCCCGTTGAAGTTCCAGGGAGCTTGCCCGGGTCTCCTCGGGGGAGCAGATGAGGGCCCTGCCCCCGCCCCACTGACTTCCTCCAATAAAGTCATGTCTGCCCCCAACCTAAGCAGCCATCGTTCCTCCCCTCCCCTCTGAGGTCACAGCATCCACTAGCTGGGGGCCCCGGCCCCTTTCCTGAAGCCTCCACTCCTCTGAGGACCCCACCCCACCCCCGTCCTGAAACCTCCACCCCAGAGCCCAGTGCCGCCCCCTAGAGGCCCTGCCCACTGCACATCCAGCACTGGGCTTTTCCCTCCAGGTTTGCCTGGGGCAGCTTCTTGTTCTTTGTCCATCATTTCCTTACCTGCTGTGGCTTCAGGGTCCAGGCTGCCCCCCAGGGTGGTCCTGTGGGGTAGGGATGTAGGGTCACCCCCTGGCCATGTTTGTGACTCTGAGCCAGAGGAGAGAAGGGGAGAGAGAAGGGGGACACCCCTCCCCCTGCTGTCAGGGACTGCAGCCTGCGCCCCCTAGTATGGCCACTGCACCTGATCTGTCTTCAGGTCTCCGTAGGTGAGGGTGGGAGACAGACATCTCGCGAGGTCAGGGTTACCTCCTCTTGTCACCCCCAGGCAAGGTCCCTGGTGTGAGTTCAGGCCAGGGCTGTGCAGGGCTGCAAAGATCAAAGGGGCCCTGTGGGCACAGACCTGTGTCCTAGGGTGCCAGGTGTCCTCAGCTGCACCTGCCCATGGGTTGGGGTTGGAACACAAGGAGGCAGCTGGAAAGCTCACAGGCTGGAGGAGCTCACAGTCTAAAGGGCGCGGCCTGTGCTGTCGGTGGCGGAGTTGGGCTGCCAGGCTCACAGTCTGGGAAGCTCATAGGCCGGAGGAGCTCACAGTTTGAAGGGTGCGGCCTGTGCTGTGGTCGGTGTTGGGCTGCCAGGAGAGGGGCGCTGCTGGGTTGTGGAAGCCATTGCCACCATGGGGGAGGGCGGGGAAGGACAAGATGTGGGTGGGGGAGCTGAGCAGAAGGTGAGAGCTGGCGCTGCCCTGGTGCTGGACCAGGCACCTGCAAGAGACTCAGAAAGGGAGGCTGGGTTTGGGAGAAGGTTGGAGGAGGCGGAGGAGGGATCGGGAGGGCCCGAGGAAGCGGTGAGCCAGTCAGAGACCCAGCCCAGGGGCTGTTTCCTGAGGGGGCTGCCGAGGGAGGTGCTTGTTGAGCTTCAAAAGCCCAAGGCGCAGGCCCAGGGTGCTGAACAAGCAGGACAGAGAGGCTGTGGGAGAGGAAGCTGCAGAGAGGCCACGGGGCTGCAGGGTTGGAGGCTTGGCCTCAGGCTGGGCAGTGTGTGGTGGGGCTGCTGAGTGGGGAATCGCAGGTGGGCACCCAGGAGTGTGCCTGCACAGGGGGCATCGGGGACAGGGACAGGAGAGCAGCGTGAAGTTGGGGAGGCCAAGGTGGGCCTTGGAAGTGGAGCTGGGGGGTCTTTAGTGCCCCCCACAGGGGTGGGTGGTGGGTCCACAGGGGAAATCTGGGAGGCCACGTGGTTAAAGGCTGCAGGATGTAACTGGGCGATTATACACACTGGGGAACATGCTAGAATACTTTGTGTGTTGTGTTTTATTAACACCAAAATGTGCCACATCATGGTTTAGAAGAGGTGGAGGGTGCAGGCAGGAGGCTCCGAAGGCCCAGGCAGGGCCGCCAGCCTCTGGCCTCTCCATGGACTCCAGCTGGAGAGCCTGTCCGCTCAGCAACACCCCAGGCAGCACCAAGAATAACATGCCCACAAGAACATCATGGCCAAGAGACGCACAGGCGCATCCCGCTTCCAGGCACCTTTCCCACCTGGCCAGAAGTCCCTGCTGTCATCCCGACTTGCACGGTGGTTTTGGTAACCAGTGGGCTGTGCAGGAGTGAAAGTGGGGTCACTTTCCTTCCTTTCCCAGCTGCTGGAGTCGGAACTGCTGCCTTTGTTTGGCGGCCTTGTTTCTTAAATCAGTTCCCTCTTAGGATTTATTACACTAAAAAAAAAATTAGTTTTTGAAAAGAAATAGGAGAATACAGAAACATGAATTTCACGAGGCTATCATCTAACAGTGGGGGCTTTCTACACACGTGGTGCCAAAATGTGTCATTCTGAGTCAATTGCAATTCCTCTCTAGGAGTGAAAAGAGATAAAAGATAAGCCAAGAACCCTGGACAGATTCTTGGTGTTGGTGACAAAGAGGAAAGGACCTGAGAATGGGGCTGGTGGGGAGAGGGGGGTGTCTGCTGGATACCAGGAGGACAAGGACCACTCCCACCTGCAGGGGTGCCCAGGACCTAGTTGGGCTCGGCCTCAGCTGCACCTTGTCCCCTGCCCTCACCTGGCCCCATACCTGTCAAGGATAAGCACTCCACAACCAGCCCTTCTAGCGCCTGGCTTGGGCCGGGCCTGTGCAGGGGGTGCTCATGAGGCCGGGGCCACAGGTTGTCTGGACCATGTTTTACTGTGCTGCAAAGGCCAATGCCCCCTCCCCACTCTCACCCAGTGCTGGCCAGAGCCTCGCTGGAGGAGATGGCAGACCTGGCCAAGGCGCCCCTTCGGGCTTCCCTGTGTCCCGTCCCCAGAGGCCTGCCCTGTCCAGCTTCCTTGCCACTCCAAGGGGCATCTTCTGGTCCAGCTCCCCCCCCCCTGCCCCACCCACCCCTTGCAAACTGCCCGCAGCCAGCCCAGTCTTCCCCACAGCAAGAGACGGGCCTCCAAAAAAGATGCTGGGAGGCAGCGAGCAGGAGAATCCAAGTAGGAAAGGAAGTGAAGCCCAGGCGGGGGAGGGGGGAGACGGGGGGGGGGGGGGGGGAGGGAAGGAGGAGACCTTGAGAGAGGGAGGGAGCGGGGAGGGGGGAGGCCCTGAGAACAGGAGGCCCTGAGGAGGAGAAGGGCCCAGAGAATGAGGAATTGAGGCACAGAGGCGAGACCCTTGCAAGAGGATAGGGGACTTAGCGGGGTGCAAGGCTCACGCCTGTAATCCCCCCACTTTGGGAGGCTGAAGCGGGCTGATCATTTGAGGCCAGGAGTTGGAGACCAGCCTGGCCAACATAGTGAAACCCTGTCTCTACTAAAAATACAAAAACTACCTGGGCGTGGTAGCATACATCTGTAATCCCAGCTACTCAGGAGGCTGAGGCAGGAGAATCGCTGGAACCCGGGAGGCAGAGGTTGCAGTGAGCCCAGACCGCTCAACTGCACTCCAGCCCTAGGTCTCAAAAAAATAAAGGGGGCGGGGGGGACTGAGGCACAAAGAGATGGCGGAGCCAGACGCTGCGCCACGCAAGGCTGACGGTGCAGAGATGAAGGTGCTGAGGGGAGAAAGGCACTGGTGGCGAGGGGTGCAGCCCCAGCGTTGGGGAGGCCAGGGGGCAGAGACGGCAGCTGCCAGGTGAGCCTCCAGTGGAGCCGAGGTCTGGCGCACTCAGCCAAGCCCCAAGCGGCCGTGGCCTGACAGCCGCTGCTCAAGCAGATGAGCAGGGCTCTCTGTTCCGCGGGGCTTCTGGATGACCGGGGCAGCGATGCGGGCACCCTGGCCTGGGTTGCCAGGCCAGAAGACTCACTTCTTGCTTTTGAACGTGCCCAGGATCTTGGGCACGAACTTGCCCACCTTGCTGTCCCTGGTGCCCTCCTCCGCGGGGCCTTCCCCTGCCCCAGGGCTGCTGGCCTCCTCTTTCTTGCAGAAGACCTCGAAGCGGCTGTACACGCGCTTCTCCTTGCGCATGCTCTCCATGCGGCGCAGCAGCCGATCGCGCTCCTCCGCGCTGGCTGGCAGCGTGCGGCTCAGCCGGCCCTGGGTCCCCAAGCTGTCCGAGCGGAAGATGGCTGAACACTTGTCCTTGTCGGACATATCTGGGGCCAGGACGCCAGCAGCCGGTGGACGGCCTAGCTCGGGGCTGTTGTGGGTCGGGCCGGGGCTCGGGGCAGGGACCGCACGGTGCTTCTGGCCGTGGGCACTGATCTGCTCCAGAATGGCCTTCGTGTCATCCCGAAGGTTGCTGCTGTACAAGGCGTTGGCCGTGGCTGAGGACAGGCGCGCCCGCGGACCCCGCTCTTCTGTGGCAGCCTCCGTGCTGTCACCCTGGCCCAGTGACAGACGCCGCGGGCTCTCGGGTTGGCCGTTCTCCTGCGGCACTGGGAAGCCACCCTCATCCTCCATGCGCCGCTCGCCCTTGGGGCTCAGCAGCTGCCTAAGACGCAAGGAGCCTTTGCGCAGGACTTCCATGGGGCCGCTCGGCCCCTCCTCCGCGGGCCCGGCCTTCGGGGACTCCCCGGAGATGGTAAGGGTGAGGCTGCCCCTGCGCTCCGGCACGGGGGGCACCGGACTGCTCCTGCGCTCCGGCACGGGGGGCACCGGACTACCCCTGCGCTCGGGGTAGGCTGAGGTGGGGCTCCCCTTCTGCTCGATAAATCCTGTAGTTGGACTTCCTCTTCGAGTGGAAAACCCAGGCGTGGGGCTCCCCTTCCGCTCAGGGTAAGCCGAGGTGGGGCTCCCTTTTGACTCATTATGGAGCACCTGGTGCGCTCCGGACCCTTCCAGCGGCAGAGGGCTGTCCAGCCCTTGCGGGGACGTTGAGTGGCTCTGGGCAGAGAGGAAGCGGGAAGGCAGGCGGTCGGAGCCGCTCCGGCCCAGTGTGTCGAGCAGCTGCGCCGCGGTGAGCGACGCGGCTCCCGGCTGCCGCTCCGCCTCCTGGTGCAGCTGCTGTGCAAAGGAGTCGCGCAGGTCCAGCAGGCAGCTCTCGAGGCTGCGGCGCTCGCCCCCCACGGCACCTGGGGCCGCCACCTCTTCCCGCCACGCCTGGGACACGACGGCCTTGCTGTGGCTGGCAACGGTGATGGCGCCCGCGCCGCCGCCGGGATCACGGGCTGGGCCCTTGTACTTCTCCAGCAGCTCCGCCACCTTGGTGGAAGCCGCGGAGCGCACGGCCTCTCCGCCGGGCCCCAGCGTCTCGCTGACCGTCTGCTCCTTGTGCAGCAGCTGCACCTTCTCAGTGGCCGCCGCAGCCCCGGCCGCGCCCTCGGCCTGTGACGTGCTGAAGATGAGCGAGGAGCGCAGCCTGGAGCTGCGCTGGACCAGGGGGTTCAGGCGCGAGCGGAATGAGTCCTGCTTGGCCAGGCCAGGCTCCTCCGGGCCCTCGCGCTCTGGGCCGTTGCCGCCGCTGCCCGGGCCTGGCACCGGGACCTTGGTGGGGAAGGCTGCTGGGACGCGGAAGGCCGAGGGGAGCAGGTCGCCGGCAGGTGCCCGGCCCCCGGGAGCCAGCACGTCGTCTTCGTAAGCCTCCGCTTCCATGGGCGCCGGTAGGCCGTCGTCGCCCCCATCCTCGCCGTGGCAGCCGCTCAAGTAGGAGGCCAAACGCCAGCGCCGCAGCCCTGCCCGCCCCTCGGGCCCGCCCCTGCGCTCCGGCTCCGCCTCGGGAGCGGGGTCTGGGCCCGGCCTCGCCGCGGCCTGGCATGGGAAGCGCTGGGTCAGGTTGGGGCGCGGGGCTCCGCTGGGCTCCAGGCCGCGGGGTCCGGGCGCGAAGGCGGGGTCCGAGCCGTGGCGCACCTCGCGGGACGCGCTGGACGGCACGTAGTCCAGCCGCTGGTGCCCGTCGGGTCCGAGCTCCGGGAAGCGGGGCCCGGCGCCCAGGGTGAAGTCATCCGGGTCCGCGAAACCCGCGCGGCCCCCGCGAAGCTTCTCGAACAGGCCTTGCGGGCGCGCCGGCGTGAGCTGCGGGTCCCACTGGTACTGCTGCTGGTAGAGCTGGTCACGGTGGAAGTGGCTGGTCTGGAAGCGGAAGTCGTCGCCGTGGCTGAGGAACGTCTGCCGCGACACCTGCCGCGCGGCCGCGAAGTTCTCCACGGCGCCCGCGCCCTCGGTCGCGAAGCTGTGCCGCTTGAAGGCGTCCATCTCCAGGTGCCGCGCCTGGAAGAAGCCCCGCGCGCCCGCGAGCTCCCCAGCCGGCCCGGCCTCGGCCTCCAGGCGCCGCGAGAGCGGCCGCAGCCCCGCGTGCGGTTCCAGCGCGCCCCCCGGCATCCGCGGCGGCTCCTCCCGGCGGAAGGCCGACAGGAAGTGGCGGTCCGGGTCGAGGAAGGAGGGGAAGCCCAGGCCCTCTTCCCGGGGTGGCGGGAACAGGAGGTGCGCTCGTTTAGGGAAGGAGAAGGGGGTTGGCGCCCCGACCCCAGGGACGCCCACGAGAGGCCCGGCCCCGGCATACGGAGCCAGGGCATAGGCGTCCATGCGGGCCAGGGCCGCGGCCGAGGGCACAAGCGGCTCGGACTGCGCGAAGAGGATGCGGAACTCCTCGTCGAAGCTGGAGACCAGCTCTCCTTGGAACACGTGCGCCAGGCTGCGGTGGATCTTCTCAAAGGACCACATGAAGCTGTGGGGGGGTCAGGGCCAGAGTCAAACCGAGCTGGAGCGAGGGCACTGCAGCCCCGTGGGCAGCGGGTGGGGCGCGGAGGACGCAGGGATGTGAGGTCTGCAAGGACCTGGGCCCGGCTAGGCTGTGCAGGGGTCTACAGGACAAGGGCTCCTGGCGAGGAGGGCCCTGGTGTGGAAAGGGGGTGCTGGGGTTACAGGAGGAGGCCCCAGAGAAGGGGGTGAGGGAGCCCCGCGGGCGCACCTGTAGCTCCCACTCATCACCACGGCACAGTCCACCAGCAGGAACTTCTCCTTGACGTGGCCCTTGAAGGACTTCCCAGTGCGGCAGTAGTAGGTGGGGCCCGCCACAGTCCGTACGCGCAGGAACTGGGGAGGGAGGGGAGTCAGATCTCTCCCACGGGTCCTCCCCAATCTCCCACTCCCGGGAACTCACATCCACGTGCTGCAGGTTGACACGGCACTTGTCGGCCATGTCCAGGAAGTGCTGCGCGTTCATCTCATCCAGCAGGATGTAGACTGGGACCCGACGGGCCGCGGCCTCCAGCACTTCGCTGAGCAGGTCCACATCAGTGAACATGTCCATCACCACGGCCACCACCTGCAGGGGCGGGTCAGGACGGAGAGGAGAGGCCCCTGCTGTCCCCACACCATTGTCCAGCCTCCCCTCCACACCCGGGAGGTGTCTGGATCACCCACGACCACTGTGAAACAAGCTAGTCCATCCTAGGGAGTTGGCGCCACATCTGGGAAGATGGGCAGGAAGAAGGGACCAAACAGAAGAGGTGTGGAACGGCTGGCCATAAGGGGGAAACCGAGGCAGGTGCAGGGCAGAGAACCCTGGATGAGGGTGGGCCAGGTTGGGGCACGGCAAGGGCCCCTCAATCCCCTCCACCCTACAGACGGCTGAGCTGCCCCCATTCCAGGGCAGCTGTCAGGGCCAAGTGCCAGGCTCCAGTTCTGCCCTGGGACGGGGTTGTTGCCCTGGGCAGGGGAGAAAGTCACAAGCCTTTAGCGTCTGGACCTCATGCCTCAGTCGCTATGGTTTAACAGCACCTTCCGCCGTCTGCTAGCTGTTTGGTGATGGTTAGAAGCCCTCAGCTGGCCAAGGGCCACCGGGCAGGATGAGAGGTAATTATCTGAACAATGAACCCAGGCTGGTGGGGTGCCCACCCATCCCCAGAGCCCCCGAGTTTCTGGGCACTGGCCATGACCACAGGCAAGCAGACCTGTGCAGAGCCTGCAGCCCCTGATGACCGAGACCTGGCAGCCCTGAAGATCTTTGCCAGGGACCCCCACTCCAGCTGGAGCTCAGGCTCACCCCTCAAGCTGATCATGCTCATGCATCTCCTCCACCCCCGTGCCTCTAGCCCAGGCCCCTCCCCCACTACCCTCAAGCCCAAGATGGCGCACCTGCTGGGCGGAACGGATCATCCTGCGGGCCTCATCCTTGATACTGGGGCTGTCGGGGGGCGGTGGCTGCACCAAGGTGGTCACCTCGGTGCCCTGGAAGCCGAAGGTCAGAGGCCAGCCCAAATCAAGCTCAGGCACGGCCTGGTCTGAGTTCACTGGCCAGTATGTACCCGAGGAGCCATCCATGTCCACGTCGAGAAGGCTGCCTTCAGGTGGCTCTCGGGTAACATACTGCGGAGGCCGAAGGTGTCGGCTCACATGTTCCAGCTCTTCAGGGCACAGGAAGTCTGGTGCCCCCTCGGTAGCGAGGAAGCGGCTGTAGGCCTCCGAGCCACCCTCGGCCAGTGCATCCACCGCCAGGCGGTAGTACTCTTTGTAGTGAGGCGGCAGGTACCCGGGTGCCAGTGGGTTGTCCCCCTGCGAGGAGCTCTGAGAGCGACGGGCCATGTTGGGGCCAGGGGCCTGGAGGGGCAGGGAGACACATGACTAGGGGTGGGGGCACTGGGACCACTCCTACCCTCGAGCATGGACACACTGTGGAAAGGGCCGTCAGTGACTTGGGTAGGCTGGAGTTTAGCCCATGCCCAGGAGGCCTTCCAGGGCACCAGCCGAACCAGGCTCACAGAGAGCAACCCAGACCCTAGGATGCCCCTAGCTGAGGGGACACTGGCAGAGGGCTGGGGCACAGGTATCCCAGCCCTGTCTCTCCTTTCTCTGGGAGGCTGAGGCAGGAGGACTGCTTGAAGCCAGGAGTTTGAAACCAGCCTGGGCAACACAGCAAGACCCCATCTCTACAAAAAATTTTAAACATTAGGCAGGCATGGTGGCGTGCACACATAGTCCCAGGCACTTGGGAAGCTGAGACAGAAGGATTGTTTGAGCCCAGGAGTTGGAGGCTGCTGTGAATTATGATTGTGACACTGCACTCCTGCCTGGGTGACAGAGTGAGACCACATCACTACAAAAAATAAAAATAAAACGAACCCCCCCCCCCAAATATTTCATGACTGTTGGCTTAAAGACAAACAATCCAGGCTGCATTCATCATTATAATATTCACTTTTTTCTTATTTTAAGACATTCACGGACCCCTGGCACTGTGCCTACTGGACAAGCTGGTGCCGCCCATGCTGCCCATGTGTCCGTCTCTGACTGCCTGGGAGACTGTGGGTAGGTCACTGCACCTCTCTGGCCTACCTCTACTGCACAACACAGCTGAGGGTCCACATGACACCACGCCTAGCCCAAGGTGAGCGCAGCAAACAGGGCTGTGACTACCCTCCTCCTGGAATGGCAACCTTAAGCCCCACACATAGTCCCGGGCCACACCTCCTCCCCATCCTCAGGGTTTCACAATTGGGCTCCCACAGCCCATTCTATGACCGCCCAGTCCTGGAACACTGATCCCTAGACTCCGTCCCTGTCTCCCAGCACCCCCTCCTTCCCTTGGCCTACCTTTGACCTCTTTCTTGTCACTGTCCCTCTCAGATAAAACCTCCCTGGGCCACAGCCCCTTGGTGCCCACAGGGCCCTGCAGGGCCTGCACTCCACATCGCCCAAATCTGGCTCTCCACTTGCTCAGAGTCCTGTCCCCACCAGCCCCCATCCAGGGCAGCAGGGACCTTTCCAGGTCCTGGGCTCGCCACCACCATCCATGCTTGGCTGCCCCACAGCCCACTCTGTTCTCCAAAGGGTCCCTGCGGGGGCCTGGCCTCTCCAGAAAGGTGTCAGATGGGGAGCGCCCAGGGCCCACGCACACAGGGTCACTGAGCTACCTGGGTACCTCTCCCTGGAAGGAGAGCCCTAGGGACTGCTCAGTCCATCCCACTGCTCCTCGGGTTGGGGAGGGAGGCAGGACACCTGTCCCCGCCTAGCACACAGGTTCCTGAATGTTGGCCCTGGCTAGGAAGGTGCCCAGAGGAGCGTGCCCCTGGGCGCTGACAGGATGGATGCCGGCCAGCTGGACTACATGGGTGCTAGCCGGAGCCACTTGGCTGAGAATGTTGGGGTCAGGAGGCAGCCGTCCTGCCTGGTGCCCCTGGGGGTGACATGGAGTTGAGACATGGGAAATACCTGGTGCCACTCAACAGCCCTAGATGCCAACCGGCTTGGGAGAAGCTGTCCCAACATTTCTTTGTTGGGGCACCGTCCTCATGGTTGACATATGGGGCTGGTTAGGGCACACCGCTCTGGTTGTGCCAGGGGCAGATCGAGGCCAACCACATGGGGGTGAGGTGTAGGCCTGTCTGGCTGGGCCGAGGAGCCCACTCACCATTGCCAGCCTGTCTGTAGGGGCGGTGTCTGACCATACAGGGCAGGGGGAACAACCCTGCTGATGTTGTTTGAGGGTACTTCCCGACACTGGGGGGACACTCTAGAAAGGACCCCCACTGTCCCTTTGGATTTCAGTGTCCAGGCTCCAGGCTGTGTGTAATGGGGGCAGGGACCATCCAGACAGTGGAAGCCCCCGTGGCCAGGAGCCCTCCCAGCAGACATGCCTCGTCCTCACAGGGTGATGCCCAGACCTCCAACTGCTTCATTCCTCACGTCGTCTCCTTTCATGGGTACGTGTCTCCTGGGCTATGGACGGGGCTGCAGCCACTCCCGAGCCCAAGATGGAGCACCCCAGTGGCCTGCATGCCCACACATTTGCCTACCAAACGTCTGCCCAAGGGAGGGAGGGCGCGGAACCCACCCATGGGCAATGACTCAGCACGAATCCACTCTTCTGCTTGCTGACCCCTGACCTCTGACTCGAAGTCAGGGCCCTCAGCTGGCCTTCAAGGACCCCATCCTCTCCACCCTGGCAGGAAGTGGGGTTCCTGAGTATCTGGAAGGAGGACCCCATGGAAGGATCTGGAGTTCCTACACAAAGTGGGGTGAACCTGTGCCAAGTTCCGATGGGCGCAGGAGGGCGCGGAGGCTCTAGGCGGCGGAAAGGTGGGGTGCGGAGGACGGGGCTCACAGACCGGAAGTCGCTCAGTGATAACTTGCGGAGTGGGCACCCCAGCCCCCAACGGGGTCAGTGCACCCTACGAGCTCGCGGCTGCGGCCGCTGGGTGCCCTATCCGCCCACCCCAGCCCAGGAACGTGGGCGCGAGGGGCAGCACTCCCATCACTCGCCCTGCTCGCCACGCGGGGATCCAGGCCGCACCCTGGCCACCCCAGTCCACGGCGGCCCGGGCGGATGTCCCCAGGGAAGGGTCCAGGCCGTGCCCAGCACCCAGACTCCAGCTAGGCCGCGAGGGCGGGAGCGAGTCGGGACGGCCGGGCAGGCTCGACCCGGATCCCGGGCCCCTTCCCCCTCGGCTCTTTTCGGGCCGGCGTCGTGCGGGGGCGCTCGCGTCCATATCCGCACAGCGGCGCCCCCTGTCCGAGCAGCCCCGCCACCCCGGCCCCGCGCACGCGGCCGCGCTCCACTCCCACCGCCCCTCTCTGGGTCGCGCGGCCCCGGCCCAGGTGTGGGCGCAAGGGTAGCCCAAGTGGGACCGCGCCAAGGGGCGCCCGCCCCCCGCCTCGCCCCGCCCCGCTCGGGCCGGGGGAGGGGGGCCCTACCTGGCCAGGTGCGCGGGGTCTCGGCACAGGGGCAGCAGGAGCCGACCGCCGCCCAGCGGCCTCGCGGTCCGGTCGGTCCGGCAGCCACTCCCTGCCGCGGCCCGCCCGGCCTGATTCACGCGCCCGCCCCCGCCCCGCCCGTCGCTCCTGCCTCCTGCCTGCCCGGGCAGCACCTGGGGGCGGGGCAGCCCCACCCGCGGCGCGCCCGCATTCCTGCGCCCCGCGCCCGCCGCCAGCCCCAGCCCGCGCCCCCGGCCCGCGCCCCGACCCGCCCGTGCCCTGCGGCCGCGCGCCCGGAGACCCCGGCCCAGCGCCGCCGGAGACCGTGAGGCCCGCACTTCAAAGACCCCGACCCCCGGGAGCCCAACTGTTGACCCAAGGCTCAAAGTTCCCAGCCTGACCCCTGACCCTCGCCCCGGAAGTCGGGGTGACTCGGAAGTTCCGGCTCAGTCGCTAGGAAACGAGCGAGCCCGACGCCAGGGGCGGAGCTCTGGCCTCCTCGCCGAGTTGGGGGAGGCAGGTGCGACAGGTGAGGACGGTGGGGCGGCGTCGAGCCCCGGGCGGGGCCGGGTCTGGGAGCCCCGAGAGCACAGGGGATCCCCTCACCACACACCGGTCTCCCACCGCACCAGCGCCCCACACGTAGACGAGGACCCCGCCCACACAGAGGACCCCCAGACCCCAACCCCCACCACACACACTGATGCCCACAAGTACCTGGGGTCCCCCATCTTTCTCCCTCACCCCCTCACACCGATGCCCACACTTGTAGGGGACTCTGCCGCAGTGACCCCCCCATGCACATGCGGACCCCGAATGACCTGTGCCTCATGTACACCAACCCCCAAGCACAGGAGACTCCTCAGGAAGACAGAAGCCACAAGCACACCGAGTCCTGCCCATGCCAGTCACCCACGAACACGCTGACATCCGCACACCTAGGGAACCCCACCTGCATATGAGATTTCTCAGACACCAACCCCACACACAAACAGGGGATGCCATATTCACACTGACTCTGAGAGCACAGGGGACCTCCCTCACATACGGAACCCTGTGTACACACAGGGACTCTGCAAAAACCAAGCCCCAACGGACAAGGGACCCAGTGTGCACACCAAGCCTCATACCAGACGCCCCCCCATGTACACAGCAACCCCCACACACCACCCCGAGCTGCCCCTGGGTGCTCCAGTCCCCCAGGTCCCCCTCAGGCCCTCACTTAGGGCCCCTCCCCCTCTTAGGCCCTGCCCTACACTGGATCATCTGTCCAAACCACCACCCCTCGCCCCTGCCACTCCCACCCCAAGGACTGGCCCTGCCTCAACCCTTTCTGATGGTCATCAGTCGCCTTTCTCTTTGTTCCTCTTGCCATGTGATCCTATTTTCTGTTTTCAGGGTCAGTCCCAGTTTCATTTGTTCTTTCCCCAAACACTCAGTGCCACCCCACTGGTACCAGCATGCTGGAAACATGGGTGGGGGGTCAGACCAGTGCCCAGGCAACTGTGCTGCAGCGGGTGAGGGGCATGGGGCACCGGGGAGGACCCGGACAGGCTGGGGCAGGCAGGAGGAGCCTCCCAGGGAAATGAACTTGGGGGTCAGCTGTGTGGACTAGGGAGAGGGGTGTTGCTCCAGGGCCTGACACCACCATCTGCCAGAGCCGGGACCACATAAGGTCTGAGGGTGTGGAGGGGTGAGTGCCTTGGGTGGGCTGGGGAGCAGGCTCAGGGGTGGGCTGGCTTCCCAGGGCAGTGGAGAGGCATGGAGGCTTCAGCAGAGAGGGCCATGCTCATGATTACGGTGAGAACAAAGACCGGCCCACTGGCAACCCAGCAGCTTGGGGCAGGGAGAAGAGTGCTAGACTCCAGATCCTGCGCCCGGCAGGATGGGCTGAGCCTGGGGCGGAGGGGCAGGCAAGCCACGGCCAGGGGGACGGGAGGTGGCCAAGTGCTCTTGCCAGGCATCCCGGCTCAAGCTTCTGGGCACACACCCGGGGCGGGCAGGCAGACAGGACACCAGCTGGGAAGCCTCAGGGGAGCCCATGTTCCTGCTGTCATCCACTCAGGCGCCCATGGTGTGCCCTGTTCCCCACTGCCACTGCCCCTGCCCTCTGCCACTCTGAGCACCCTCTCCCTGGTCCTTCCCTACCCACCCCCCAGGAGAATGGACAGTAAGAAGGGGAGACCCAAAGCTGCAGCTGGGAAGTGGCAGACGCTCCACCCTGGGCCCAAGACAAGAGCTGCTGCTGGTAAGTGCACCCTCTGACCTCCAGAGCACTGTCACCCAGACACTGACCTGTGAGACCTTCTATGTAGCCACCGAGAGACACCCCCTCTGAGGAGAGCCCTTCTTCCAAGAGTGGCTTTTAGGGGACCTCTGAGTTGGGATTAGGTGTGATTGACTGAGGGTTCAGAGCCCATTCATTCATCTCAGACCTTGAGCCTGAATCTATTTTTTTTTTTTTTTTTGAGACGGAGTCTCGCTCTTGTCACCCAGTCGAGTGCAATGGCGCAATCCCTCCTCACTGCAACCTCCGCCTCCTGGGTCCAAGTGAGTCTTGTGCTTCAGCCTCCCGAGTAGCTGGGATTATGGACGTGCGCCACCACGCCCTGCTGATTTTTGTATTTTTGTTTTAGTAGAGACGGGGTTTCGCCACATTGACCAGGCTGGTCTTGAATTCCTGACCTCAGGTGATCCGCCCGCCTCGGCCTCTCAAAGTGCTGGGATTACAGGCTTGAGCCACATGCCCGGCCAAGCCTGAATCTTATACCCCTGGGGTTGGGGTGGGGGCCTAGGGGTAGCACTCAGAGAAGCCCAGCTTTGGAACACATGGAGGTGGGAAGGGGGCAGGAGCCAGTGGGAGGCGCCTAGATGGCCAAAAATGGGTTTTGAAACAGGAGGGTTTGAGTCCAAGTTGGGGATTCTCAGTCTAAGCATGTGTTCTCTGACTCTCTGCTCCATCTGGGCCATCCTGTGCTGCCCTCTGCCTGCGGCTTTGCTCCCAGTCACCTTCTCCATAGTCACTTCCAGGTTGGATGGTGACAGCTCACCTGGGCTGGGTTTTCCTGTGGGTCAGGAAGGAGACTTCCCCCAGTACCCTCCCCCACCCCAGCCCCGCCTTCACTGTTGTCACTCCCTTGCTCCAGCTCCCATTTATTCTCTATGCTGGCTGTGAACACATTCCAGGTTGCAAATCTGGGGTCCTTCAGCACCCAGGCCTGCACTGGGGTCTGTGCTTGCTAAGAGAGCACCCCATCCTGCTCCCCAGACTGCCCCTCTGCTTAGAGTGGGCCTGGCCTAACACCCCTGGTTGCCAGAGAGCTCCCAGATTCACAGGAGCAGGTGGGATGATGGTGACCGCTCCTCCACGCCAGGCTGGGGTTAGATCCTAGTTCCCCAAAATAGCCCCAGCTGCGTCTGAGGCCAGCCGCCCTCCTGGAATGAGGATAATGGGCACAGGTGCCGCATGCTGCTTCCGCAATCTCTAGCCCTGAGTACACTGCACTCCAATAAACGGGGGGCAGGGCAGGTGGACCAGCAAGGCAGCCAGGAAACTGGGTTGCAGGGGTGGGGGCTGTGCTCTTCAGTTCTGCTACCTACTGACTGCACACCCAGGCCTTCGCCCTGCACCGCAGCCCATACACTGCCCTGGACGGCTCTGGCCCAGCATGCCTGGGTCTGCTGCAGGGACACCTCTGTCCCTGAACAAGTATCTGCCCTCAGTGCCCATTTCCACCAAGCATTGGGCCAGCCTGGGCAGGCTTGCTGTCCCTTGGTCTTGCAGTGCCCTGTGTGGCGGGCACCGGCTTCACTTGGCAGATGTGAAGATGGGCCCACAGATACCCTGCATCCAGCCTGGCTTCCTGGGCCTCCACAGGCATCCCTAGGTTGCTGCAGTGGCCACCGCACCAACACAACAGTCCGGGACCCCTCCCGCCACCCCATCCAGGCCTTACCTGGCCTTGGGTCTGCAGTGCTTCGAAGCCCTCACTCCGGAGCTGCTCCAGGGCCACGGCCAGCTGCAGCCCCTCCACGTGTACCCAGGCCTGCTCCTCCTGTAGCTGCTGCAGCCACAGCTGCTCCTCCTGTAGCTGCTGCAGCCATAGCTGCTCCTCCCGCCACAGCTGCATCTGCAGCTGGACCTGCCGCCACCGGTCCTCCAGCAGCAGCTGCTCCTGGGCCAGGCACAGCTGGACCTCATGGAGCCTCAGCAGTTCGGGGCCCAGGGCCGGCATGGGGTCCCCTGCTCCACAGCCTTCCATGTGCCCAGCAAGGACCAGCACCAGCTCAGACCCCGGAGCAGTGGCCGGCACCGGTCTCGAGGCTGCCTGTGGCTGCTCTGGCCTGGCCACCCTGGGGTGTCCCTGAGGTGCTGGCTCGATGCTGGTCACGTGCCCTGTAGGGGCCACCCCCGCTTCACCCTGAGGGCCCCCTGGGGTGGGGGGCGGGGGCTCGACCTCAGGGCCCTGCTGCCCAGCTGCCGGCTGGGCCCTGCCTGCCCTCCTGGCCCGGGGTTTGCGAACTCGACTTCGTTTCCCAGACATGGCCCTGGATCCAGCGCCTCCTTCACCAGGTGTCTGCTCCCCAGGGGCCCTGGCTCATGGACCAGCCGGCCTCAGGCCAGCTCAGAGGGCGTCCCTGGAGGCTACAGTGGCCGTGTGCTCCCACGCCAGGCTTGGCCCCCTGTTCCAGGTCCTGCCCCTTGCTGGAGCCCGCAGCACCGCAGCTCGGGACTCTGGCTCTGCCTATGGGCCTCACTGACCCCACTCGGTGGGGCCAGGCCACGCCAGGGAGTTTATAGGGACTCCACGGCGCGGTGGCTCGCCTGGGCTGAGAGGCTGACTAACGCGCTGACACGGCGGCACGGGGCTTTACAGGCCACGGGCCCTGCCGGCGAGACTGGGAGGGAGGCTGAGAAGCTGGAGGAGGCAGCGCAGCAGCCAGAGTGCCTGCTGTGCGCAGCAACGGGCGTGCCTGGTCCTGCCCTGGGCGGCACCAATGCCCCCCGCCCCCGCCCCATCCCGGCTCCCCCGGTCCCACAGCTGGTCGAGGGAAACTCAAACTGCAGGCCACAGGGCCAGGAGCTGCATCCTGGTCGCACTGACCCTCAGGGCCCAGACCCTCCCTGGCCACAGACAACCTGAGCCCAGCTGGCCATGGGAACCCGCAGCCCATGCACTCTGGAGGGCTCCAGGGCAGCTAGCACGCCCACAGGAGCCCCGCTGGGGTTTGGTGGAGACAAAGGACCCAGGGACCCGGTGGGAGCTAGGGCAGGGTTCGGGCCACTGCACTGCGGCTGGCTGGAGAGACTGGGCCCTCAAAGCCCTGCGTGGCACTTTGTGAACTGATGTGGGGCCCCGAGGAAAGTCCTGGCGGTCATGGAGGTGGGGCGGGGGCTCTTGGTGCCATCCTGGCTGGGGGCTGGCTGTCCTGCACTGCACTGCAACAAGGGCCTGACTGGATCAGAGCTGCCTTTGGGTCTCCAGGCTGGAGGTGGGGGTGCAGGGCTAGCCCCAAATGCCGGCGTCCTCTGGGCTTCTTGTTGGGAGGGTGGGCTCCAGGTGGCCTCCTCCCTAGCGTTTCCCCAGCCCGGGGCTGCTGACTCACGCCCACGCCCAGGGCCCCATCCCAGCCGGCTCAGCCACACTGGCCGGACTGGTTTGCCTGGCGCAACCCTGCCTGAAGCAGTGCTCCTGCTCCTGTTCAGTCCTAGTCCCAGAAGCTCAGGAGCAGAGGGACAGCCACCTGCCAGGGGAGTGCCGAATTGGACACACAGAGACCGGAAAGGGCCTGGGGGAGGGACGTGGCACAAGGTGGGGGACAGTGTCAGGGGTGGGGCAGGGCCAGCAGGCGGCACTGCCAGCCCACAGGGTCCTTCTAGCAGAGGCACCACCTGCCCATCCTTGGGCCCACAAGAGCCCAGGTGCCTTCCTGCGGGCTGGCTCTCGCCTGTGCCTCCCTGAGGCCCCCTGTGCAGTGGAGTATGTGCTGCTGGAGGAGCCCGTGCTCCTTAAGGTTGTCCGTGTGCTTCCCTCGGGAGGAGGCCCGGGTGGGGGGCTCCCTGTCTGCCAGGACGCACGGCCCTTTCGGTGCCCCATAAGTGTCTCTTGAGGCTAATGGGGATGGGGGTCTCTCATCCCAAGCTCACTGACGGTCGTTTTCCCTTAGGGAAGCCCGGGGAGAACCGCCCGCCGCAGAGGAAAGCGGGCTGGCAGGCGAGGGAGCCCGCGTCGGCTGAGAGCCCACAGGCCCCCACAGGTGAGAGCCCGCACGTCCCGCGCCGCTGTGGGTGACCGGGTGAGCTGTTGGCAGGGGGGTGCCCTGGCCCGGGACACGCTCAGTGTGGGCGCGCGCTTGCGTGTCATGTACACATGTGCTTGTGCGCGCACGTGTGGGAGTGCGCGTGTACGCGCACCTGTGAGCGCTCGGCGCAGGCCCGCGACACGCCCGAGCCCCTCCCGCCGCGCCCCGCTCTCGCCCACCTCCTGGTGCTCCACCTCCCCGCCGCCCGGGTGCGTGGCCTCTCGGGAAGACCCTACCCTGCGCCACTCGCCCTCGCGGGGGTCGGGGCCGCCTCCATCCCGGGTCCGCCGCGTCGTGCCCGCCCCGCGCGCGCCGCCCTCAGGTGGCAGGAAACGGGGCCCTGCGCGTCGCCTTGGGCCCGGATCGCCTTCTCAGGCTCTGCAGCTCCGACCCTGCGCTGTTCCCGACCGGTGTCGGCCGCTCAAACCTTCCTCCGGGCCCGATACCGCCCTGAGGCTCAGCAGCGCCTCCCAACGCGAACTCGTCGTCGGTCTCCACGCACCCGCTGCCTCCCTCACTGCTCATTCTGTCCTCGCCGCTGCCTGCCCTCCTGCTTCTGCGCTGGTGCCGCGGGACTGCCTCACCCACGGTTCCGCCTGCTCTTCCCTGGGCTCCTCTCCGCGGAGCCGACGGGGCCTCGCGGCCACATCAGGTCTGACCCTGGTGCGCCCCTGCTGGGCATGGGCCATGCTGGCCGCAGCCTCCAGATGCAGGCCTGGCACCGGCAGCCACCTGTCCTCCCCAGCCCAGGCCCGGCACCGCCCATCGCCTGATCGCCTGTGTACCCCACCACCCCGCCCCAGGTGTCAGGATAAGGAGCCTGACCCTGTCCTGAGGACGGGAGTAGTGGCAGTTGTTTGATAAGAGCCTCAGGGGTGCGGGAGCACCTCCGCGGAAGGCCCCGTGGTATGTCAGTGGTGGAGCGTGTCCAGTAGCTGGGGATTTGGCCTTGGCAAGAGGCAGCTATGAGAGGAAGCACGGAACACAAGCAAGGCCAGACTCTAGGGAACTCTGGGGAGGATGTCCCTTCTGTCACTGAAGGCCAGCACCGAGGCTCTGCCCGGGACCGTCTCCAATCATTCCTGTGTCTGGGTGTCACTTTTTCCAGGTGCAGGCTCCTGGTGGGAAACCAAGAGGCCGCTCTTCTGCTCTCAGTGTCAGGGAAAGGCAGGGACGCCCCCATTTTGCTTTCTGTAGTTTGAGGTGGACTCCTAGCCTTCCTCCAGGACAGCCCCGCCTCACTGGCTAGGCGTCTGGGGGCCTCAGCCGCTCTGCGGGGTGTGGGGCAGACAGGACCAGGGAGCTCCATCTTGTCGAGGGAAACTCAAACTGCAGGCCACAGAGCCAGGAGCTGCATCCTGGCCACACTGACCCTCAGGCCTTCCCATCAGGAGCCTGTACCTGGAGAAGGTGACACCAAGACACAGGGAGCCCCATGACCCCTGCCATGGTGCCTCTTTTTGCTACAAAGTGGGTTTCCAGCTCAGAAGCAGGGCTGCCGGGGGTGCTAGGACCGCACAGGTGGGGTTGGCAGGGGGGATTCTACACATGTGCCTGGGAGTCTATTTCAGGCAGAACAGACTGTGTCCCTTGAGAGCAGCAGGTGTGAAGTGAAACTGCCCTGCCTCCAGACGGCGGGCTCAGGGCGAGGCACTTAGCGTGGAGGGCGTGCTAGGCTCCAGCCCACAGCGGTGGCCACCCAGCTGACATGCCTTCGGAGGAGTCCATGCCGCTGACTCAGCGCTTTCTGTGCCGCAGGGACACCTGGTCGCCATCACATGGACACGCTATTTTTGCACTCGAGGCTATTCCAGGAAGTCCATCCAGACAGAGCACGCCTTCCCCAGCCTCCTCTTATTGGCCTGCAGCCCTGCTCTCCCCACGTCTGGTGATCTGTAAAGAGGGCTTGTTCTGCGTGGGTGGGACCTGCTCTAGATCCATCTTGGAAAATGAGCTCATGCCGTTGGTGTAACCACCATTCCTGCCCCCATGCCACTCTGCCCCGGGGCCTGCTGGCTGACGTCCATGGTGCAGTCGTGATGTCCACGAGCCTGTCTGTGCCCTCGCTGCGGCCGACTCTCTCTAGGAGCGTCCCCACAGGATGCAGAACCTCCCTTTGAGCTCGGTGTTCCCTGCTCCTCACAGAGCCACCCCCAAGCCTTTCCCAGCTGTCCGCATCACCACTGTCCCGGGCTCGTTCACTTCAGGCCCTGGAGAGCCAGCCCAGCCCTCACTGGTGTCCGGAGTCAGTGATACACAGCGCTCAAGTGACTCTTCCCACCCACAGGAAGTGGGTGATGAGGTGCCCCCCGGGGGCTTCCCTTGCTGCTGCCCGCCAGGATCTCCCTGCTTGGGACTACAGCATGCGGGGGAGGTCAGGCTGGAGTTGGTGTGGGAGCCTTTCCCAGCCTTTCCTCTGCATTGGTGCCCTCCCCAGGAGGCATCTGAGCTGCAAAAGGGGCGAATGCGATGTAGACACTTGGGCCCCGGGACTCGCCTGTGTCATCTGGGCTGGGCCCCACAAACACCACAAACACCTTTTCCACCACGCAATAGATGGCTGCTGGGCTGCCCAGGGGTGTGATGTGGAGCTGGGAAACCCAGCCTGGGAAGGCAGCATTCCAGGAGCTGCTTTCCAAAAGAAGAATAGCCTCCACCAGGAAGGTGTGGCTGAGCCCCAGAGCCCCAGAAACCTGCGGGAAGCTCCAAAGGGGGGCCTGCCAGAGGATACACAACCACCCTACCTCCTGCACACGGGATCCTCCAACCAGACAGTGTGGCCCAAGCAGCCTGGCTACTTTCACCTTAGCCAGCAGCCCTGGGCCACACTGGGGATGGTCCCAAACATGGCCTGTGCTGCTGTCACGGTGCTAAGGGGCCTGGCAAGCACGGGGTCTTTCTTGCTGGACGGAGGCACAGGTGCCAGAATCTATCTTTTGCCCTACAGTGTCCCGGCACAGCCTAGATCTATGGACCCCTTCACCGGGTGCTTTATCCCCCACCCCCCAGAACTCCTGGGACCATTGAGATGCCCAGGAGATGGGGGGGCCCTGTGCCTGTGTCCCGTTGCTGCTATAGCAGCCACCACATCTACCAGCTCTGCAGGGTAGCCACCGGGCACGGCCTTGCCAGGCTGACGTCGAGGAAAGCCAGCCGTGCTGTGGGTTTCCTTCCCTCTGGCTCTCCACTTCTGCCTCCCTCTTCCACTGTTTTTGGTTTGGGTTTTTGTTTTGTTCCGTTTTGTTTTTTTTTGAGACAGGGTCAGCTGTCTTGCCCAGGCTGGAGTTCAGGGGCTATTCCCAGGTGTAACCCTAGCTCACTGCAACCTCCAACTGCTGGGCTTAAGTGATCCTCCTGCCTCAGCCTGAGTAGCTGGGACTACAGGTGTGTGCTCCCACGTCTGGCAAGCCTCTTTCAGTATAACTGTATGGGTTTTTCTCCATCTTTTTTTCGTCTTTACAATTTTTGTTCTCAAGGACTTGGGCTGTTTGACTTGAGTCTTCCAGTCTGGATTTTGCTGATAAGATGGAACACCTCGAGAGTGCATCTTTGTTAACATTTAGACATGCGTCCCCTCCTCGCTTGCTCAGTGGAATTACGATTGCACTTGGAAATGTATCGTGTTGGGTGTGTTCCTTAAGCTGAACTTCCGTAGATCTGGCAGGACATTTAACACCAGAACACGAAGCCTGCTTCAGAAGTGACTGAAACGGCATCTGCCTCACAGTGCATATTTAAAAAATGATTTTGTTGTGTGAATAATTATGCTGCCATCTACAGATAAGTGAGATCAGAAACATTAGTTTCATATATTGTAGTTTTTAGTTTCTGAATACTTATTGGATTCTTTTTCTTTTTTTTTTGAGATGGAGTTTCGCTCTGTTGCCAGGCTGGAGTGCACTGGGGCTTGGCTCACTGCTACCTCCGCCTCCCAGGTTCAGGCAATTCTCCTGCCTCAGCCTCCTGAGTAGCTGGGACTACAGGCACCCACCACCACACCCAGCTAGTTTTTGTGTTTTTAGTAGAGACAGGGTTTCACCATGTTGGCCAGGATGGTCTCGATCTCTTGACCTTGTGATCCGCCCGTCTCAGCCTCCCAAAGTGCTGGGATTACAGGCGTGAGCCACCAGGCCTGGCTCCTTTTCCACTTTCATGGACCCTCGTGATTGCATTGGATCTCCCCGGGTAATCTGGGATGTTCTTCCTGGCCTAAGGTCAGCTGATTAGCAACCTTAGTTCATCTGCAGTCTCCATTCTCTTTTTGCTGAATCACGTCAAGTATTCACAAGTTCCAGGGGGCAGGAGGTGGACATCTTTGGGGGACATTATTCCGCCCACCAGAAAACCCAGGAGCAGCCACAGCCCCAAGACGAGGCAGGGAAGGAGTGCTGCTGTCTGCCGGTGAAGATGAACTGCTTCTGACCCTCCCGAGCGAGGATATTGAGAAGAAAGAATTTGCCAAGATGCTAGTCACACACCAAGTACAGAGGCTATGTTGGTCGGCTGCAGCAAAAAGACCACTCGCGGCGTGGCAGCTCTCACTGGCCCTGCTGCCTCTTCAAGTTGACTGCAGTCCATCACCCACGGTCATTATTAATTTGTTTTTGCAAAGGCCAGGCAGGTGAATCTAATGGAGATGGAAACCACCACACCTGCTTCCCTGGTCTCTGATGTTGGTGTTAACCTCTGCAATTCCTCAAGCAAAGCACTCCTTCTATCAGGCTCACTGTCTTGCTGGAGGGAGGAAGTTCCACAGGCTCTCACTTGGTTCTTTCTGCCGTAACAACCCTTACTCCTCCGGCCAAGGAGCCAATGTGAGCATTCAGCTGGCAGCTAAGAATGTGTATCCCAATAAACAGGGCAGACCTACAGACCCACTGGACCCACTAGAGATGGACTTGGGCCACAGTGCCTTCCATGACTTCAGTAAACAGAGGGGTGTGGTGATCTTGTCAAAGTCCTGGCGTCAATGTCAGTGTCCGGCTACACACCATGTTCCCGTCCTCGAAAAGCCTCTCTGTACCCCTCTATGTTGGTGACACAACCCTGGCAAATGGCCACAGACTCCTTTGGGGACAGAGTAGGAGCGTAACTGGTGGGAGTGGTTGGCATGCTTTGTATTGGGAGAGCCGCACGCCCTAGGGCTTCCAGCCTCCTCTTCAGTTTGGCAGCTGTGAGTCTGAATTTCACTCAAATCTGGAAACTGGGTGAGAGACTGTGGCAGCTGCTGTCCGGCTGGCAGAGCCTGACGTGTCTCTGATCATACTCACTGGGTCAGCAACACCCTACTGACCTTGTCCAGAATCCCACATCCCAGTTGATATCAGGGCAATCAGTTTCCTGGCTGTTTTCCCCAATATCAACCCGGGCTTACAGAAGACAGTCACCACAGAGCTCCTGCCAGGAGTTCACTCATTCGTGCATTTCTTCCTTTTTTTTTTCTTTTTGAGATGGAGTCTCGCTCTGTCGCCCAGGCTGGAGTGCAGTGGAGCGATCTCGGCTCATTGCAACCTCCGCCTCCTGGGTTCAAGCGATTCTCTTGCCTCAGCCTCCCAGGTAGCTGGGATAGCAGGTGTGTGCCACCATGCCCAGCTAATTTTTGTATTTTTAGTAGAGATGGGGTTTCATCATGTTGCCCAGGCTGGTCTCAAATTCCTGACCTCAGGTGATCTGCCCTCAGCCTCCCAAAGTGCTGGGATTACAGGCTTCAGCCACCACACCCAGCCTCATTCATACATTTCTTATTGTTGTTGTTTGAGACAGGGTCTTTCTCTGTCACCCAGGATGGAGTGCAGTGTTGTGATCATGCCTCAGTGCAGCGATCATGGCTCAGTGCAGCCTCAAACTCTTGGGCTCAAGCAGTGCTCCAACCTCAGCCTCCTGAGTAGCTAGGACTATAGGCACACAGCACCATGCCCCGGCTATTTTTTTATTTTGTAGAGATGGGGTCTCACTATGTTGCCCAGGCTAGTATTGAACTCCTGGCCTCAAGCAATCCTCCCACCTCGGCCTCCCAAAGTGCTGGGATTAAAGGCGTGAGCCACCGTACCTTGCCCTTGGTGGAATCTTTAGGGTTTTCTATTCATACATATAAAATCATATCATTGGCAAACAGAGATAATTTTACTTCCTCCTTTCCAATTTGGATGCCTTAGATTTCTTTTCCTTGCCTAACTGCTCTGTCTAGAACTCCCAGCACTATGCTGAATAGAGTGGCAAGAGCAGGCATTTGCCTTGTTCCTAACCTTAGAGAAAAATCCTTCAGCCTTTTACCATTGAGGATGATGTTTGCTGTTAGTTTTTCATAAATGATCTATATCAGGCTGAATAAATTTCTATTTCTAGTTTGTTGAGTGTTCCTTGTTTATTTTGGTTTTGGTTTCTCTCACTCTCTTCTTTTTGAGCAGGGGACAGGGGCACAGTCTGTCACCCAGGCTGGAGTGCAGTGGTGTAATCCCAGCTCACTGCAGCCTCGACCTCTGGAGCTCAAGCCATCCTCCCATCTCAGCCTCCCAAGTAGCTGGGACTACAGGTGTGTGCCATCATGTCTGGCTAAATTTTTAATTTTTTGTAGAGATGGGTTCTCACTATGTTGTCCAGACTGCTCTTGAACTCCTAGGCTCAGGTGATCCTCCCACCTTGGTTTCCCAAAGTGTTGAGATGACAGGTGTGAGCCACCATGCCCAGGCTTTGTTTGGAGATGTTTGATTACTGATTTAATCTCCTTGCTAGTTATATGTCTATTCAGATTTCCTATTTCTTCATGATTTAGTCTTGATAAGTTTTGTGTTTTTAGGAATTTGTCCACTTCATCTAGGTCACTCAATTTGTTGGCATATAATTGTTCAGAGTACTCTCTTATGATATTTTTTATTTATTTATTTTATTTTATTTATCTATTTATGAGATGGAGTCTTGCTCTGTTGCCCAGGCTGGAGTGCAGTGGCACTATCTCAGCTCACTGCAAGCTCCGCCTCCTGGGTTCACGCCATTCTCCTGCCTCAGCCTCCCAAGTAGCTGGGATTACAGGTGCCCACCACCACGCCCGGCTAATTTTTTGTATTTTTAGTAGAGACTGGGTTTCACCCTGTTAGCCAGGATGGTCTCGATCTCCTGACCTCGTGATCCACCCGCCTTGGCCTCCCAAAGTGTTGGGATTACAGGAGTGAGCCACCGCGCCCGGCCTATATTTTTTATTTCTATAGAATCAGTAGTAATGTTCCCACTTTTATTTCTGGTCTTGTAAATTTTAACCTTCTCTCTTTTTTCGTTAGTCCATCTAGCTAAAAGTTTGTCAATTTTGTTGATCCTTCCAAAGAACCAACTTTTAGTTTCATTTGTGTTCTCCATGTTTTTATATTCTCTATTTTGTCTATCTCTAATCTTTATTATTTCCTTCCTTCTGCTAGCTTTGGCTTTAGTTTGGTCTTCTTTGTGTATTTCCTTAAGTTATAAAGTTAGGTAGGTTATTGATTTGAAATCTTATGTATTAGTTTCAGCGTTTATGGCTGTAAGTTTCCCCCTTAGCACTGCTTTTGCTGCATCTCCTAAGGTTGGTATGTTGTGTCTTTGCTTCCATTTGTTCCTAAGTATTTCCTAATTTTCTTTGTGATTTCTTTTTTGATCCATTGACTGTTGAAGGGTGTTTTTTTTTAAAAAAGAGTATATTGTTTAATTCCACCATTTTGTGAATTTTCCACTTTTACTTCTGTTATTGATTTCTAACCTCATCCCACTGTGGTCAGAGAAGAAACTTTGCGCAGCGTGATTTTAAAAAATCTATTGAGAGTTAATTTGTGGCCTAACATATGGTCTACCCTTGAAAATATCCCATGTACACTTGAGAAGAATGTATATGCTATTATTGGCTAGAGTGTTCTGTATGTCTGTTAGATCTAGTTGGTTGATTGTGTTAAGTCCTTTCCTTTCCTTTCCTTTCCTTTCCTTTCCTTTCCTTTCCTTTCCTTTCCTTTCCTTTCCCTTTCCTTTCCCTTTCCTTTCTTTTCCTTTCTTTTCTTTTCTTAGGGTTTCACTCCTGTCACCCAGGCTGGAGTGCAACAGCACAATCTCGGCTCACTGCAACCTCTGCCTCCCGGGCTCAAGCGATTCTCCTGTCTCAGCCTCCCAAGTAGCTGGGACTACAGGCATACACCACTGCGCCTGGCTAATTTTTGTATTTTTTATACAGACAGGGCTTTACCGTGTTGCCCAGAGTGGTCTTGAACTCCTAAGCTCAAGTGATCTACCCGACTTGGCTTCCCAAAGTGCTGGCATTACAGGTGTGAGCCACCATGCCCAGCAAGTCCTTTATTTCTTTACTTATCTTCTTATCTTCTGCCTGGTGGTTCTATCCATATGGGGGCGGGTATTATCTCCAACTATTATTGTAAAACTATTTCTCCCTTCAGTCCATTGTGTTGGCTTTTGCTTCATATATGTATATATAAATATATATATCATATATAAATATACATGATATATAATATATAAATATAGATGATATATATGATATATAATATATAAATATAGATGATATATATGATATATAATATATAAATATAGATATATATATCATATATAATATATAAATATAGATATGATATATATCATATATAATATATAAATATATAATATATCATATATAAATATATAAATATATATCAATCATATATAAATATATAAATATATATCATATATATCATATATAAATATATAAATATATATCATATATATCATATATAAATATATAAATATATATCATATAAATATATATAATATATAAATATATCATATATAAATATATAAATATATATCATATAAATATATAAATATATATTTCATATATAAATATATAAATATATATATCATATATAAATATATAAATATATATATCATAAATACTTAAAAATATACATATATATCTATATATAAATATATAAAAATATATACATATATCTATATATAAATATATATCATATATAAATATATCATATATAAATATATATCATAAATATATATCATATATAAAATATAAAAATATAAATATATATCATATATTAAATATAAATATATATCATATATGATATAAATGTATATAAATATATAGCATATATGATATAAACGTATATATAGCATATATGATATATATCATACATGATATAAATGTATATATCAATATATATAATATATAAATATATATCATATATAAATATATCATATATATCATATATAAATATATACCTATATATCATATATGTTATATATGATATAAATGTATATATAAATATATATAAAAATATATAATATATAAAAATATAAAAATATATATAAAAATATATAAAATATATAAAAACATAAATATATAAAAATATATAAATATATATAAATATGTGAATATATAATTATATATCATATCATATATAATATATACATATATCTCATATATAATTATATATTATATATCATATATAATATATAAATATATGTATAAATATATAAATATATATCATATAAATATATAAAAATATATATCACATAAAAATATATGATATATATGATATATATCATATATATCAATCATATATATATATTTTATTTATTTATTTATTTTTTTTTTTTTTGAGACGGAATCTCACTCTGTTGCCCAGGCTGGAGTGCAGTGGCATGATCTCGGCTCACTGCAATCTCCACCTCCTGGTACCTGGGATTATAGGTGCCTGCCACCATGCCTGGCTAATTTTTGTGTTTTTTGTGGAGATGGTGTTTCGCCCTGTTGGCCGGGGTGGTCTCAAACTCCTGACCTCAGGTGATCTGCCCACCTGAGCCTCTCAAAATGCTGGGATTACAGATGTAAGCTACCATGCTTGGCCTGCTTCATATATTTTGATGATCAGACATTAGGTACATACATATTTATAGTTATTATATATTCTTGCTATATTGAACTTTTTTTGATATATAATGTCCTTCTTTGTCTCTTGTGAACTTTTTTTTAAATTTTATTTTTATTTTTATTTTTTATTTTTTTTGAGGTGGAGTTTCGCTCTTGTTGCCCAGGCTGGAGTGCAATGGCACGTTCTCGGCTCACTGCAACCTCTGCCTCCTGGGTTCAAGCAATTCTCCTGCCTCTCAAGTAGCTGGGATTACAGGCATGCGCCACCACGCCCAGCTAATTTTGTATTTTTAGTAGAGACGAGGTTTCTCCATGTTGGTCAGGGTGGTCTCGAACCCCCGACCTCAGGTGATCCGCCCGCCTCAGCCTCCCAAAGTGCTGAGATTACAGGTGTGAGTCACCGTCCCTGACCTCCCTTGTGAACTTTTTTGATTTAAAAATGTATTTTGTCTGATACTAGTACAGTCATTCCTCCTCTTTTGGTTTCTATTTGCATGGAATATCTTTTTCTATGTTTTCATTTTCAATGTTTGTGTTTTTCAATCTAAAGTGAATCTTTTGTAGACAGCATATACTTGGATCAGGGGTTTTTATTCATCCTGCCAATCTCTGTCTTTTGATTGGAGAGTTTAATCCATTTACATTTAAAGTAATTAGTGATAAGGAGAGACTGGGCACAGTGGTTCATGCCTGTAATCTCAGTGCTTTGGGAGGCTGAGATGAGAGGGTTGCTTGAGGCCTGGAGTTGGAGACCAGCCTGGGCCACATTCTACAGAAAATTAGCCAGGCATGGTGGCATGTGCCTATAGTGCTAGCTACTTGGAAGGCTGAGATGGGAGGATCACTTGAACCCAGGAGTTTGAGGTTACAGTGAGCTATGATTGCACCACTGCACTCCAGCTTCGGTGACAGAGCAAGAACCCACCTCTAAAAAACAAAAAATAAAATAAAATTAATAATTACTGACAAGAAAGGACCTACGTCTGTCATTTTGCTATGTGTTTTATATATGCCATATAACTTTTTTTGTCCCTCATTTCCTGAATTACTGTCTTCTTTTGTGTGTGTGTGTGTGTGTGTGTTTTTTTGTAGTGAAATGTTTCAATTTCTTCCTCAATTCCTTTGGTATATATTCTATAGGTTTTCTTTGTGGTTACTATGGGGTTTACATTTAACACCCTAAAGTTCTAACTCTCCAATTTGAATTTATACCAGCTTAACTTCAACGACATAAAAAACTCTGTTCCTTTACAGCTTTGTCTCCACTCCTTTCAGTTGCTGATGTCACAAAATTACATCTTTATACATTGTGTACTCCAAAACATAAATAATTCTTATAAATGCACTGGTCTCTTAAATTATCTAGGAAAAAAGTGGAGTTACAAACCAAAATTATAGTAATAGTAGCTTTTAAATAATTTAAAAATAATAATTTAAAAATATGGGCTGGGCATGGTGGCTCAGGCCTGTAATCCCAGCACTTTGGGAGGCCAAGATCGGTGGATTACCTGAGGTCAGGAGTTCAAGACCAACCTGGCCAATATGGTGAAACCCCGTCTCTACTAAAAATACAAAAATTAGTCGGGTGTGGTGGCAGGTGCCTGTAATCCCATCTACTTGGGAGGCTGAGGCAGGAGAATCACTTGAACCTGGGAGGCAGAGGTGGCAGTGAGCCAAGATCATGCCATTTCACTCCAGCCTGGGCAACAGAGCGAGACTTCATCTCAAAAAAAAAAAAAAGTGTGTGTGTGTGTGTGTGTGTGTGTGTGTGTGTGTGTGTATATATATATATAAAATCCTATACAAAACAGACATAGACTTAGAAGTTACCCACATGTTTATCTTTATTGAGATCTTTATTTCTTCTTAACAGCTTTGAGTTACCATCTAGTGTCCTTTCAACCTGCAGGACCTCCTTGAGCATTCCTTGCAGGGCAGGTCTAGTGGTAACAAACTCCTTCAGCTTTTGTTTATCTGGGAATGTCTTATTTTCTTCCTCACATGTGAAGGATAGTTTTGCTGGATATAGGATTCTTTTTTGCCAGTTTTTTTTTTCTTTTAGCACTTTATTTATTATTCTTATTATTTTTTTATTTTTGAGAGAGAGACTTGCTCTGTTGCCCAGGCTGGAGTGCAATGGCACAATCTTGGCTCACCGCAACCTCTGCCTCCCAGGTTCAAGCGATTCTCCTGGCTCAGCCTCCCGAGTAGCTGGGATTATAGGCGCCTGCCACCAGGCCCAGCTAATTTTTGTATTTTTAGTAGAGACAGGGTTTCACCATGTTGGCCAGGCTGGTCTCAAACTCCTGACCTCAGGTGATCTGCCCACCTTGGCCCCCCAAAGTGCTGGGATTACAGGCGTGAGCCACCACACCCAGCCTTTCTTTTAGTGCTTTAAATATATTGGCCCTCTGCCTTCTGGCCTCCAAGTTTCTGATGAAAAATCTGCTTGTCATTTTATTGAGGATCCCTTGTATGTGACAAGTTTCTTCCCTCTTGCTACTTTCAGGATTCTAACTTTGCATTTCAAAAGTTAGACTATAATGTGTCTCAGTGTGGGTCTCTTTGAGTTCATTTTACTTGGAGTTACTTGAGCTGCTTGGATGTTTATATGCATGTCTTTCATCAAATTTGGGAAGTTTTCAGCCATTATTTCTTCAAACATAGTCATAAGCTGCATAATGACATTTTGGTCATCAATGAACTGCATATATGATGGTGGTCCTCAAAGATTATAATACTGTATTTTTACTGTACTTTTTATGTTTATATGTACTTAGATACACAAATACTTACCATTGTGTTATAATTGCCTAAGTATTAAATACAGTAACATGCTGTACATATTTGTAGCCTTGGAGCAATAAGTTATATACCATATAGTTTAGGTATACAGTAGCTATACCATGTAGGCTTGTATAAGTACTCTCTACGATGTTCACACAATGTTGAAATCACATGAGGATGTATTTCTCAGAACATATTTTTGTTGTTAAGTGATGCATGACTGTATTCTCTCTGCCCCTTTCTCTTTCTTCTCTTTCTGAGGTACCTAAAATGTATATGTTGGCCCGTTTGATGGTGTCCCACAGGTCCCTTACTCTCTGTTCGTTTTTTTTTTTTTTTTTTTTTTTTTGAGACAGGGTCTCACTCTGTCACCTGGGCTGGAGTGCAGTGGCACAGTCACATCTCACTGCAACCTTGACCTCCTGGGCTTAAGCAATCCTCCCTCCTCAGCCTCCTGAGTAGCTGGGACTATAGGTGTGTGCCACCATGCCTGGCTAATTTTTGTTTTTGTTTTTATTTCTTGTAGAGACAGGGTTTTGCTATGTTGCCCAGGCTGGTCTTCAACTCCTGGGGTCAAGTGGCCCACCTGCCTCAGCCTCCCAAGGTGCTGGGATTACAGGTGTGAGCCACCGCACCTGGCCTTTTTGTTAATATTTCCATTTCATTCATACATTATTTTCTTGACTTCTTCCATGTCTTCCTTTAGTGCTTGAGTTCTTTAAGATAATTGTTTTAAAGTCTTTGTCTAGTAGCCATGCCATCAAGGTTATTTTTAGGGAAAGTTTCTTTTTTTTTTTTTTTTTGAGACGGAGTCTCGCTGTCTCAGGCTGGAGTGCAGTGGCATGATCTCGGCTCACTGCAACCTCTGCCTCCCGGTTTCAAGTGATTCTCCTGCCTCAACCTCCCAAGTAGCTGAGATTACAGGTACCCTCCACCATACCTGGCTAATTTTTGTATTTTTAGTAGAGATGGGAGTTTCACCGTGTTGGCCAGGCTGTTCTCGAACTCCTGACCTCAGGTGACCTGCCTGCCTCGGCCTCCCAAAATGTTGCGATTATAGGTGTGAGCCACCACGCCCAGCTTTTCAGAGATAGTTTCTGTTGATTTATTTTTGTTTTCCTTTGAATTGGCCATACTTTCCTGTTTCTTTGTATGCCTTGTGAACTTCTGTTGAAAACTGGACATTTGAATCTAATAATGTGGTAACTCTGGAAATCAGACTCTCCTCCTTCCCCAGGGTTTGCTGGGTTTTGTTTGTTTTTTTTTCTTTTCTACTGTTGTAGGCTGTCTCTTTCCAAGGCTCAGCTGGGGTATAAACTTACGGTCTTCTTGGGACTCTTCTGAGCCTTTCTTTGGCATTTATGGTCACTTTCTAATTTCCCCAGTATATACAGTTGTTTTGAATGTCCTAGCCTTTCATGTTTGGCTCCTAAGAAGAGAAAAAGAGAAAAATCAAGAGGGAAAAAAAGGCACCAGCTCTTTAAAGCCCTGGAAGTCACTTCAGCCAGAGGGGGAGGGGCTTGCAGCAATGTGGGGAGGGGCCATGACAATGGCTGCTGCTGCTTTGTCTGCCCCTCAGGAGCCATTGCTGCTTAACAAGTGGTTACAGACTTCGTGACTATGTTATCATTCGGCCGTATCCGTGGGTCAGGAGTCCGGGCACAGGCTAAATGGGTCCTCTGGCTGAGCACCTCTCCCAGGGCTAACGCCAAGGTGTTTCAGCCAGGGCTGCATTCTCATCTCAAGGATCGACTGGGGAAGGATGCGCCTGCAAGCTCCCATGCTTGTTGATGAAATTCAGTTCCTTGTGGGCAGTTGGGCTGAGGGGCCCCCATGTAGCTCAGTTTTGCTACATGAGCCTCTGCCTAGGACATCTTGCAACATGGCGCTGAATTCATCAAAGCCTGCAAGGGAGAGAGTCTGCCATCAAGACAAAGGTAGCAATCTTATTTTTATTATTATTTTTTTTTTGAGATGGAGTCTCTCTCTGTTGCCCAGGCTGGAGTGCAGTGGCCTGATCTCAGCTCACTGCAAGCTCCGCCTTCTGGGTTCACGACATTCTCCTGCCTCAGCCTCCTGAGCAGCTGGGACTACAGGTGCCAACCACCACGCCCGGCTAATTTTTTTGTATTTTTAGTAGAGACGGGGTTTCACTGCATTAGCCAGGATGGTCTCGATCTCTTGACTTCATGATCCGCCCACCTCGGCCTCCCAAAGTGCTGGGATTACAGGCGTGAGCCACCGCGCCCAGCCAGGTAGCAATCTTCTGTAACGTAACTACAGGAATGATGGACATCACATCCCATTACCTTCACTGTGTTCTCTTGGTTAGAAGCAAGTCACAGGTCCCACCCACACTCAAGGGGAAGGAATTACACAAGGCATGAATACCAGGAGAAAGGATAGCCAGGGCCATTATAGAGCTTCCCCCACAGCACCATAAATCAGTCACTGATTCAAAGCATATACTGCATCCCATAAGATACAGTGATATATTCTCAGGATACAATCTCCCAACTGGCACTGCAACCAGGTCTTAAGGCCACTAAACATTCTATCACGCCAGCTCCTCTTGAGCCAGGACACCTAGCAAGACCAGTGCATTCCATGGGAAAGAAGTTAGCTGGAAAATAAGTTCCTTAGTCCGCATCAATGTTGTGTATGTTACCATGATGTGGAATAAATATTTTATTTCATTTATTTATTTATTAAGACGGAGTCTTGCTCTGTCCCCAGGCTGGAGTACAATGACGTGATCTTAGCTCACTGCAACCTCCGCCTCCCAGGTTCAAGCAATTCTTGTGCCTCAGCCTCCTAAGTAGCTGGGATTACAGGCGCCTGCCACCATGCCAGGCTAATTTTTGTATTTTTAGTAGAGATGGGGTTTCATCATGTTGGCCAGGCTGGTCTCAAACTCCTTACCTCAAGTGATCCTCCCGCCTTGGCCTCCCAAAGTGCTGGGATTACAGGTGTGAGCCACTGTGCCTGGCCAGAATAAATATTTTATAAACTCATGGTGGCACGGGCAACATCATTGCAGTCAAGAACAAATTCATATCTAGAATCCATTCCTCCAGTGAGGACACGCAGTGCCCCTTCATGATGGAAAGGGTTCAGTGTGGTCAGCCTGCTGGCAGGTGGCTGAGCCCCTGGAAGTGGAGCCATGCTGGGGGCTCAGTGTCCATCTCTGCTGCTGGAAGGTTCAGCATTCAGTGGTGGCAGCCTTGGGGGGAGGAAGATCTAATCTATGTTGTAGAGCCCATGCAAAGCCCCCATCTCTGCTGCTGCTCATTGATAAAGCATGAAGGTGGCTGGAAAGCATGACTGCCATCCACAGTGCATGGTTTCAACCTCCTGATGATCCCTCTTGGTACATCTCCCCAAAATGCATGACTCTGGTGGACATTTGCAAAGGTGCACAACATCTTCACATTCTGTGCTGTCCACCCACATCCTCTTTCCCAGATATGCTTCTTACCAGTCTCCCAAGCCTGCTCTTTTTGGTATCTAGCCAAAGCATTAACTACCACCAGGAACTAAGTCAATATTTTCTTCCACGGATCTCTTAGTCCCGACAAAGTGGACAACACAATTCACAGCTCAAAGTGCTTCTCATTGCCAGGCACACTCCTGACTTAAGGCTGGAGCTCAGTACACCACGAGGGACTGTCTGAGAACCAGGGCTGCTTTTCTTTCCTTGTCAGGTGACCATGAGGAGCTTCCCAGGATGCCATTGGTGTGGATCAATAGGGAGGAGGTGATGGAGGAGCACCCCGTGTCACAGGCATCTGAGCCGCCAGGACCTTCGCACACCCAGTTTCTTATGTTTCATCTTCATTCATGGTACTCGGTGTACCATGAATTGCTGGTACACACGCCCAACCTCGTGGCTTGGTGGGTCTGGTGCCATCGGTTCATGATGACTATCCCAAATGGTGTAGTTATTGGGTGTCTTGTGATTAGGCATCAGTGCTTGCCAGGGCCCCATAGCAAACCAGAGTTTTTTTCTCAAAAGAATAGCTTAGGCTCACGTCTGTAATCCCAGCACTTTGGGAAGCTGAGGCAGGAGGATTGCTTGAGCCCAGGAGTTTCAGACCAGCCTGGGCAACACAGTGAAACAGTGTCTCTACTAAAAAAATTAAAAAAAAAAAAAAAAGTAGCTGGGTGTGGTGGTGCACACTTTTAGTCCTAGCCACTTGGGAGGCTGAGGCAAGAGGACTGCTTGAGTCTTGGGAGGTCAAGCTGCAGTGAGCTGTGATCGCGCCACTGCACTCCAGCCTGGGTGACAGAATAGGACCCTGTCTAAAAAAAAAAAAGTCTTATGCAGAAAAGAGCATGACTTTGCTCTAAAACGCTAGGGTTCTGTGCTGTGATTTTCTTACTGGGTTTCTCCAGAAGCTTCAAACAATATTCATATGTGCAACTGACAGTCAGAGTGTCACTGATCTATTGGGACACAAGGCTTAAGTGGTGAAGCAGGTGGCATTGAATGCTGGTCTTAACTGCAGAGGCTCTTCTTGCCCAGGGGCCAACTCAAAGCCACCAGACCATGAACTAATTGATGAATGGGTTGCAGGGCTCCAGGGTCGCCTTTGAAAAAGCACATAGGCCTGCAGATACGCCCGGTTTATAGTGGCAGGTAGTGTAAGGTACATAATGTGTCTTTCTTTTTTTTTTTTTTTGAGACGGAGTCTCACTCTGTCACCCAGGCTGGAGTGCAGTGGTGCGAGCTTGGCTCACTGCAAGCTCCGCCTCCCGGGTTCATGCCATTCTTCTGCCTCAGCCTCCCAAGTAGCTGAGACTATAGGCGCCCGCCACCACGCCCAGCTAATTTTTTGTATTTTTAGTAGAGAAGGGGTTTTCACCATGTTAGCCAGGATGGTCTCGATCTCTTGACCTCATGATCCGCCTGCCTTGGCCTCCCAAAGTGCTGGGATTACAGGCATGAGCCACCACGCTTGGCCACAATGTGTCTTTCATCTTAAAATTTTTTTTTTTAGAGATGGCGTCTCACTGTGTCACCCACTCTGGAGTGGCATAATCATAGCTCATTGCAGCCTAGAACTCCTGGGCTCAAGCAATTCTCCCACCTCAGCCTTTTGAGTAGCTAGGATTTTACAGGCCACTGTGCCTGGTGTATTTCATCTTTTAGGAGATATTCTAACATGCCCCAGGCTACTGGATTCCTAGAAACTTCACTGACATTGTAGGACCCTGAATTTTCATGGCTTGCATGAAAATGTCATTTCTTACTGAGGCATTCAAGGTATTTGCTACTCTGTGTTCATTTAGTCCAATCAGGATAAATTCACCAATATAGTGTATCAGTTCATGCTTTTGGGGGTCAAGACAATAAAGATCTCTGGATTAGATTACCTCAGAGAGTGGTAGCACTGACCCAGCAGTGAGACAAGAATGTGAGGGTGTTTTGTCGGCCCTATTATGTAAAAGCAAAGTGTTTCTGGTTATCCTTGCAAATTATTATTTTTCACGTTCTAAAAGACAAAACAGGCTCAGCGCAGTGGCTCACGCCTAAAATCCCAGCACTTTGGGAGGCCAAGGCAGGTGGATCACCTGAGGTCAGGAGTTCGAGGCCAGCCTGACCAACATGGAGAAACTTCGTCTCTACTGAAAATACAAAATTAGCTGGGCATGGTGGCACATGCCTGTAGTCCTAGCTACTCGAAGGCTGACGCAGGAGAATCGCTTGAACCTGGGAGGCAGAGGTTGTGATGAGCCGAGAATGTGCCATTGCACTCCAGCCTGGGCAACAAGAGCGAAACTCCATCTCAAAAAGAAAAAAAAAAGAAGATGAAACATTTTATCTGGGTGAAGGGATGATTTAACTCATGAAACTTGAGAACACGAGAACAACAAAAATACTTTCCTTGAACATTTTCAGCTAGAATGACACGGCATTCTCCTACATAAAACATTATAATTTTCCCACTACTCCAAAGGAATCCAATAAATAATTTTACAGTGAAGGGGCCTGGATCAAAACTGGCAGTGACACCTGGCCCCTGACAAGCCTGAGTCACAGGTCCCTGTGCAGGTCCCAGCGTCCAGTCCTCCAAGAACCAGCACTGCCGGAGCCTCGCTGTGGTTTCTTCCTTCCCCGATGGGACCAGCTGGAATTTCCAAGCTGCTTCACAGAGGCCAAAGATGACAACACGAGAGGTGGTCAAAGCCAAGGTTTCCCTGCGCTGCCTTTGTCTTCTTCCCATGGCCTGGCCTGAGTGCTGCAGCTGGGCCCCAGGAGATGAGCTCCTCGCCCAAGCTGGAGAGCATCCGCTGCACCCGCCATGCCGGGAAGAGCTCGGGTGGGCTTTCTCCATAGCAATTCTTCGCAATGGGGTCCCAATCGGTGGGATGAGGCCCTGGGATGAGGTCCTGCATTTGGCCGGACATGACTCAATACTGATCTTCGACTGCCATGAAGAGGTTCTGGAACACCACGATGCTCCAGGAGAAGCTCCTGGCTGGGCTGCAGGCAGCAAGAGACATGGCCAGCAGCCGTCACAGCAGCACTGCTTCACACTAGGGCTGTGGACGTTACAGCCCTGCACCAGCAAATCCCTCCTCTCGCAAACATAGCCTGGTTCATCCACGATGAGGAGCTTCCCTTGCACAGAGTTCTGGCACTGATTCCACGGGTGACTGCTACTGCCCAGGTTAACCTGCACTTTGCACGGGCTGGGCTGGTCGTGGTCTTGAACCTGGAGGAGAGTCCTATGTCTGACTCCCGCTCTTCCTGCCTGAAGGTGCTGCTGAGGACATGGATGAGGATATCTGGGCAAGGGCCCCACATGCCCAGCAGCCCCATCCTTGTGAATGATTATAGGGAGAAAAGCATTTTCCAGGCCAATGGCTCACTCCAGGTGCCAGGGGTCATGTCAATTTGCTCTGGAAAATATGTCACATCAGTAGCAGCAGGTGCAGTTGGAATAGCCACCTGCTGAGCTTTGTGAAAATCCACAGGCGTTCTCCAAGGATGCCCGCCTTGCGCCTCGCCCAGCTAGGGAGTCAGGTGGGGGCTGTGCTGGGGATCACCAGCCCTGCATCGTTCACATCTTTTGGGGGTAGCACTAACCTTGGCATTTTCACCAGACATGCAGATTTGAGTTCATTAACCTGGTAGGAAAGAAAAATTGCAGGGCTTCCATTTAACTTTTTATACCATGACAGCCGTAACCCTGTGGGTCACAGAGCTGATGTGAGAATGCCGCCGGTTTCTGGGATGTCTTTTTAGCTACACACTCAGGAGCTTGCAAAGTGACCACAGGCAGGCTCTGCAGAACTCCCAGGCCCAGCTCGAGATGAACTTGGACTACAGTTGCATGATCCCTGACCGTCAGCCACCACTTTGACTGGTGGACCACCATGGTGTTTTGGGGCCCCAGAATTTGGCATTCACCAAAATCAGTGTTCTGTGGGCCCTGAAAGCGCAGGATGTCGCCCTTGTCTGGAGCACCCCACTGAAGGGGCAGTGGCTCCCGTGGGGAAGGCTGGGAGGGCAAGTCCTGCACACCTGAGAGCCCAGGGAGCCCGGCTTTCTTGTCAACCACAGGTGAGGACAAGGACAGGAACACAACCAAATCAGTTGCACAACTGTGTCTTTTAGGGTCTGTCTCATGGCACATTCTGGTGCCAAGTACTGCATCTATCAGAGTACAGTCAGGAAACAGAAAACTTACCACATTTAAGTATTTAAAATTGTAGGGCTTGCACGGTGGCTCACGCCTGTAATCCCAGCTCTTTGGGAGGCTGAGGCAGGTGGATCACTGGAGTGCAGGAGTTCAAGACCAGCCTGGGCAACATGGTGAGATTTCATCTCTACAAAAAAAAAAAAAAAAATTAGCCAGGCGTTGATAATGGCAGGTGCCTGTAGTCCCAGCTTCTTGGGAGGCTGAGGTGGGAGGATCGGTTGAGCCTGGGAGCTGAGGCTGCAGTGAACCCTGAGCGTGTCACTGCAATCCAGCCTGGGCGACAGAGGGAGACCCTGCGTCCAAAATAAATACAATAAATAGTAAAGTTTTTATGAAGAATGGCCAAACAGCTATTATAAGTTTAAAGTAACAAGAAGGACCCTGAGCTCCCACGGAGATGATTCTGGAAGCAGCGATGCCCCCGGGTTGGAGCAGAGGAGCAGCGAGGGTTTTCTGCGCTCGGCATCGCGGCGGGGCCCTCCCAGGAGCCGGTCATCGCCGCGCAGGCGGGCCCGGGAGAGGCGGGGCGCGGCCCAGCGCGGTGGCATGGGGTCGACTTTGGACTTAGGAAGACTGCGCGGGGCGGGACCAGCTGCGGAGCGCAGGAGCACCAGGGACCTCCTGGTGCGAGCCGAAGACGGTCAGGGAGGCGCGCGGGCCCTGAAGACCCATCCTGAACCAGGGCGTCAATGCGGGTTTCGCCGGGAGCAGCAGAGCGCGGAGCGGAGACTCCTGGGGCGCAGATCGGGGTAGGGCTGGAGGTGGAGCCGTCCCCGGAGCCGCGCGCCCGAGAAGGGACCCGGAGCATCTCCCGCGGGCGCCCTGCTCCTCCGGCTCCCCGCCGCCACCCTTTACCCCCGGGGCCCCGCGCCAGCCTAGTGGCGGGACGGCCTCCCGTCTCCCCTGGGAGTCCCGGAGACGCCCGGCCCCTGCCTGCTGCTCCGGCCCCGGGAAGCTGCGCGCGGACGCGATGCCTCCGACTCAGACCCCGTCTGCTCCACTGCTTCTGCCTTTCTGACCCAACTTTTGTTTTTTATGTGTCCAAATCTTGTAATATATTTATCTGTTTTTGAACAATTACATACTGACAGCCATAATGATAACTCGGCCTGGCGGGGTAACTCACACCTGTAATCCCAGCACTTTAGGAGGCCTATGCGGGAGGATTGCTTCAGCCCAGGAGTTCGAGACCAACCTGGGCAACATAGTAAGACCCCAGCTCTACCAAAACCATTTTTAAAAAAGCATTAGCTGCCTGTAGTGCCAGCTACTCCGGAGGCTGAGGTAGGAGGATCGCTTGAGCCCAGGGAGGTCGAGGCTGCAGTGATCTGAGATCACATCACTATACTCCAGCCCATAAACATGGAGCCTTATAGCTATATGTAAGGTTTTACAAATTAAATTTCAAAAGAAAATAAATTTCAGTGTTTTTTTTTTTTGCAGGAAGTGTTATAGGATCTGCAATAAAAAGCATAACATATATTAGGATAGAAATATATCCTAACATATATGATGTATACATTCTCCCTCTATAGGACATATATAAAGGAGAGTGGGATAGATATTGTATTTCAAGGAGAGTAACACAGTATATCATTTCTACTTATCGTAGAGCTTCTGTGTGTCTACAAAGTGTGATTATGGGTGTCCAATCATTTATGGTATTTGTATCCCATTCGTAAAGTAAGAGTTTACTTTAAAATGTATCAATATACCAGAAATCTGATCCTTTGTAACTATTTAAACTTGTTAGGAAGAACTTTAGATGTCAGCATAGAAATATACCAGGCGTGGTGGCAAGCACCTGTAATCCCAGCTACTCGGGAGGCTGAGGTGGGAATCGCTTGAACCCAGAAGGCAGTGGTTGCAGTGAGCCGAGATCGCGCCATTGCACTCCAGCCTGGGCAACAAGAGTGAAACTCCATCTAAAGGAAGGAAGGAAGGAAGGGAGGGAGGGAGGGAAAAGAAAAGAAAAGAAAGTTTGAGGACCACAGTGTAGACGGCTGGATGTTCAGAGCTTTACCCAGGAGCCAGGCCCTGTTTGGCCAGCTGTGCCCATCTGCCAGGCATGGACATCTCACTAGGCAGCCAGGGCATCCACTGCTTCCAAAAGCTTCCCAGGTCCTATCCCTGTGCCCTCATCAGCATACTGCACTGTCAAGATCATCTCAGGGGTGCTGAGACCACCAAGCTCCCTGTGGACATGACAAGATGGGAAGATACGCTGATGCCACTTCCATGGAGGGGCAACTTGCTTCTGGTGAATGTTGATTGAGGAAGGAAAAAATATTTACCAGATCAGTCACTGCATAACAGGTGGTAAATTGTATTGATTTGTTTCATTAAGGAGAACACACTTGGAACAGCAGCTGCAAGGGGAGTCACCTTCTGATTAAGCTGACAATGACCTAGGCATTCCCCAAAACCATCATTTTCTATTGAAATAAAACTGGAGAATGAAGTCTCAGACTGTGCAATTAGTCTACGCAATCCCCTAGTGATGCTGTGTTTTCTCTGACAGGCTGTTGTGGTAGGAAATTCATGACCCTCCCTCTTTTCTTTTTTTTTCTTTTCTCTTTTCTTTTCTTTCCTTTCCTTTCCTTTTGTTTTCCTTTTCCTTTTCCCTTTCTTTTCCTTTTCTTTTTCTTTTCTTAAAACTGAGTCTTGCTCTGTCACCCAGGCTGGAGTGCAGTGGTGCGATCTCAGCTCACTGCAACCTCTGCCTCCTGGTTCAGGAGATTCTCCTGCCTCAGCCCCCTGAGTAGCTGGGATTACAGGCGCCCGCCACCACGCCTGGCTAATTTTTGTATTTTTATTAGAGACGGGGTTTCACCATGTCAGCCAGGCTGGTCTCAAAGTCCTGACCTCATGATCTGCCCGCCTTGGCCTCCCAAAGTGCTGGGATTACAGGCGTGAGCCACCGTGCCCGGCCTGGCTTTTCTTATAATGATGGTAAGAATATGATAATGGTAGTTAACATCTGTTGAATGCTTATTGTGTGTGAGACCCTGCTCTAAGTATTTTATATTTATTAGCTGATATGGTTTGGTCCCCTCCAAATCTCGTATTGAAGTGTGATCCCCAATGTCAAAAGTGGGGCCTGGTGGGAGGTGTTTGGATCATGGGGGCGGGTCTCTCATGAATGGTTTGGTGCCCTCCTCACCATCATTAGTTCCACTCCGTGAGCTCACAAGCTCGCACGAGAGCTGGTTGGTTACACAGCCTGGCATCCATCTTGCTCTGCCACTTGCCATGGGGCACACCTGCTTCTCCTTTACCTTCTACCATGAGTAAAGGCTTCCTGAGGCCTCCCCAGAAGCAGAGCAGATGCAGGTGCCATGCTTGTGCAGCCTGCAGAACCGTGAGCCAAGTAAACCTCTTCTCTTTATAAATTACCCAGTCTCAGGTGTTCCTCTGTGGCAATGCAAAAACAGACTAACACATTAGCCAATTGATCCTCCAAACAGAAACAAAATCCACAAGCCCTAGGGGCAGGCAGAGTGGTTAACCCTCTTTTAACATATGAATACACTGGGGACTTAAGCTGGTAATTTTTTGTTATACGAGATATGATAATTCATTTCAACGGAGTCACAAAAAGTCCCTCAAGTTTTGATTTGGGAATTTAAAAATATGTAGCTGATCTGGGAATAGAAGGATGATTCTCCTTCAAGGACCATGCCTTGTTTAAAGTTCTACATTCCTCTGATACTCTCAGCAGTCACAGAACAGAGACAGGAAACATTGTGTGGAGGGCCCGCCGGAAGGACTCGGCGGCAGAGGATTCCACCTGCACAGGAAAGGTGGACAGCTGCTTGGTAGCAGAAAAAAAACGAACAAAACCTGACTCATACAACCTGTAAGCAACGCCCCCAAATCAAAGGAAAAAGCTGCAGATCACAAATCATCCAATATTCCAGTATCCCAGTATTCAGAAATAACAAACGTGCAGACCAGGCGCAGTGGCTCCTGCCTTAAACCCCAGCACTCTGGGAAGTTGAGGTGGGAGGATCACTTGAGCTCAGGAGTTTGAGACCAGCCTGGGCAACATGGTGAGACTCCGTCGCTACAAAAAAAAAAAAAAAAATTAGTGCCTGTAGTCCCAGCTCCTCAGGAGACTGAGGTGGGTGGATCACCTGAGCCTGGGGAGGTCAAGGCTGCAGTGAGCCGTGATGGCGTCACTGCACTCCAGCCTCAGTAACAAAGCAAGACCCTGTTTCTAAAAAAACCAAACAAAACAAAACTGAAAAAAGAAATAACAAACGTGCAAACATTTGATAAATAATCCAAATATTTCTCTCTCCATTTTTACAGGGGTAAATTTCCATAATTATGAAGAGGCAGAAAGAGATGGAGAGAGAGAATGTTATAACAGCAGAGATATTTTATACATTTCATTTTAAAAATAAAATGTTAAATTTAACAAATGAAAATTAGTGAACCTCAAGGAATTGCTGGATGCATAAAAATCTCTTAAAAATTGTGTACAAAAGAACATATGTAATATATATGTGCCTTAGGACAATAGAATGTAAGAGCTCACATGTCACCAACACTATTGCATCCCCACCTAACTCTGCTCCTCCCTGCAGATGAATCCACTCTTACAAATGTGTTCACCATTCCCTTACTTTTAAAATACAATTTTCAAAAAATAAAAAATAAAAATTTCAAGAATCATATATATAGCCGCGCCGGGTTTGTTGGCTCATGTCTGTAATCCCAGCACTTTGGGAGGCCAAGGCGGGCAGATCCCTTGAGGTCAGGAGTTCAAGACCAGCCTGGCCAACGTGGTAAAACCCCGTCTCTACCAAAAAATACAGAAGTTAGCCAGGCATGGTGGCGCACGCCTGTAATCCCCGCTACTTGGGAGGCTGAGGTGGGAGAATCACTTGAACCCTGGAGGCCGAGGTTGCAGTGAGCCAGGATCACACCACTGCACTCCAGCCTGGGAGACAGAGTAAGACCTTGTCTCAAAAAAAAAAAATCATATATTTATGATTATATATAATCCTCTCATCCTCACCCAATCTGAGAATGTCTATCTTTACATTTTGCAAAATTACTGGATATAAAATGAGCCTCCATGGTAATTTTAGTTTGCATTTCATGGAATGTGTTTTCAAAGGTTTATTAGCCAATCCATTTTCCTCTTCTGGGAAATGCCTGTTCATCTCTCTGCCCATTGCTCTATGGATTACTTACCTGTTTCTTTGACATATGCAGAAGTTCTTTAACAGGTTTATGTGTTGCAAATTTCTTTTCCAAATTTATATGGTTTTTCACTTTTGGTATGTTATTTTTAGATAAGCAGAAGTTTTACATTTTGACATGCTTTAGTCGTCTTTTCCTTTGTGGTATATAAAGTACATATTTTAAAAGTCATCCTTTGTTTTATGTAGCTGTGGTTCATGTTCATGGCTGTTTAGGTGTCTGTTATGTGCATATAACATTACTGATTCATTCTACTGCTGGTAGACATTTGGATTATTTGTAGATTTTGGTTTTAAAAATAACACTAGCATGGATTTTCTTGCACGTGTCTCCTGGTGCACACATCCATGCATTTTTGGGGGCACACACCTGGGAGAAAGGTTGCTAAGGCACAGGTGTGCCAAGCCGTCTGCTGACGTGGGTGTTCTGATTTCCCTCCCCACAGCAGTGTAGGGACCGGTGTTCTGCAAGCCTCCCGTGGGTAGTAGCAGCCTCTCTCTAGCCGGTGTGCGTGGTATTAGGTGAGGTTTTAGATTGGATTTCCCTGGTGACTAATGAGATTCATCACATTTCCATATATTTATTGGCCACCTGGGTAGGCTCTTGTGTGCATTCAGGTATGTTACTAGTTCTCTATTGTGCTGCTGCCTTTTTTCTTACGGCTTTGTAGTATTTCCCAATATATTCGGAATACAAACCTTTTGTCAGTTACATGGATTGCAAATACCTTCTCCCACTCACTGGCATTTTTACTTTCAATGGTGTCTTCTCGTGAATAGAACTAACTGATTTTTGCTGGGCATGGTGGCTCATGCCTGTAATCTCAGCACTTTGGGAGGCTGAGGTGGGTGGATCACCTGAGGTCAGGAGTTCAAGACCAGCCTGGCCAACATGGTGAAACCCCATCTCTACTAAAAATACAAAAATTAGCCAGGCGTGGTGGTGGGCACTTGTAATCCCAGCTACCTGGGAGGCTGAGGCAGGAGAATCGCTTGAACCCGGGAGGTGGAGGTTGCAGTGAGCCAGGATCGAGTCACTGCACTCCAGCCTACGTGACGGTGCGAGATTCTGTCTCACGAAAAAAAGAAAAAAAAAAGAACGTACTGATTTTAACATGTTTTCTTTTGGGTATTTTTTGTGGTGGTCTCTGAAATAAATCTTTCCAACTCCAAGTTCCTGAAGCTGTTCTCCCATGTGATCTTCAACGAGCTTTATGGTTTTGCCTTCCGGTGCGATCACCAGTCCATCTGGAATTGCCTGTTGTGAATGGGGTAAAGTAGCAGACACCTGTCCTCCCTCTCCTCATACGGGTTTCTGATTGGACCCCACCACTGACTGAAATCTCTATTCTTTCCCACGGCTCTGTAGGCCCCCTGGCCAGGAAGTGCCCATATGCCCGGGGGCTGTTTCTGAACCCACGGCCACTGGTCTCCGTGTGAGAACATCGCACTGTCTTCACCGACATGAGGTCCTAATATCAAGAAAAGCAAGTCCTCTCACCGAATTCTTCTTTGAATTATTTGCCATTCTTGGCTCTTTCGCAGATACATTCCAGAATCACGTGGTCAATTTTCACACAAACAAAGCAAAACAGCCCTGCTGGGTGAACTTCATTAGGATTTCGTTGAACCTATAGCTCAATGTGCGGAGAGTATCACCTCTACAGCAGTGTCCACTCAATCTATGAATATGGTATATCTCTCCTTTTGTTTTCTGTTTTGTCTTAGTGCTCTTCAGAAATGTTTTATGAGTGTGTGTGTGTGTGTTTGCTCATGTGTATAGAGATCTTGTGTGTATCTTTGTCAGATTTAATCCTAGTATTTGACAATTGTTTACTTTTTTATTTTCAAGTAGTTTTGGTCTTGCAGAAAAGTAACAGAATTAGTATGGGGATTTTCCATAGATGTGTAACTTACCCAGCTTCCTCTAAGATTAACATCTTACATAGAGACAGTACAAGGAACAGAACCAGGAAATCAACACTAGCATAAAACCATTAACTAAAGACCTTCTCAAATTTCACCAGTTTTTCCAGGATGCCATATTGCATTTATTTGCTGTTTCTGCATAGTTACCTGTAGTCTGTAACTGTTCCTATAGTCATGACTTTTCTTTCACGACCTTGACACTTTTGAAGAATGAATCTGAGTGTGGTGGTGTATACCTGTGGTCTTGGCTACTCAGGAGGCTGAGGCAGGAGAATGGCGTGAACCCGGGAGGCGGAGCTTGCAGTGAGCCAAGATGGAGCCACTGCACTCCAGCCTGGACGATGGAGCGAGACCTTTTTTTTTTTTTTTTTTTTTTGTGAGACAGAGTCTCGCTCTGTCGCCCAGGCTGGAGTGCAGTGGCTCAATCTTGGCTCACTGCAAGCTCCTCCTCCCGGGTTCAAGTGATTCTTCCTGCCTCAGCCTCCCCTGTAGCTGGATTACAGGCGCCGCCACCACACCCAGCTAATTTTTGTACTTTTAGTAGAGACGGGGTTTCACCATGTCGGCCAGGTTGGTCTCAAACTCCTGACATCAGGTGACCCACCTGCCTCGGACTCCCAAAGTGCTGGGGTTACAGGTGTGAGCCACTGTGTCCGGCTGAGGCTCTGTTTCTAAAAATTAAAAATAAAATAAAGCAGAAATGATGTTGTGTTTTTGACGTACATCATGTCATGGGGCTTACGGTGCGGGAACGTCTCACCGCTTGTGACGTTGCCCTCGATCACTTAGTAGGAGGGTTTCCGCGAATGTCTCACTGCTTGTGACGTTGCCCTCGATCACTTAGTGGGGGGGTTTCCGCCAGGTTTCTCCTTTGTAAATGTACTATGTTTTCCTTTCGTGGTTGATACTTATCTTGGAAGAGATATATTGAGACAAGAGAAATTCTGCTTCTCTTCAAACCCCTGCCCACTGAAACGTGCGCCGGCGGACATACGTCGGTGGCTGTCAGCTGCAGCCGCTGCACTTCTTGTGTGCCCGATGGGAATCTGCTCCTTCCCTGCCCCCTCCTACACCCATTGATGGGATTCTACTTTCCCTCCACTCCCTCTAGTGTGTTTTTAATCCTTTATTTGTATCACTGTGGACTCACTGACGTTTATTTTGTGGGCTTAATCCAAGTATATGATAGTTTTTTGATGCTAAATATATTAAATTTTTCTGTTGCTGCTTGTGTACAGAAATACACTTTGTGAGTATGAGGTTATATTCAGAACCTTCCCAAGATTGCTTATTGATGATAATCATTTGTGATGAGTTCTTCTGGATTTTTATGTGCATCATCTGCAAATGAAGATGACTTTGACTGTTTGCTGTCACTCTTTGGAGCTGGGCCCCTGTTACCATCAGGGTTATTTTATTTCGTGAAGGTTGTGATTCTGACCCAAATAGGGCTACCAGATGAAACAGGGCTCCCAAAATCCGGGACATCCATTTAAATTTGAATTTCTCATATATACATATTCTATATGTATAATATAAAAATATATATATTTTACTGAGACAGGGTCTCGCTCTGTTGTCCAGGCTGGAGTGCAGTGGCATGATCATGGCTCACTGCAGCATTGACCTGGGCTCAAGCCATCTTCCCATCTCAGCCTCCTGAGTAACCGGGACTACAGATGCACGCCACTGCACCCAGCTAATTTTTAGTTATTTGTAGAGACAGGGGTCTCCCTACGTGGCCCAGGCTGGTCTTGAACTTCTGGGCTCAAGTGGTCCTCCCACCTTAGCCTCCCAAAGTGTTGGGATTACAGATGTGAGCCATTGCACTTGGCCCTATATATATTTTTTTAAAGAGAGACAGGGTCTCACCACGTTGTCCAGGCTGGCCTCAAACTCCTGGGCTCAAGCAATCCTCCCATCTCAGCCTCCCAATGTGCTGGGATTACAAGGCCACTGCGCTTGGCCTAAATTTGAATTTCAGATAAACAGGAATAATTTACTTAGTGTATGTCCCCCAAATTGCATCCTGTTTATTAGCTAAATCTGGCAACCCTAAACCCAAGCCATACCCAGTGCTCTAAATGCAGGTCTGTCCCTTGGCCCGTCCTCTGCTGAGCAGCTGACCCTTTGCTCTGGGCCAGGCCAGGCCCACCTGCCTGGTGTTGGGACCACCCTGCTGCACTGTTTTGGAGACCTCGTTCTTCATTTCCTCAGTAGCTTTGAATGCCGTCAGACACTTGTTTAAAAAACACTTTGATTTCGTCTGTCTTCTCTCTTGCTGTCACTGGGAAGGCTGCACCTCCTGCCCTGCCATCTGTGCTGCAGAACCAAATACTCTTCCTGGCCTACTGTTTTCCCTGCAGAATTTTGTGGACACTGCTTCATTTTCTTCTAACATTTAGTGTTTCTGTAAAAAGCCTTCGGAGGTGGCCGTGGTGCACAGGCGTGTGCCTGTGGTCCCAGCTACTCGGAGGCTGAGGTGGGAGGATTGCCGGAACCGGGGAAGTGGAAGCAGCAGTGAGCAGAGATTGTGCCACTGTGCTGCATCCTGGGTGACAGAGTGAGACCCTGTCTCAAAAAGAAAAAAGCCTCAGGAGAGCCGGACTTTCCTGTCATAGGTGCTTTGCTCTTTCTCCTCGGGTGCTTGAAAAACATTTTGTTTTGAGGCTTAACTTCAGCGAATTGTGTCTGATGCCTGTTGTTCATGCCCTTTGTTTTCTGGGATTTTTCCCCCTTTTGTCTTAAGATTCATTTCAGGATTTCCTGGGTTTTATCTTGAGTGTTTGCTCTTTGCTTGCATTGTCAGTCTCTGCATCCTAGACGCACGTTATTCTTATGACTGTATTATCTCTGTCCACTGCCACTCGGGGTCCCGCCCTCCTGACGGCGCCTCTCCCTTTATTCTCCTTCGCTGTGATTTTCCCACATGGGCTCAGCTCTCCACCCTGCCCCCGCTGGCTGCTCCGGTCCGTGCCCTGGGCCTGCAGGGTCTTCCGCGTCTCCCAGTCTCGCCTCATCCCGCCATTCTGCCCATGCTCCCTGGGAGCTTGGTTGTGGGAATCATAGTACTTGGCTCCCCAGCGGGCGCACCTGTGGAGACCCAGCTGCGCTGCCTGCTTGCTTCTGGCCTGCGCTCCCGTGGCTCCCTGCTGGGTACCCGCGTGGCCCGACAGCCTCGCCTGGCCACCCGTGCCCTGGCACAAGTCACACCCACGGGGCGCACGCTGAGCGTTCACTGTGGCGGAAGCGCCACAAGCGCCCCATTGCTGGACTCTTAGAAAGCTGCAGGTATCGTTCCACGTTAGAGCAAGGGGCTCAGGCCGGGGAGGCTGAGTGGTGCCCGGACTTCCCCAGGCCAGTCAGGGCAGCGCTGAGCCCGACGCCCTCTCCTCCGCCCCCTCCTCACTGCGAGGCGGCTCCAGGCTCGGGCTCAGCGCTCCGTTGCAGCCGCGGTGGGGCGAGGGCGAGGCCGAGCCGGAGAGGACAGAGCTCCCTCTGGGGCCCTGGGCTCCGCGCCCTCTTCTGAGTCCAGCGGGGCTGTGATGAGCCCTCCCAGGCCTGGGGCCCCCCCGCTCAGTCCAGCCTTCGCTCGCTGGGGCCTGGATGCAGGAGGGGCCTTCGGCTTTCAGGGAAGGGTGTCCCGCGGGGGACAGCACCCCTTCCTCACCGTTCCTCGGGGCTCCCGAGCTGCGGGCTCGGCGGGGCTCGCAGGATCCCCGGCGGCGTGGGGCGGGGGAGGTTCCCGCAGACCTGGGTCCTCTCCGCGTCCCGGGCTCTCGCGCAGCCTCCTCGTGCGGCCTCTGCGGGCGGGAACCCCGGCTCGGCCGCGCTGGGGGCTTTGAGAGCCGTTTGGGTCCTTCTGTCGGGGCGGGGGCGGGGGCGGGGCCGGCTCCACTCCCAGGGGCGCAGCAGGCGTGGCTGGAGGCGAGAACGCGCCCCCGTGAGCCTCTCCCCACCCCAGGGCCGGCCGAGGACCGAGCGGCCAGAGCGATCCAGGGCGCCTTCCGGCAGCTCCGGGCCAGGAGGGAGCTCGCCCGCCGCCGGGAGGAGCGCCGGGAGTACCTGGAGCAGATGGAGACGCCGCAGAAGGAGGTGAGGACGGGCAGCCGCAACAGCCGGGGGCCAGGCAGGAGGCAGGGGGAGGAAATGGCGAAGCAGGGTGCGTGGTGGGGGTGAGGCTCAGATCGGGCTCCGACCTCAGAGGCGTGGACCGTGGCCTCGGGGCTCGGGGCGGTGGCGCGGAGTGGGCGGTGACTTCGGCGGGCGCCTCCCAGGCCTACCTGGCTCCGGTGCGCCGGGAGCAGGAGGCCGCGCGGCGGCTGCGCGAGCAGGAGGAGGCGGCGCAGCGGGAGCGGCGGGAGGAGCTGCAGCGTCGCCGCCGCCTGCTGGACGCCGCCTTCGACGGGGACGTGGGCGAGATCCGGGCGGTGCTGAAGGAGGTCAGCGGGGGCGGGAGGAGGACGAGGGCGGGGGGTGGGGTGGGAGTGGGAGGAGCGGGGAGCGGTGACCGCGGCGAGCTGCGCAGGTGGAGCAGCTGCTGACGCGCGAGGGCGTGGGCCACGACGAGGCAGGCGAGGCGCGGCGGCTGCAGCGACGCGTGGCTCTGGCGGAGTGCGAGGACAGCTACGGGAACACGCCGCTGTCGGAGGCGGCCGCAGGCGGGCAGCCCCTGGCCATCCAGCTGCGGGCCGAGCTCGGCGCCAGCCCCAACAGCAAGGTGGGCGCCGTGGGCCGCGGGCCGCCGCGCTGAGGGGCGCGGTCCAGGGCCCTCAGGGGCCTCCTTCCCCCAGGGGCAAGGCCTGGATCTTGCTCGGGGGGCCCGTCTTGCAGGGCGCTTTCGGTCCGACGCCGCTGTACCGTGCAGCCTTTGGGGGCCACCTGGCAGCTGTGGAGGTGCTCCTGAAGCTCGGAGCAGACCCCCGGGTGTACGCAGAGGACGGGAGCACCCCTGAGCGGGTGTGGACCCCAGAGGTGTGGGCCCCGGGAGGTGTGAGCCCCGGGAGGTGTGGGCCTCGGGAGGTGTGAGCCCCGGGAGGTGTGGGTACCGGGAGGTGTGAGTCTGGCAGGTGCACACCCAGGCAGGGAAGGCTCACCCGACCGGCTGTCTCTGAAAGCTGTCAGAAGCCTGAGTGGCCTGCTAGAGCGGTTTCCTAGCCCCGCCGTGCGCCATTCCCTTCCTGGAAGTCCTGACTTTAAAACCTCGTCAGTCTGCAGTGGAAGTGGCAGCGACTCCCATTTTGTGAATGCCTTTGGTGTCGGGTTTTGTGTCATTTCCTTCCGTGCTTTGCCTGAGGAAGTGGTGTTACTGATGGAGAAACTGAGGCTGGCGATTCCAGGGTTGGCAGAGCTCACGGCGCTGGGGGCAGCACGGGGCCCACCCATCGGTCCCCTCACTGTCAGTACGTCGGTTTTCCAGAGAACTTGAGCCACACAGCCCAGCCACAGAGCTCCTTTCTAGAGCCTTTGAGCTATGTTAGAAAGGACAGTCTGGCTGTCTGGCCGGGCGTGATGGCTCACACCTGTAATCTCAGCACTTTTGGGAGACTGAGGCGGGTGGATCACTTGAGCTCAGGAGTTTGAGACCATCCTGGCCAACATGGTGAAACACCATCTCTACTGAAGATACAAAAATTAGCTGGGCGTCGTGGCGCACGCCTGTAGTCCCAGCTACTTGGGAGGCTGAGGCAGGAGAATCGTTTGAACCTGGGAGGCAGAGGTTGCAGCGAGCCAAGATGGCGCCACTGCACTCCAGCCTGGGCAACAGAGTGAGACTCAAAAAAAAAAAAAAAACAAAAAAAACACAAAAAAAACAGAGTCTGCCCTGGGCCAGGCTGGAGACACAATGCCTGGACTTGTCCCAGGCCCAGGAGTGGGGTGGGGTGAGGCTGACTCCGCCTGTTGGAGCAGTGGCTGGAAAACCAGACCACGAACCTCGCCTACCTTAGTTTCATTTAAATCAACTTAATTTGAACCCCAGTCCCTCTCCCATCTCAGTCATTATGTTCCCCCACCCCACCCCTAACCTCACCCCACATCCCACACAAATCTGGAGGTGCTGCCTGGAGTCTGGGTTCTGCCTCTGGCCCACGGCAGACACCTGGGAGATGCATCCACTGGACTGCTGCCAGAGTCTTTGCCCAGCTAGGGACCCACCCCCAGACTCTCCTCCTGTAGGTGCTGCCTGGGAGCCTGTCCTGCCCCTCTCTTCTTTCTCCTTGTCTGCAAAGGGTCCTTCTTCCTGGGCTGGAGGGGAGGGGCAGGGCCGAGGCGGTGGGCTTAGGGAGGGGCTGAGGATACGGTGAGGCGTCCAGAGGTGCAAGTGGGAGTCAGGGGTGCTGGGGTGTCCAGCAGACCTGCTGCCTGGGGCATGGTGGCCCGGAGAGCTGAGAAGGGCAGCAGCTGGGGGTGCTGGGGGAGCCCTTGGGTGCCAGGGGACTGTGTGTTCACTCCATGGTGCTGGAGCATTGGCCATCCACAGGCAAAGGGGTTAGTGTGGACCTGAAGCACACACCTATAAAAAATGAACTCAAAGTGGATTATAGATTTAAATGTAAAGGGTAAAATTACAAAACTTTTAGAACACATAGGAGAAAAATCTTTGGGGCCTAGGACTTGGAGGGATTCTTGGACATGACACAAAAAGCACAATCCAAAAAAAAAAAAAAACCACATTGATAAACAGAACTTCATCAGAATGTAAAATGTTTGCTTTGTAAAAGACCTGTCAAGAAGAAAAGAAGCCACAGGCAGGAGCAAACGTTTGTGAACCACGCATCTGGCAAGGCACGTGTACCTAGAACATAGAAAAAACTCACATCGCAAACAACAATGAAACATACAATCTAGGTATAAAATGAGCAAAGACATGAAGAGAAATTTCACCAAAGAGGATCTAATGATGGCAGATGAACACCCGAGGAGGTGTTGCACACCACCTCACACCTCCCAGGACAGCCCAGGTCAAACTAGAGCTGGAGCCGAACGAGGGCAGGGATGTGGGGAAGCTGGCCCTGCCACACCTTGCTGGGGGGACGCAGCACCAGTACAGCCGCTCTTGCAAATAGGCAGGCGGTTTCTTAAAAAGTGAACACATTTACCATGTAACACAGCATCAGACTCCTAGACATTTGCTCCAGTAAAAGGAAAACTAGGTCCACACAAAAATGTGTACACAGATGTTCACAGCAGCTTTATTTACAATAGCCAAAAAGTGGAAACGACTCAGATGTCCTCCAGCAGGCGAGTGGCTCCACTAGCTTGGTGCATTCCTGCCACGAAACACGCTTGGCAATAAAACGGTGTGCACACATGATCCATGCAACAACTAGCAACGTGGAGAAACCGGAAGGGAGCTTCACAGAGTGGGGGAGAAGGTCACACACACTCACATGACAACACTGTGGAGACGGAGGACAGATCGGAGGGCTGCAGGGGTTACGGATGGGAGTGGGGGCAGGAAAAGCGGGGAGAGATGGGGCCGACTGGGCAGGAGTAGCACAAGAGACCCTTGAGGTGATGAGACAGTCTTGTATCTTGATTACGATGGTCGTAACGCAAAACTGCACATGTGAGAAAATTGTAATGATACACACACACACACGAGTAGATGTGAAATAGTTGAAATCCACTGTGAGCCCTGTAGATTGTACTATGTCAGTATCCTAGTTTGTATGTTGTACCGTAATTATGTAAGAAGTCATCATTGGGGGAGCTTGTTAAGGGTATATGGGAACTCTACTATTTTTGTAACTTCATGTAAATCAAAATAAAAATTCAAAATAAAAATTTAGTTAAATTGCCAGGCATGCTACACACACACACACACACAGACACACACACACACACACACGAAAAATGACCCAGAGTGAAGAGAAAAATCAATGAAAACAGACTCAGGGATGACACAGGAGATGGAATTAGTAGACAAGAACATTAAAAGTTATTATAGCTGAGGCCGGGCGGGGTGGCTCACACCTGTCATCCCAGCACTGTGGGAGGCCGAGGCGGGCAGATCACAAGGTCAGGAGTTTGAGACCAGCCTGGCCAACATGGTGAAACCCCATCTCTACTAAAAATACAAAAATTAGCTGCTGGGCGTGGTGGTGGGCACCTCTAATCCCAGCTACTTAGGAGGCTGAGAGAGGAGAAGTGCTTGAACTCAGGAGGCAGAAGTTGCAGTGAGCTGAGATCGCGCCACTGGGCTTCAGCCTGGGCAACAGAGTGAGATTCCGCCTCAAAAACAAAAAAACTATAGCTGTATTACACACACACACACACACACACACACACACACACACCATTCCTAAACTAGAGATGAAAACTGCAATGTCTGAGATGAAAAGTACATTGATACACTGGATGGGATTAATGGAAGATGCAGATTAGACACTGAAGAAAATTAGTTAATCTGAAGATATAGCAATAGAAACTCTCCAAAATGAAACAAAGAGAAAGAGAAGGTTGAAAAAAATTGAGGAGGGCCGGGCGCGGTGGCTCACGCCTGTAATCCCAGCGGCCGGGCGCGGCGGCTCACGCCTGTAATCCCAGCACTTTGGGAGGCCGAGGCGGGCAGATTACGGGGTCAGGAGATCAAGCCCATCCTGGCTAACACGGTGAAACCCCGTCTCCACTAAAAATACAACAAATTAGCCGGGCGTGGTGGCGGGCGCCTGTAGTCCCAGCTACTCGGGAGGCTGAGGCAGGAGAATGGCGTGAACCCAAGAGGCAGAGCTTGCAGTGAGCTGAGATGGCGCCACTGCAGTCCGCAGTCCGGCCTGGGCGACAGAGCGAGACTCCGTCTCAAAAAAAAAAAAAAAAAAGAAAAAGAAAAAAGAAAAAAATTGAGCAAAAACGTCTGATTTATCCTCTCACTTCAAACAAGAACAAATCCAAGACAGAATATAGGAAACAAAGGTTTCCAAGACATTGGACATCAGGCAACAAATCAGAAAGAGATCTCCAAGAGGCTGAAAATAAGCAAAGTGAGCCCTAAGCTTGTCCCAGTTTACCACCTTGAGAGAATTTTCAGGGTGTAGTATAGGAAGGGGGAACGTAGACAGAGCCAGGCATATTCTCTGAGTTAAGGAGACAAGAATTCAGAATTCAAGGATACTGAGGCAGCAGGAGATCACAAGTGCCAGAGGGGAGACAGCTGAAGAAAGAAAGAACCCTAGAGACATGGACACGATCCCCTTTGGTCATTCAGTTGGATCCCTCGTGGTAGTTAGTTGTAGCTAATAAGGCAGTTGAATATTTAATGGCTCCTATACATGGGGAAACGGCTCAAGGCTGGGGAAACGGGCTTCTGAGAAGCGTGAAGGAAGCAGTGCCTACTCCCGTCAGCCAGGGTGAAAAATCTCATGATTCATAGGGTATTGGGTGGAGTTCTCAGAAGGAGCTTGGCTCAGTGGTGAGGGATCATTATTCCTAGAATTAAAAAAAAAATTAATTTGAACCAGGCATGGTGGCATGTGCCTGTGGTCCCAACTACTTGGGATGCTGAAGGGGAAGGATCACTTGAACCCAGGAGATGGAGGCTGAAGTGAGACGTGATTGTGCCACTGTCCTCCAGCCTGGGCGACAGAGCAAGACCCTATATAAGACACACACATATATATACACACACATATATATTATCGTATATATACATATATATGCACATACATTATCATATATACATATATACACATATATATGAGATAATAATTGGCTGGCCACAGTGGCTTACACCTGTAATCCCAGCACTTTGGGAAGCTGAGGTGCGTAGATCACCTGAGGTCAGGAGTTTGAGACCAGGCTGGCTAACATGGTGAAACCCTGTCTCTACTAAAAATACAAAAATTTGCTGGGCATGGTGGCAGGCGCCTGTAATCCCAGCTGCTCAGGGGGCTGAGGCAGGAGAATTGCTTGAACCCGGGAGGCGGAGGCTGCAGTGAGCTGAGCTGAGATCATGCCACTGCACTCCAGCCTGGGCGACAGAACAAGACTCCGTCTTAAAAAAAAAAAAAAAAAAACAAACCACTAAAAAAAAATCCCAAAATATACCGGAAAGGCTGGGAGGGGTAAATGGAAGTGTATTGTCTTAAGGTTCTTATATGTGCAGTGGTTTAATATCATTAAAAAGTAGATTGTGACAATTTAGAGCTGTATACTCTAAAGCCTAAAGCAACTACTACAATATCAAAAGAGTTGGAGCTAATAAGCCAACAAAAGAGATAAAATGGAATTCTTAAAAAATATTGCCAAAGAAGTCAGGAAAAGAGGAAAAGGAAAAGAACCACTGGGACCAGTGGGAAACAAACAGCAAATGGTAGATTTTAACTCCACCATATAAATAATCTCATTACACATGGACATTCTAAACACCCCAATTAAAAGATGGATTGTTGCCGGGCGCGGTGGCTCACGCCTGTAATCCCAGCACTTTGGAAGGCCGAGGCGGGCGGATCACGAGGTCAGAAGATCGAGACCATCCTGGCTAACATGGTGAAACCCCGTCTCTACTAAAAATACAAAAAAATTAGCCGGGCATCGTAGCGGGCGCCTGTAGTCCCAGCTACTTGGGAGGCTGAGGCAGGAGAATGGCGTGAACCCAGGAGGCGGAGCTTGCAGTGAGCCAAGATCGCACCACTGCACTCCAGCCTGGGTGACAGAGTAAGACTCCGTCTCAAAACAAAAAAAAAAAAGATGGATTGTCATTTTGGATTAAAAATTGTAGCTAACTATGTTCTACCTATAAGAAACAAGCTTTAAATGTAAAAGCACAAATAGTTGAAAATTAAAATGATAAAAACAAATATGCCAAGATAACACTAAACAGGATGCTGAAGTAACTGTATTAACATCAAGTAGATTTCAGAAAAAAGTATGTTACTAAGGATAAAAGAATCATTTAGTAATGACAAATGTAGGAATTCATCATGAGGACATAAAAATCCTAAATGTTCATGCAGCTACTAACAGGGTTTCAAAATGCATGAAGCAAAAACTATGAGAACTACAAGGAGAAATAAAGAGATCCACAATGGTAATAGGCGATTTTGCCATCTCTCTCTCCCCATAATTGATGAGACAAGTAGACGGAATATCAGCGATGATACCGAAGAGCTGAACCACGCTGTCCATCACCATCCCTTCATCATTCATCAGTCATCGTTTCCATACATTCACCCACTTCATCCATCTCGCCCCAGTATTGGTTTGCGCTTTCGCCAATTCATAATTATCTTATTAACTTGAGTCATTTATTTATTTATTTAGAGATGGAGTCTTGCTCTGTCACCCAGGCTGGAGGGCAGTGGCGCAATCTCACTGCAACCTCTGCCTCCCGGGTTTATGCGGTTCTCCTGCCTCAGCCTCCAGAGTAGCTGGGACTACAGGCATGCGCCACCACGCCCAGCTAATTTGTTCTTTTGTATGTTAAGTAGAGATGGGGTTTTGCCATGTTGGCCAGCTGGTTTCGAACTCCTGACCTCAGGTGGGCTGCCTGCCTCGGCCTCCCAAAGTGCTGGGATTACAGGTGTGAGCCACCATGCCCAGCCATGAGTCATTTATTTATAAACTTATAAATAAATTTATAAGCTTATATATAAATTTATGAACTTATAAACATATATAAATTTATAAACTTATAAGCTATCCACTCATTAATGTGCCCATTCCACCCTTACACCATGTTTAAATAATTATTCACTTATTTTTTATCTACTATTCATTCAGACATCCATTCATCCATTCATACACGCATTCATGCTGTTTACTTGACAGAAAATTATGAGAAAGCAAAGAAGGACTGTGTCTCGTTCACCCCTTAATCGTATGCCCCAGTATTGGTTGACCACGATAGGCACTGAAACATTTTGTTGAACGATGAATTCATCCATCAATTCATCCATCCAGTTGCTCAACTAACCATTTGCTTATCTCACGTATCCATTCTTTACACTCATTCATCTATTAATTTTTCATGTATCAGTTCATCATTTAATCAGTTCATTCAATTAATCTAATCTTCATTCTCTTATAGTTTAATTCATTAATTTACTCATTCATTCATCATTTATTGCCTATTCATTAAGACACTCGTAAGTTTACTCGTTATATTATCCTTTTATTTTCTGTCTTCATTCATTTTCCGTCTACTCCAGTTCTTCCACTTACAGACAGAACTTTGGCAAGTTCTGAAGCTTATTTGAATCTGTTTCCATATATTCAGAAATGGGACTAATAACAGCTTTTTGAAGATTCATGAGATAGTGAATGAAATTCCTTGGCACAATTCCTGGTGCAAAGTCAGTTCTCAAGAAATGGTAGCTATTATTATTTTAAATGAGTATCACAATTTCTTTTAAGTTACAAAATCATTGCCTCATTCGTATGTCTGTTCACTCTTCCATCCTATTTATCTAGTTATCCATTCATCCCTTCTCTCATTTTAGCTACTCCTTGATTTTATACATCTTCAGACTTTCCTTTTTAATTACAAATGACATACAGAATATTGCAGAAATCAAAGTTGTGGCTCAATTATTTACCACAAAGGAAATACTCATGTAGTAACTACCTGACTCAAGAAATAAAGTATCGCCAGAACACCACACCTCTCCCCAGATCATCATATCCTGAATTTTATAGTGCTTGCTTCCTTCTTTTTTTCAAGTTACAAAACTTTCCTGAAATATGTATAAAGTTCCCAGTTTAATCCTCTCAACAAACCTGATTGTAGTATTATTAATATTCCTACATTATATACAAAGACTTTATTATATACAAAGAAACTTAAGCACAGAGATGTTAAGTCATCTTTTTTTAACTTTTCTTTTAGGTTTGGGGGTACATGTGAAGGTTTGTTATGCAGGTGACATAGTCATGGGGATTTGTCGTACAGATTATTTCCTCACCAGGAACTAAGCCCAGTACCCAATAGTTTTCTGCTCCCCTCCCTCCTCCCACCCTCCACCCTCAAGTAGATCCTAGTATCTGTTGTTTCCTTCTTTGTGTTCCTAAGTTCTCATCCTTTAGCTCCCGTTTACAGGTGAGAACATGTGGTGTTTGGTTTTCTGTTCCTGCGATAGTTTGCTGAGGATAATGGCCTCCAGCTCCATCCATGTTCCTGCAAAGGACATGATCTCATTCTTTTTTTATGGCTGCATAGTATTCCACGGTGTGCATGTACCACATTTTCTTTATCTTGTCTGTCACTGATGGGCATTTAGGTTGAGTCCATGTCTTTGCTATTGTGAATAGTGCTGCAGTCAACATATGCGTGCATGTGTCTTTATGGTACACTGCTTTATATTCCTCTGGGTATATACCCAGTAATGGGATTGCTGGGTCCAATGGTAGTTCTGCTTTTAGGTCTTTGAGGAATTCCCATACTGCTTTCCACAGTGGCTGAACTAATTTATACTCCCACCAACAGTGTGTGTGTGTTCCCTTTTCTCCACAACCTCACCAGCATCTGTTATTTTTTGACTTTTTATAGTAGCCATTCTGGCTGGTATGAGATGGTGTATCCTCATTGTGGTTTTGATTTGCATTTCTCTGATGATCAGTGATATTGAGCTTTTTTTCATATGCTTGCTGGCCACATGCATGTCTTATTTTGAAAAGTGTCTGTTCATTTTCTTTGTTCACTTTTTAATGGGGTTTTCTCTTGTAAGTTTGTATAAGATCCTTATAAATGCTGGATGTTAGACTTCTGTCAGATGCATAGTTTGCAGATATGCTCTCCCATTCTGTAGGTGGTCTGTTTACTTTGCTGATAGTTTCTTTTGCTATGCAGAAGCTCTCATGTTTAATTAGATCCTACTTGTCAATTTTTGCTTTTGTTTTGATTGCTTTTGGTGTCTTTGTCATGAAATTTTTGCCCGTTCTTATGTCCAGGATGGTATTGCCTATGTTGTCTTCCAGGGTTTTTATAGTTTTGAGTTTTACATTTAAGTCTTTAATCCATCTTGAGTTGATTTTTATGTATGGTGTAAGGAAGGGGTCCATCTTCAATCTTCTGCATATGGCTAGCCAGTTATTCCAGCACGGTTTATTGAATATGGAGTCTTTTCCCCATTGCTTGTTTTTGTCAGCTTTGTTGAAGATCAGGTGGTTGTAGGTATGCAACCTTGTTTCTGGGCTCTCTATTCTGTTCCATTGGTCTATGTGCTTGTGTAGTACCATACTGTTTTGGTTACTGTAACCCTGTAGTATAGTTTGAAGCCGGGTAACACAATGCCTGCAGCTTTGTTCTTTTTGCTTAGGATTGCCTTGGCTATTTGGGCTTTTTGGTTCCATATGAATTTTAAAATAGTATTTTCTAGTTCTGTGAATAAAATGCTTGGTATAATAGTTTGATAGGAATAGCGTCGAATCTGTAAATTGCTTTGGGCAATATGGCCATTTTAATGGTATTGATTCTTCCTATCCGTGAGCATGGGATGTTTTTCTGTTTGTGCCTTTTCTGATTTCTTTGAGAAGTGTTTTATAATTCTCATTGTAGAGATCTTTCACCTCCCTGGTTAGCTGTATTCCTAGGTATTTTATTCTTTTTGTGGCAATTGTGAATGGGATTGCCTTTCTGATTTGGCATTCGGCTTGGCTGTTGCTGGTGTATAGGGATGCTAGTGATTTTTGTACATTTATTTTGTATCCTGAAACTTTTCTGAAGTTGTTTAGCAGCTGAAGGAGCTTTTGGGCTAAGACTATGGGGTTTTCTGGATATAGAATCATGTTGTCTGCAAACAGAAACAGTTTGACTTCCTCTCATTCTATCTGGATGCCTTTTCTTTCTCTTGCCTGATTGCTCTGGCTAGGACTTCCAATACTATGTTGAATAGGAGTGATGGGAGAGAGCATCCTTGTCTTGTGCCAGTTTTCAAGGGGAATGCTTCCAGCTTTTGCCCATTCAGTATAATGTTGGCTGTGGGCTTGTCAGTGCTTACTTTCTTGCTTTTCTTTTTTTCTTTTTCTTTTTTTTTGAGACAGAGTTTCGCTCTTGTTGCCCAGGCTCTGGAGTGCAACGGCACAATCTTGGCTCACTGCAACCTCCGCCTCCCAGGTTCAAGCAGTTCTCCTGCCTCGGCCTCCTGAGTAGCTGGGATTACAGGCACGTGCCACCATGCCCAGCTAATTTTGTATTAGTAGAGACAGGGTTTCTTCATGTTGGACAGGCTGGTCTCAAACTCCTGACCTCAGGCATCTGCCCACCTCGGTCTCCCGAAGAGCTGGGATTACAGATATGAGCCACCGTGCCTGGCCTCTTGCTTTTCTTTATTCCATCATTAAATCATCCCTCCTTTATTCATTCACTTTGTCATCCACTTACTCATTCATCCATTCATTCCTAAACATGAGTGCCTAAATAATATAGCTTTGTTTCACTGTGTTTGAGCTTTATGTAAATGAATTTATATGGCAGCTGTTCTTTGGTATCTGGCTTCTTCTATCACAGGCTATATTCGTGAGATTCAGTCTTGTTGCCTGTAGCTAAAGTTCATTTACTTTCATTGTTATGGAGACTTTAATTATATAAATGTCTGCAATATATTTACCATTTTACTGCTGATGAACGTTCAGTTTGTTTCCAGGCTTTGGTTATAATGATGCTGCTATGAACATTCTTGTATGTGTCTCTTGGTACATATGTGCACAGTTTTCCAAAATGGTTGTACCAGTTTATCCACTCCCACTGACAATATGTTATAGTCCCACTGCCCCATGCTCTCCCAGACATTGTGATTGCCAGTGTTTTTTAATGCAGACTCATGGTGGATGTGCCGTGGTGCCTCACTGCAGTTTTACCTTGCATTTCCCTGCCAACTAATGAAGTTGAGAACTCTTAGGCATATTAGCCCCTTAGCTATCTTTTTAAAAGTAGTACCTGTTAGCATTAGTGACCACTTTTCTCTGGGTTGCCTGATTTATTTTCCTTATTGCTCTGTGGACCTTATTTATATATTCTAGATCAAACTCCTTATCAATTACATGTATTATAGGTGTCTTCTGTCTTACTTGCCTTTTCACTCACTTAATGTTATAATTTGATGGAAAATTTTGTTTTACTGTAGTAAATTTTATCATTCTTTTCCTTTATGGTTGGTGCCTTTTATGTCAGTTTAGAAGTCTCTCCATCCTCCCAAGGACATAAAGATATTTTCTGGTGCAGTCTTCTACATCTTTCACATTTAGAGCCATCATCCACTAGAATAGACTTCTGTGCGTTGTTTTGGTCCTCCTTGTGCAAGGTCATGTTCAAGCTTGTTTATTTCTCATATGGATGCACAGTTGTCCTGAGAGCACCCACAGTCTTTGTGAAAGACTGCCCTCCTCACTCTACACCATCAACTGTGCCCTAAGTCAAGTGTCTATATACTTATAGCTCTGTTCTGGGATCGCTGTTCTGTTCCATAGGTCTATTGATCTATCCTGTGTCAATACCCATGTCTTGACTACAGCAGCTTTATAACAAGTCTTGTACCAGATAAAAGCAAGTCTTCCCACCTTGTTTTTCTTCATGCTTGGGTTTTGGAAAGTTCTCAGTCATTACCTCTGTTTCTGCCCTTATTCTCACTCTCCAAATATACAGATGGTAGATCTCACCATAGCCTCTACATTTCTGTATCAACCAGGATAGACTAGGATGTTGCTATGTTTTGGATCTATGTCCCCACCCAAATCTCATGTCAAATTGTAATCCTCAGTGTTGCAGGAGGGGCCTGGGGGGAGGTGATTGGATCACGGGGGCTGATTTCCCCATGGTCTTCTCACAATAGTGAGTTCTCATGAGATCTGGTTGTTTAGAAGTATGTAGCACCTCCCCCTGCTCTCTCTTCCTCCTTCTCTAGCCATGTAAAATGTGCCTGCTTCCCCTTGGCCTTCTGTCATGATTGTAAGTTTCCTGAGGTATCCCTAGCCATACTTCCTGTACAGCCTGCAGAACCATGAGTCAATTAAACCTCTTTTCTTTATAAATTACCCAGTCTCAGGTAGTTCTTTTTAGCCATGTGAGAATGGACTAATACAGATGTGCTGTGGAACATGCAGTCTCCAAATCTCAATGGTATAAAACAAAATGAGTTTATTTTTTACTTATGCTACATGTCCATTGAGGGTTAACAGGGGGCTTCTGCTAACTGTAGTCTGTTAGGGACCCAGGCTGACAGAGCAACCACCATCTTGAATATTGCTGGTCAGTATACCAGAGGGAAAGAGCTGAGGAGGGTCTAGCACAAACACTTCTACTTATAGCTCATTGGTCAGATCTAGTCATTTGGCTCCACCAAAACCACAAATTGGTCAGGAAGTGTAATCCTATACTATGTCTAGAAGGTGGAAGGACGGACATGTTTGATGATCAGCACTAGTAACTTACCACAGTTTTTTTACCCTCTTTTCTGTATTTTCCATCCTTTTGTTTTGAGTTTATTCTGGATATTTTCTTGTGACATGTCTTTCAGTTTACTAATTCTCTCTTCAGCTGCATCTAGCTAGTTATTAAATCCATGCACTTTGTCCTTAATTTTGGTTATTTTAATTTTCATGTCTAAAATTTTATTTGGTTCCAGCTCTCTGCTAAAATCAATCTAGTCTCTCTTTGAGCACAGTAAATATAGTTATTTGAAAATCTGTAGCTAACTCTAATATCCTGATCCCTTGTGGAGCTATTTCTATCATTTGTAGTTTCTGCAGATTTTTGTTTATATTGCCTTGTATTTTCCTGTGCCTTTGTTCTGTATCTTTTTTTTTTTTTTTTTTTTTGAGACAGAGTCTTCCTCTGTCACCCAGGCTAGAGTGCAGTGGCATGATCTCAGCTCACTGCAACCTCTGCCTCCCAGGTTCAAGCGATTCTCATGCCTCAGCCTCCCGAGTAGCTGGGACTACCAGTGTGCAGCACCACATCAGCTCATTTTTGTATTTTCAGTAGAGATGGGGTTTTGCCATGTTGGCTAGGCTGGTCTTGAACTCCTGACCTCAAGTAATTTGCCCATCTCAGCTTCCCAAAGTGCTGAGATTATAGGCGTGAGCTACCAGACCCAGCCTTTTTTATTTTTTATTTTCTTTGAGACAGGGTCTTGCTCTGTCACCCAGGCTGGAGTGCAGTGGTGTGATCACAGTTAACTGCAGCCTTGACCCCCTGGGTTCAAATGATCCTCCTGCCCCAGCTTCCCAAGTAGCTAAGACTACAGGCTTGAGCCACCATGCCCAGCTATTTTTTTTTTTTTTTCTCTGAGATGGAATCTTGCTCTGTCACCCAGGCTGGAATGCAGTGGCACGATCTCAGCTCACTGCAACCTCCACCTCCCAGATTCAAGCAATTCTCCTGCCTCAGCCTCCCAAGTAGCTGGGATTACAGGCACGCACCACCACACCTGGCTAATTTTTGTATTTTTAGTAGAGACGGGGTTTCACCACGTTGGCCAGGCTGGTCTCCAACTCCTGACCTTGTGATCTGCCTGCCTCAGCCTTCCAAAGTGCTGAGATCACAGGCGTCAGCCACCGTGCCTGGCCTAATTTTTTTTATTTGTTTGTAGAGACAGGATTTTGCCATGTTGCCCAGGCTGGTCTTCAACTTCTGGGCTCGAGCAATCTGCATGCCTCAGCCTCCCAAAGTGCTGGGATTACAGGCATGAGCCACCTTGCCTGGCCATGTCATACGTTTTACTGGTAGGAATCATTTGAAGCCTAGAAAGGTATTTTTCACTCTTTTTTCACTGAGGATTTAGGTTTTGCCATGTATTGGGGGTACCAGCGGTCTGGAGTCACTTCACCAACTTCAGAGATTAAGATGATTTGAAGCTAAGCTGAAGTCAACCTCACTCGGAGGCTACTGTCCTTAGGACCCCAAAGTGAGGATCAAATTTGCATATTCATAAATTCCTTCACTCACCCACCCACGTTTATATTTGCAAATTTATATTTACAAATATAGACAGAATCATTGATAAATGTGCAGAAGAATGTGCATAAATGAATACATCTATATAGTCATCTCTCCTATGTGTTTACCCATTTATCTGTCCAAACAATCAGGTATATGCTAATGTACGAATTAGCTCATCCGTTCATGATTAGCCCAGCCACTGGACCAACTGACAGAAGACCTGAGCTGGGAGCTGTTCTAGGTCCTTAGGACCCATCCTTGAACAAAACAAAGTCCCTTCTGTCACAACTCACAGTGCAGTGGAGATGCCAGGCTACCAGGGCGGGCAGGGCTGGGCTGGAATTTTAAGAAAGGTGGCCAAGGTGGGGTTTGCTGAGAAGGTGGCATACAAGGGAGAACTTGGAGGGGAGGGAATGAGGGCTGTGAACGCCTGAGGAGCTTCCAGACAGGAGGACTGGCCAGTGTAAGATCCTGAGGGGGACAAGGAAGGAGCCCCTGTGGCTGCCAGGGAATGAGGCACAGAGGCTGGAGGATTTGGGGGCTGATCGAGGAATACAGGACCAGGAGAGGGCGGTAGCACGCAGTGAGCTTTATTCTGGTGGCACTTGGACAGGTTTTCACGGAGGGCTTGACGCCTAGGGGAAACTGCTCAGAAGCAGGATGGGGCACCAGGGAGCTCCAGAGGGCAGCCCAGCCTGAAGGCTTTTGTAGCCCCAGGGTTTGTCTCATCCACCACTGGCAGACGTGGGTTCAGTTTTGCAGGGTATTCAAAGCAAGCAGGGTCGGTCTAAATGTCTAGAAGTATGCATATTTGGGCTCTATTTAAAGCAAATGTCTGTGTAAAATTTTGATTTTGGCCCTGGTGGGCTTTGAACTTTTGGTCCTAGCTGCTGGGAAGCAGATAGCACAGGGCAGTCCTCAGGCCGTGGTTAGCCTGTGGATCCATCAGGTGGCCGTGGAGGTGAGTTTACCACGTGTCTGCATGTCCCTGGCCCCCCACAGACCTGCAGGCCCCCTACACTGCCCCTTCTTTCCATCTCTGCCCCCTGCATCTGTAGACAAATGCTTAAGTCAGCACCGACTCAGCCAGGATGGCAGTTACCCAAGGCCACGCCGCGCCACTGCTTCTCTCCCTCTCGTCTGCTGTGTCTCCCTCCCTCCCGTGCATCTGTGAGTTCTTCCCAGTTCTGCCCACATTCAGTCTCCCTGTTTGCACTTGTCTGTGGCCAGTCTCCTGGAAGAGCTACAGGGAACTCATCCTGCCCCCGCTCTTTCCCCTCATCCTGTCTTCATCCTTCCCATGCCACGAACCCCTTGCTCTGTGGGAACGCCGGCGGCTCACCCGCGCACCCCACCTCCTTCCCCTCATCCTGTCTTCATCCTTCCCACGCCACAAACCCCTTGCTCTGTGGGAATGCGGCCGCTCACCCGCGCACCCCTAACGCAGTGCCTTCTGCTTGCTCCATGGCCCGTGCCTGTCCACCTCCACCTGGCCCCGTCGCCAGGCCTGCCACACCTTCTCGGTCTGCTCTTGGTTGTGGCACCCACCTTCAGCCACCTGCTCTTCTTCTCCCAGGCCTCTGCTCTCCAGCCAGCAGCTCCTCGGGCCCCGACTGTTTCGCAGGCCTAATTCCGAGTATGAGAGTCTCCCTGCCCCACCCGGCCCTTCTCAGCTACCGCCTTGCCTCCTTCCGCTGTCATCCAGCTATTAGGGAGCTGGCCACACTAGACAACAGGCCCTGGTCACCCCTGCTTCCCAGAGCAGGAAGGGGCAAGTGGCATTCACACACGGAGCCACCCACGAACAGCTTCCTGGTCAAGCGTGATGCCGGGACTGGCCCGCCACCAGGCGCATGTGGACCTGCTCTGAGCTCCTGCTCTTCCTTCCTCCTCACTGTGACCCCCTCCAAGCATCACCCCTGCTCCACAGACAAGGAGGGCCAGGCACAGGAAGTCAGGGACTCACCCGGCGCAGCTGGGCTTTGAGCCCGGCTCTCTGCACCCACTCCTTGCTCCTGGAGTGCTGGGGACTCAGGAGGGTGAGAGGCAGCGGCGGCCCCAGGGATTGTGTCCTGCAGGCAGAGATCTGTGGGAGACCACAGAGGAGGGAGCTCCAGTGTGCACATCCTGCGGGCCAGCCTCCTACTCAGGAAGCAGCAGTGGCACCCAAGGCCTCAGGCGTGTACTTGAGTCTGACAGAGGCGGGAAGCCTGGGCCAGGTCCTGGGGGACTGAAGGGGAAGGAAGCCCTTGGAGGCCCAGCCACAGGAGCAGGTTCCTGCTTGGACTTGGTCAGGGAGCCCAGGAGAATTCCCAGCGGCCTGGGTGGCCTGGGCTTTGGGGACAGCAGCCCCACAGGGGCTCATGCTTTGGGGCCCACCACGCACCAGCTGTGAGCACTGAGGCCCTTTCTGCATAATGGCACCCTTTCTCCCAGATGGGAGAGCAACAGTTCCTCTCCAGGCTGAGGAGACTCGGAACACGCACTGAGGGCCCGACAAATGTCGTCTGTCACTAGGTGGCCTCACTGGACACAGTGGTGAGCGTGCTGCGCTCGTGGGACCTGAGCCTCACGGAGGCCATGCTCCAGAACATGGAGGCTGAGCAGCAGCGCCGGGCCCAGGAGGCCCAGAGGCACAAGGAGGCCGAGGCTGAGCGGTGTGGAAGGCAGGAGGGGTGTGGGAGGTGCTGGCGAGGGGTGCTGGCAAGGGGCGCTGGCAGGGAGCCCGGGCAGGGGGTGCTGGTGGGGGCGCTGGCGGAAGCCTCTGTCCCAGCTCATTCCTGCTCCTTAGTATGACCCTCAAGGTCCAACAGCTGACCAGGGAGCAGCAGCAGTGTCACAAGGAGGTGAGTGTGACCTCAGGGAGGAGCCAGGAAAGGAGGAGGGAGAGCCGGGTGGGGAGGAGGGGGAGCCGAGGGAGGGCCAGGAAGCTGGGGGAAGAGCCAGGAGGGGAGGTGTCCTCAGGCCCCTGGGCCAGGAGTGACCTGGTCGGAGGATACTGGCCAGCCTTGCCAGGGCCTGCCCGTACGCCCACCCAGCTGCAACAGGCCTACTGTGAGCTTAGCCGGAGGATCTCAGAGCACGACCAGTGTGAGTGGAGGTGCATGGACAAGACCAAGCTCACGCTGCAGGTGGGGGCCCGTGGTGGACTTGATATGCCCCTGCGTCCTCAACACCCCTCCTTGTTCCAAACCAGCCCAGAGCTCCCCGCTCCCAGGCCTGGGGTTTTTCCCTCTCAAACATGGGGAGTCACCAGCCGACAGTGGCCTGCTTGGGGTGGGGTGGGGAGGAAGCTCGGGCAGCTGCCCTCTCCAGCCAGAGCATGGGGCAGGGCAAGCAAGTCAGTGTGGCCTCCTCCTCCAGGCCATCAAGGACACAGAGGCCCAGGTGGACAGGCTGCGGCAGGAGGCCCAGAAGGCCGAGGAGGCGCTGGCTATGGCCAGGCTGGAGCTTCGGGAGCAGACGCAGGAGGGTGGGCCTGGCATGGGGCGCCGGCTGGGGGCTGGGACATACAGCCCAGGGCGGGGTCCGGCGTCGGGCTTGCCTGTCAGCTGCACTCTGCTACCCCGACAGGGGAGGAAGAGGCGCCTGGGCTGAAGTGCCAGGTCACCGAGCTGCACGATGTGCTGATGAAAGATGTAGGCAACCGCATCCGTGCCGATGGCCGGTCAGTTCTCCGGGCCAGACGTGGGCGATTTGGGGTTTGGACAGACAGCAGTGACCTGATGGGTGTCCCCAGGTGGCCTCTTGTTATTGACCCTTTGGGCCAGGCGGCCACCTTCCTGCGCTACCAGGATACCAACTATGTGGACACGGTGAACCCGGAGCCCCTGAGGCCGGAGACGATGTGGCTGGCTCTGCTGGGGGCTCTGCGGTGAGGCAGGCAGGGTGACAGGTACACCCCACCCCACCTCCCTAGCCCCACCCTGGCCTCACCAGCCTCATGGGGCAGGTATGGGAAGCCGCTGGTGTTCGACCTGCGAGAGGAAGACCTGTTCCCAGTCGTGCAGCGGCAGCTGGAGGCGGTGCAGGAGAGGTACCTGTCGCTGCTGCGGCCCACGGACGGGCCTGAGTATAGCCCCACGCAGTTCCAGGAGCAGCGGCTGGAGCACTTCCGCCTCTTTTTCGTCACCAAGGTCCAGTGGCCGCCAGCTGAGCAGCTGCAGGTGCTGCTCCCAGTGCGCGTGCAGCTGCCAGGCACAGGCCTCTAGTGCTGGCCCCAGTCCCAATAAAACGTGTGCCCCGGGGCGCGGTGCTGCATCTGTGCTGCGTGCGTGGGGGCAGCGGTGGCGTGTGCCAGTCCAGGACTCCGGCAGTCCCGGGCCCCGGCCGGCGGACATGGGTCTGCAGGCACTTGGGGGAGGCCCTGCTGGGGATGGGCAGCCTGCCCGGCCGACCCGTGCGCAGTGAGGCGCAGCGGGAGACGTGGGAGGGACGGTGAGGGTGCAGCCCTCGGAGCTCAGCCTCGCCTCGGAGGGCAGGAAGGGTCTGTGCTAGTGGGTGGGGGATGGACAGGCAGACGGGAGGTAAAATGTAGTCAACTTTATTCTCCTTAAACCACAAAATAGAGTCTTTGGTTGTACAAACATCACTAGTTACAGTCTCGCCGAGGTCTCGGCTGGGGTGGGGCAGTTAGTTAGTCACAGGCCAGAACTCCTGTGGGGTCTCTTTAAAATGCTAACACCCAGGTTAAAAGACTTGGGGCAAGGGTGGTGCTGGAGCTGGCAGGGCCCCCACCCCAAGTCTGGGGGAGGTGCCTGCTCCTCTAGGAGGGCACAGGGCCCAGGCCACGGCGCCCAGGCCTTACGGGGCGGCGGCTGCTGCACAGTGCCACATCTTCAGGGCCCACAGCGCCGGGTGAGGGCCTGCCCAGAAGCACCAGAGCCACTTCTCCATCCTCCTCCTGCGGGCCTGGAGGGCAGGGACAGGTGGGCAGTGAGCTGAGGGCAGCTGGGCTCCTGGGAGCTCACCCCAGCCCGGCCCCAACTCACCAGGGCTGGGAGATGGTTCCAGGGACCTCAACTCCTCAGCAAAGTCCGGTGACTGTGATGGGGAGAGTGTTGGTCAGGCCGGTGCCAGCCCTGCCCCAAACCACCCAGGTGGACGGGTGGGCTCCCAGCCCTGAGGCCCACAGAGCCCGGCTGAAGGGGGAGGGGGGGTGAAGAGGCAGGGCCACGGCAGAGCGTGGGGAGGCCCTGCGGGAGCGGATGGGGGCGGTGGCAGGCACGGACAGGGTGGCAGGCATGCAGAGGCCTGGAGGCCAGGTACCTGGATGTCATAGACAGGTCTGGAAGAAGGCAGGGCCGCAAAGGCCCTGTAGTCAAACTTCTTTCCAGACAAGGGCTTGAAAGGACAGCGTGAGGGGAGAGGCAGAGAGTGAGAGGAAAGGGGGGGATGAGGGCCACGGGGGTGGGGGCAGGCCAGACCCCACCCCCATGCCTCGGGGGTGAAGGGAAGGCATAGCCACCGGCTCCTCACCAGGCGTCCCGGGGAGGTGCTGGTCTGGGGGCCGAGGTCTGGGGGGACAAGAAGCGGGCATTGGAAGCAGCCCATGCGGCAGGCTGACCCCCCCGACCTGCCCTGACCCACAGACCTTCCACAGGGGTGGGCGACGGGGTGGGCGCAGGGGAAGGGGCCTCGGCCAGTCGCTCCAGGGGCCCCCGCGTGCCCCGGCCTTCCTGGGACCTGCTGAGGACCATCTGTGCTCGGAGAGCGTCCTGTTCCAATGACTTCATCCTGCAGAGAACAGCGGGCAGGGGTGACTTGGGGCAGGAGCAGGGACAGGCAGCAGGGCGGGGTGGCGACCCCACACAGGGGCTCACCTGGCTGCCCTCCACAGCGCACGCTTCTCGGCCTCCAGGGCCCGGAGCTCGGCAGGGGACAGGGCACGCTCGGGTGCCGGTGGCTCCGGACTCTGCACGCGCAGCCGCTCCTGGTGGCGCCGTTCAGCTTTGGCCGTCCGCACCGGGGCGCCACCTCCCAGGGGTGGGGGGGACGCCGGGCTCTGCCTGGGGAAGGGACAGGACGTGCTGTGGGGGGCAGGGGCACGTGGGGTGAGTAGGGGGCGTCTGGTGGGCGGGTGCTCACCTTGAGGTGGGGCTCGGGCTGGCCCAGGGTGGCTGCTCATCCTCCTGTTCCTCCTCGCCCAGCGTCTCCCCGTCCAGGGCGAGCCTCGCTTCGGCCCCAGCCTCTGCCGCCTCCCGCAGCATCTGCGCTCTCTTCTGCTGTAGTTTTCTGGCTGCCGGAGGGCAGGGTGGGTCAGGCCAGACCAGCCGAGACCCAACCCCCACCCCACTTCCGTGCCCCTCACCTTCCTCCTCCTGCATCTTCCGCAGGTCGTCAGCACCCACCAGGGACACGCGCTTAGGGGGGCCCTCGGCCTGGGGCACGCGCACCTCCAGCTCAAAGTACTTCTGCCGCTCCCGGAAGGACAGCTGCTCCGGGGAGGCTGCAGGCCCAGGCGTGGGGGGCTGGGGGGAGCGGACCTTGAGGTTTGGCTGGCATTCCTCCGAGATACTGGGGCCCCCGGGCACCCACCCCAACCACGCGCAGCAGGGAGGCGTGCTGCCCCCACACACCTGGGCAGGGGCATCCTCAGGCGGGTGAGAAGTGGGCACGGCCGCGAAGGCCCTGTAGGCCTGCTTCACATTGGCGGGCAGCTCATCCGGAGAAGGCGGGGAGGGCGGCTGGGGGGTGGGGCTCTTGTGAGCTATGCTGGGGCAGCTGTCGGGGCTGCAGCTGTGTGCAACTCACCACCGGCTGTCCCCCCGCCTGTCCCCCCGCCTGCCTTTGATCCCCACCCACCATCCTGCTGGGGAAGGAGGCTCTGCCACCCCCACCCACGGGACAGAGCACTCACGGAGTGGGGACAACCTCTGCCCCTGGGGGCTGGGGAGCCCCTTGGCCAGGCCTGAGCCAATGGCTGGATCACCCCTGGTTTTGTCTAAAAAAGGCAGGTGGGGGCGGCGGGGGCAGAGGAGAGCAGGATCAGGGGTTTAAGGCAAGGGACGGGGGTAGAGAGGGGGGTGGGAGAGACAGAGAGAGAGAGACCGACCAACCTGGGTGGGGCTGACATCTTGCCTGTGAGGGGCTGAGCTGGGGCTGGGTCTCATGGGGGCTGCCACCTCCACCCCCACGTGGCAGTGTGTTGGGAGGTGCCAACAGTGGGGGGGCAAGGACCCCCAGACAAAAGGCAGGCAGGGATAAGGTGGGCCCTGGGAGGTGTTGGGCCTGAGACACTGACTGGGGTCTCAGGAGCTTGAGCCCCTCCAGGAACAGCACACTCAGGCCCCCCACCCCATCGCCAGGCAGCTCTGGCCAGGAAAGCGTCCCTGGCCTTCCTCACACAGGAGGCCCCATGGTAGCAGAGGGAAAACCGGAGTCAACAGCACCCCACGATGGCCCCTGACCCCCCATCCCTGGAGGAGGGGCCCTGTGCACAGCGGCCATCTGCCCTGCCCTCCACCCACCATGGGGCACACCCGTTAACTTGGGACACTCACCTGCTGGCCACTAGGGGAGCAGGGAGATTCAGCCATCTTCCCTCCAGCTGCTCCAGACGGTACCTGGAGGAGTAGGCAGTGGGTGGGGTGAGGATGGGCAGGGCTGTGGCCCCCGACCAGGAGGGACTGGGGGCCCTGGGGCTTGCCTAAAAGCCACAGCAGCTCTTCAGTTCCCCAACCTGACTATAGCCCAGGGGATGCCCCAGACACTCGGTCAGCACGGAGGGGCTCGTCCCCGTTCCCACAGGATGCGGGGGCCTGGGCTGGGCAGCTGCTGTCTCCATGGCAGTGTGCTGGCTGGAGCTTTGCAGGAGAGATGGGAGCAGACAGGACAGCCGGAGAAGAGAGCAGGGAGGGCTCGGGGGAGGGGCCAGAGACAGAGGTGATGGTGGGGAGCCCCTACTTGTGGTGTGCAGCCCTCAGGGCTCAGTGGCGCCCTGACTGCTGCCCCCATGACTGTGCTGTTGTTCATGAGGATGAAGGGCCTCCCGGAAGCCTCCCTCTTGGCGCTGCCCATGGCCAGAGGAGGCAGGGTCAGTACCCAAGAGCCCCCGAATGCGCTGCCTCAGATCCAGGCCCTGCCTGGCCCCTCACCACCACCCCACCGCTTGGGCAAGGGCCTGCAGGAGCCACCCCTCGGCACTCACGTTCGGTGGGGCTGGTGGGGCGCACCCTCTGGGAGGGTTATTTGTATCTCTAAGGGGAGGGATGGGCCTGCACATCCTCCTGCCTGTCCCCAGCACCCGCCCCTCCAGCTGCTCCAGCCTGTCCTCCCCTTGGGGACATGTGCCTGCCCAATCCCCCAGGAGCCTCTGCCCCCACTCGCACCCTCTGGGGCTGGGCAGCCCCAGCAGCAGCAGGTGAAGCTCTCGCACCGCCACTAGAGGGATGCCTCGGCCTGTGTCACCCATCCGCAGCTCAGGGTGTGTGGGTGGGGCAGCACCAACATGGCTTGGGTTGAGAATGAGGGTGATAAGCATGTGCCAGGCTGGGGTAGCCTGCAGGTCAGACGTGGCCTCCTCCCACCCCAGCCCCCGCCCAAAGGTTCCCTCCCGGATGGCCCTGGCGTTTGTCCTGGGGTGGCCGATGAACAGGACAACAGGACGGAGGTGGGGGGCACTGCACACTGGGCACTCACCCTCTGCACGCTGCCAGCGCTGGGCACGGCGGCCAGGGCGCGGTAGTCCAGCTTCAGGGGCTGCAGACCCCGACCCTGGGGGCAGAGTGAACACAGCACTAGCAGGGGTAGCTCCGTGGCAGCACCCGGCCAGCACAGGGCAGGAGAGGGGGTCCTGGGGGTTACTACCCAGCACCCCACAGGCAATGTGCACCCCGCTCCAGTGCCCTGATGTGAGGGGGTGGGGCGACCACACTCACTGCGGCTTCTGTGGCCTCGGGCCCCCAGTGCAGGGTCTGTCCAGGCAGCTCCTTCTCCTGTGAGCAGAGCAGAGCAGACCCGTCAGGCACCACCGGCCTCGGGCTCCCTGGCCCTGGGGCTGCCGGCTGCAGGCACCTCTGACCTTGCCTGGGCCCTCAGGGCTCAGCTCCCGGTCGATGGAAGAGATGCTCTCCAGGCTGTTCCGGTGGCCGATGCCTGCCGCAAAGGGGTTGGCAATGACACCTGGGGACACCTGAGAAGAGGGGTGTGGGCTAAGAAGGGGGGACTGCAACCCGGGGTCCCACCTCTGGGGCAGGCTGGGGTCCCAGCCCAGAATAGTCAGCAACGGTGAGCCCAGGAGCCGCGTCCCTGGGCAGGGCTGACCGCGTGGCTGGGGCAGCCTTGGAGGGCACTCCGCTGGGCCCCCCAGGACGCTGCAGCACTGTCCCCGGCCGGTCCCCATCACAGCTCACAGGGCTGCCGTGGACGTGGTCACGTCTGCACTAGGCAAGACTGTGAAGTAGCATGATGCCTGCCACTCTGCTGACTGTGTAAAGTCATCCCCAGGAAGAGCTGACAGCCACCAAGATGGGGGAAGGAGGGGCGTGAGTAGCAGGCACTGGAACTGATGGGGCAGAACGGCCCCCTCGGGTGGAAAGGCTGGCTCCAGACCCCAGTGTGAGTGCTGGGCAGGGATTCTGAAACAAGGGACACCATGCAGGAGGCCCGGCCAGCTCTGCACTCCCCAGAGCTCAATCACCTGTCCCAAGCCAGAGACTGGCAGGGCGGAGGGGGCGTCTAGAAAGGAAAGGCACTCAGATAGCTCAGGCAGGGCAGAGGGGGGCGAGGAGACAGGGCCAGGACAGGCAGGGGCTTCTGGTTGGGCACAAGATGTACTTGAATCCCGAGCCTGGGGTTAACACGGGCAGAGGGAACCATGGGAAGAGCTGACTTCCAAGCCTGCGGCGGGCAACGGGACTGCTTCAAACCTCCACCCCCAGCAGCAGCCAGAAGCAGCGGAGGAGGCAGCACAGTGGACACAGGCATTGCTCACCGCCCTCATCACAGACGGGGTCCCTGCAAAATCGAGGAGCTCTCAGTGTGGCCTCAGGGACAAACCCAGCCCTGTACTGTTGGTTAAAAACACAGCTGAAATGGTAAGTAAGGGGCAGGCAAAGAGATGCCAGGCAAACACACGGGAGGCACAGGGAGGGGCTGCTCAGGCCGGGGGAGAAAGGGTGTGAGTTCAGAGCTGTCGAGCAGGCAGACGGATGCCGTCACCACAGAAGATGCTGTTTACAACGATGATACAGTCATCAACTGTAAGCGCTCAACAAGGAAGCAGCTAAACACAGAAAGCAAAGACTAGAAACGCGAGTGTCGTAAAAGCACAGTTACACAGGCAGACTTAGCTACGTCTCTTTCAGACTCACAGGACTAGCGGGACAAACAACAAACAAGGTGCCTGTCTTCTCAGTTTCTGAAATAACAAGTCAAAAAGCCACTGGGCAGGTCCAAGAGAGGCAGGGGTCCTGGCAGAGTGGGAAGCAAGGTCCCAGGTAGCCCGGCCTCTCATGTCAGAGAGAGCTGTTCAAACACAGAAAAGGCAGACCCGGGTGCTGACTCCGACAGCCACTAGGAGCTCACCCTCTTCTACTGTTCCAAGAATAACCTTGGGAATGACCGGCATACCCTCCAGCTCTGGCCCCCAGGAGGTCCCGAGATGACACCCCAAGAACGCTGGGTCCAGGGCCAGACCACAGCTTCTAAATGTCACTCTCCACTAAAAGGATCCAGCGCTCCTGAGAGAAAGGGGCAACTCCAGGGCTGGGCAGGGTATGGAGAGAAGCCCAGCACATCCTGGAGGCAGAAGGTGAGGGGCTGCTGAGAGAGGGGAGGTCGTGTCAGAATGCCTCAGGTCCTCAAGCCCCTTCCGTGGGCCAAGGCTGGGACAATTTGAGCCTCAAAATAAATTACGATGGTAAAAGGCTGTCGCCCATGAAATAAAATGGAAGCTCACTTGTTAATGAAATGGACTCCCTTGTGAGCCCACGTGAACAGGTAAGCAGACACACATAAACTGGGAGAAGGGAAGGCTCGGTGGCAGGAAGCTGCCTGATGAGTATGGCAGTGGTGGGTCAGGAATGTCGCCAACCACCTCGGGGCCCGCTCAGAACCATCAAGGTGCTGAGGCTCACAGGCGAAGCTGGATGAGAAACAGCCTATTATATGCTCTCAAAGCACCTTCCTCACTTGCTGATTTCAAGGGGCAGGAGTAACTGCAGGGGGAAACCTGGCTGACCCCACGGTTCAGAGCATCACCAGTGAGCCCTGGTGGTAGGCACACAGACACGTGGTAGCTCCATGATAATCCCGGCCAAGATGCACACGCTGAAGCCTGTGAGGACATCAGACCCAGCGTGGGGGCAGTCACTGCAGGCAGGGCCTACGCCCAGCAGAAGCGTCAAGGTCAGAGAAATCAGCAAAGACAGAGGCACGCTCCGACCGAAGGAGACTAGAGGGATGCGGTGGCCAAGCCCCACAGGGATCGGGCCGCGCCCTTCCACGACGGAGCACGTCCCCGGCGCAGTGGGTGAGCCATGAATAGGGCTGAGTGTCAGAGGTTCTTTGTCCTGTTTTTGCAACTTTTCTCTAAGTTTAAAATTCATTTATGTATGTGCTTACATTTTTCAAAGAGAAACAAATGGCAGAATAAACCAAAACTAATAAAGATGGTAGTCTGGGAGCAGAGAGATGGAGGCCGGTCTTCTGAAATGATTCTATATAACTTCAACTTTGGAACCACGTGAAGATTTACACAATTAAGAAACAGATTTTTTCGGTGGCAGACGCCTGTAATCCCAGCTACTCGGGAGGCTGAGGCAGGAGAATCGCTTGAACCCGGGAGGTGGAGGTTGCAATGAGCTGAGATCGTGCCACTGCACTTCAGCTTGGGAAACAGAGTGAGACTCCGTCTCAAAAAAAAAACAAAAAACAGATTTTTAAAAAGTTACCCTAAAAGCTAAAATGAGTCAGCCCAACTGTGTTATCAGCTTGGTAGCAAAACCACAGAATGATCTCAAGTGGCTGAGAACACAGGATGCGGACTGTACGTCCCAGGCAGGGTGAACCCTCAGGAAGCAGCCGCCAGAACTCGGCCCCTCTCCACGCTCCTGCTCTCAGTTGTACCAGTGGTGTCACTGTTTTTGTTTTTTAGAGTCTGTCTTGCTCAGGCTGGACTCAAATTCCTGGGCTCGAGCGATCCTCCTGTTTCAGCCTCCTGAATACCTGCGACTACAGGCCATGTGCCACCACACTCAGTTAATTTTGAAATTAAGGAATTAAGGAAAGATTTTATGAGAAAAAGTATAAAATTACAAAAGTTAGTAAAAACCCTACAATCTTAAATGAGTTAAATGTAACAGTACAAACTCAGGATTTGTTCTCTTTCTGAAAACATCCACCTCTCAGCCTCCATCTGCTGCAGAGGCCACAGAGCAGCAAAGGCAGTGCCTGAGTCCTGAGCACGCCTGGCCCATGGTTATAGGAGCCCCACACCCAGCTCCCACCGAGAGGGGCCAGGTCCCACACAAAAATGTTGGAATCCAGGGCCGGGGCAGGAAGTACAAAGAATGCCCTGTCAAAGCAGCTGGGGAATGATGGGGTCATGCCACAGGGATGCGGGGTCTCGCTGCCTGATCAAGGGACATCAAGGGAACGCTGTGTTGAAACCCATCAGGAAAATAAAGACTCATAAGTTCACGAAAACCCTAAAAACAGAAAGACACCTCAGGAACCACCTTTGGAAGATTCCAGGGCCCCAGCCTGTTATTCTAAAAACTAACAAATGGAAGAACCAAGCATTTCATCTTCCTAGGTCTTTCCTGCAGGAGCTCACATCAGGACAGAAACAGAGCTAGTGATCTCTTCTTTACAGACATATCTACAGAAAAGTTAACAGCCAGAGATGCAGAGGGAAAGACTGAAGGATTCTTCCTGAGAGCGTAAATCGAGGAAATGCCAAAAGAAAGGGCAGTCTCTTCTGAAGTTTAATTTTTAATGGTGATGATGACAAGGGAGAGGTGGTCCTGACCAGTAGTCAGAAGCTGGCTCTGACAAGCCCATCAACACACAGGACCCTGGTCAGCGTGACCAGGAGGAAGAGGATGCGGACAGCAGGGCCGAGGGGGAGGTGGCCGCAGAGGAGGGGCCCAGTGGGAGAGGACTTGCGTCCTCATGCCAAACACGCGGGGTAGCGGGCGAGTCTCTCAGACAGCGCACACCCACCTAGGTTTGCGCAGGGGTCGGCGCCGACCATGGCGAGGCAGGTCGTTACTGAATCAATCCTCTCGACCCCGAGAAGCAGGCACTGCGGGTGACCCATTGTACAGACGAGGAGACTGAGGAGTAAAGTCAAGGCCCGACAGCAAGTGAGGGCCAGGCTTAGATGGACTGTGCACGACCCCTAAAAATGCACCAGTCCTAGAAAGCAGGAGACGTAGGCTCTGACAGACAGACGTGGGCCGTAGAAAGCAGGAGACGTAGGCTCTGACAGACAAACACGGGCCACTGCTCCAGAGTGCTAGGGACATGCAGGCAGCTCCTGAGCCAATGCCAAGATGGGCTCGCACAGTGAGAAGAAAGTTACAGAACCCAGTGGGCAAACCGATGCCCACAGGGCCAGGCAGACAGACACAGATGAGTCCAGTGGCCTGAGTTTCAGAAAAATGGGGAAGGGTCATGAATTGAAGCCCCCCCCCCACCCCACCCATGCTCTGGAGTCAGAAACACAGATGGACCTGTGGGAGCACCGGCCTGGCCGTGCCACGTCCTCTGAGCTTTCTGTGAGAAGCCAGGAAGCCAGACATGGCGTGGACTCCTGATGTGTGAGACCCCAGCTCCTCTCTCTCAAGCCCCAAGCCCGCTGATGAAACCTCCATGGGCTGAACCAACCCTACTTAGCAGATAAGAGGACTTCAGAAAACTCAACACCCGCTTCAGATAACAATTCTTACAGGTTATAAATAGAAACAGCCCCCCCTCCATTTAAAAAATGTTGTAAGAGAGTCTACAGCAAACGTCACAGTACAAGATGAAAGTCCCTCAGAGCTGAGCACAAGACAAGCCCACCTCCACAGGACCAGGGGCTCTGCGGGAGGGGACAAGGGAGAGGCCCGAAGGGGGAAGGGCGGCCAGGCTTCTGCCAGGGGGTGAAGCAGATTTACAAATCCAGGTGAGGATTTATAAGAATTACTAGGAAAGCAAGAGCCACCGGGGGACACCCTAGAGAAAAGCTCGACATAAAGATAACCCCAAGGCTGGGCGCAGGGCTCACGCCTGGAAGCCTAGCACTTTGAGAGGCCAAGGCAGGCAGGTCACTTGAGCCCAGGAGCTGAAGACCAGCCTAGGTAACATGACAAAACCCCGTTTCTACAGAAAACTTTAAAACAATGAGCCGGGTGTGGTGGCGCAGCTGTAGTCCCAGCTACTCGGGAGGCTGAGGTGGGAGGATCGCTTGAGCCCGGCAGGGCGAGCCTGCGGCGTGCAGCGACTGTGCCGCTACTCCAGCCTGGGCGACAGAGCGAGACCCTTTCTCAAAATATGTACATACATACACGTACGTGAAATCCCAGAATTCCAGTCGGTTTCTGCACAGAACTTGGCAGGTTCATTCGTAAGAGAAAACACATTGACAATAGAAACTTTTCAAGACAAGAAAAAGGAGTGGGTGACTTTGCCCATTAGGATTAGGCATGAAACCTGCTACAAAGTGAGGGATTTAAATGCGTGGCATTGGCCCAGAAGTAGCTCACAACTCACTGGGACCAAGTCCAGAAACAGGGCTTGGAGCCTACAGGAACTGAACACAATGAGGCCACATTTCCCCCAAATCACTGGGGAAGCGACAGACTGTTCAGTCAGTACTGTGGGGACAGCTATGCATCCAGTTACTTGCAAAGCAGTTCCAGGGCTGGGCATGGGGACATGGCTTGAGCGCAGGAGGCGGAGGCTGCAGTGAGCTGTGATTGTGTCACCACACTCCAGCCTAGGCGACAAGCGAGACCTCATCAAAGCAATTCCAGGTGGACCATGGAGCTATGTGTTGTTTAAACTTCCAGAAATACTAGAAGAAAACATGACAATGTTTTTGTAATCTTGCAGTAGGGAAGATCTTCCCAAGGAAAAAACCAGAATCCAGAAGTCATAAAGAACCCAGAAGACTTAATTTAAAAATTTTGATTTTTGTAACTCAAAAGATCCCATTTTTTTAAAGGAAAAGATAAGCAACCGCTGCAGAAAAACACACCTGTACCCACAGAACAAAGATGAGCAACCAGGCTGCTGGACGGAAGCCAGGGTGACAACGGAGAGCAAGGGCAGTGCTGGGGCGGACAGCGAGCCCCCGGGAAGACGGAAGGACATGGGAAAGAGGTAGCAGTGACGGGGAAGGGGAGCTGGATGGCAGCTCTCAGCCCCACTGCTCGGGACCCCTGGCTTGCCCGACGCGGCAGAAATGGTATCTGCCCCCAACACCAGGGAGGGTGTGGAGGTGGCTCTGTCCGTGGCTGGCCAGAGTGTGAGGTCTGAGACCCCTGCCCCTCCTATACCGACATGTCACGGCAGGCTCGTGGGGGACCCGGCCAGATGCAAGGACAACCTGTGGCCGACAGCAGCGCGGCACGCCGGCTGCAGACATGGCACTAGCCCTGCCTTCTGCATACCTAGCTCTTCCCTGAGGGAGCTCGCTCCCTCTCTAATAAAAACTTCACGAGTAAATATATCGAATGAAACGTGTTTAGATACACATTTAAAATAATAAAAGGCAAGGCCCTCTCTGAGAACCAGATGGTCCAGAGCTCGAGTCCTCAGATAAATCCTTCCCCAGAAACCACCAGGACTCCCTCAAGGACAGGAGGGGACCCGGTGGGTGAGGGCTGGCCCGGGGCCAACCCCAAGCTCAACGTCCAGCTGTGGAGCAAAAACAACGAATGCAGACCCACTTCCCGCCAAGGGGCCCCCACGCTGGCTGTGGGTCAGGACACTCTGTGACTGTCAGCCTGGCAGAAAGCCACCATCCCAGAGATCCCTTGCAGGACAGAACCAATGTGAGGGGCCGCCGCATCCCAGAGGCTGTTACAGAGAGGAAGCCATCTGTGTGCCGGTGGGGAGTGGTGACAGCCACCTGCCCCCTGTGGACCTGTGTGACCAGCAGGGACACCCTCTGGGAGGAGCAGATGGCCCCTCCAGGTGAAGGCCCAGGCATCCACCCAGCTTCAGCCATGGGCGCTGGCCCTCCCGGGACCCACCCTCTTGTGGCCCTGCAGGCCACTCCAGTGGGAAGCCAGCCTGCACACCCTGGCGCCAGTGAAGAACCCCTGGAAACTGCTGAGGCCTGCTGCAGGGCCCCTGGGATGGCATGGGGAAGAAGACGGAAGGGAGATGGGAGCCCCCTGAGACAGGCCAGGCTTGTCCAGGATCCAGGCCGTGCTGGTGGGGAGGACTCCTGGGGCCCCACCTCGCATCCCAACTCCCCGTCTGGGCTTCTGCTCTGGAGTCCAGGAAGGGACGGACCAGCAGTTGGGCAGGAGATCTTGGGTAGGGAGTTCTCTGTTGAGGGGTCACCAGAGGGGCTCCCTGGAGTCATGGCCCAGGGATGGGCTGAGAGGAGCAAGGTGCCACTAGGCACAGGAGCGGGGACCCTCAGCATCCCAAGGCGTCTGCCTGGCTGGTGGGCTTTGGGCAGGGCTTGGAGTCATCCCTTAGCAGCCTGATGGGACTCTGCAGGAGTCACCAGTGCTCAGCTTCTTTTAGGACCAGACCACGTAGTGCGTCCCAAACACACGCCCCTCCCACCATCCGTTCACGTGCCTCGTCCTACTTGGACTGGGCCTCTGGACAGCTCGATGAGCCGGAGCTCAGCAGAAAGGGAAGGCAGGGCCCTCCGCCCACAGCTCCCCAGCCCGCACGGCTGATGCAGAGCCGCAGAGCACCGCCCAGACCCAGAGGCACAGGGGACCCGTCGCCTGCCCCGAGAGGTGTCAGCGGCTCACAACACCTTGGGCTGGGCCAGAGGGAGGCCCGGTCCCCGGGGCGGGATCGCTAACCTCCAGGGCTGCGTCGGTGCTGGCCTCAAAGCCGTCACAGACCAGCACGGTGAGGGTGTCGCCCACACTGCGGAGCAGCTGCACCGCCTCGCCGTGCGTCAGGCCCAGCAGGCTCTGCTGGTTCACCTCCAACAGCCGCAAACCCACACGCAGCCGACCGTCGCGCCCGGCTGCCCCCGTGGGGCTCACCTGTGGGGAGACGTGGTATGGGAGAGACCTGTTGGGGGGTGGGGCCCAGGGCGGGCTGGGGTGGGGGGGGCTCACCTTGGAGATGAAGATGCCCTCGTCTGTGGGGTCGCGGGGGTTGCCAGCGTGGCCCCTGGCACCCCCGCGGATGCTGATGCCCAGCCTCTCCCCAGGTGCCTTCTGGATGCACAGTTCCCGTAGGCCCGGGGGTGCCGGGTCCCTCCGCACCAGCAGCGACAGCTCCAGGCAGGGCCGGAGCAGGGCACTGACTGCTTCTTGGTGCGTGGCATCCCGCACGTCTTGCCCGTTCACTGCCAGGATGCGGTCCCCAACCCGCAGGCCGCTGCGAGCGGCCAGGCCCCGCGGGAGCACCTGTCAGGGAGGAGGGTGGCAGCTGGTGGCTGAGGCCGCGCTGACCTGCGCTGGTACCTGGGATGGGTGCACCTCTCACAGAACCGCCTGGATGGGCCGCCCTACCTTGGAGATGAACACACCAGGCTCCTGGACACCAAACGGGTGGCTGGAATGGTCGGAGCCTCCGACAATACTAAGCCCCAGAGGGCCCCCAGCTCTTGGCAGACGGATCTCCTGGGGATTTAGGGCGGGACAAGGACAGGCCTCGGTCAGGACAGGGAAAGGGTGTGGGAGGGCTCCCAAGAGTCCGTCCCGGTCCTTGGGGATGGCGGGCGGGGGCTGCCCTAATGCCCACGGGGATTTCTGCGCCACCAGTGTTCTGCTGCCCAGGCAGGCACGCAGCGTGAGGACAATATCCTCGCTGACTGTGGCCATGTGGCCAGCCAGGAGACTGTGTCAAGGGGACCATACTGAGGAGTCTGGCTGTGGGGCAGAGCCCCAGCCTCAAGGAGCTGCAGGGGAAAGGGCGAGCAGGCCGGCTTCCCACCTGGAGTGGGCCGCAAGGCCATAAGAGAGCAGGTCCTGGGAAGGCCAGTGCCCACAGCTGAAGCTGGGTGGGTGCCTGGGTGGGGGCTTGTGTCTCACCTCCACTGGGTATGGCCCTTCCAACGCGGCAGCCAGCAGGCTGGGGGCCAGGCTCGGCAACCCAGGCACCCCGGGGGTGGCAGTGGTTATGCTGGTGGTGGCAACAGCAGCGGTGGGGGGTGAGGAATGTGGCAGAGGGCTGGGAGGAAGAGGGCCCCCAGCCTCCCGCTCCAACAGCAGGGCGATGGTGGGGGAGGCAGCGGTCAGCAGGGAGACGGCGTGGTCATGCCTGGCCTCAGTCACGTCCACTCCATTAATCTGTGAGAGCGTGCCCGAATCAGGGAGGCCCAAGGGCAGAAGGGGACAGAGGGCGCGGGGCGGGGCAGGGGGGATGGGTGGGTGGGGCGGGGCCCCATCCCCACTCACAGAGAGGACGCGGTCGCCAACCTGCAGTGTGCCCGCGCGGTGAGCAGCACCGCCCTCGGCAATGCGGGAGACGAAGATGCCCTGCAGGGGAGGGTGGAGGAGGCAGGGCTGCCGGTGAGGCTGGAGTGCGGCTGTCAGCTCTAGAGCAGCCCTCCCCGGCCCTGGGCCCCAGCCTCACCGCATCACCAGCCCTGTAGGGTGTGGAGCCTTTCCCACCAGCAATGCTGAAGCCCAGCCCCCTCTCGCTGCGTGCCAGGCAGGCCACGTGGCGCTGACGGAGGGGCCCGGGGCTCTCAGGCGGGAGCAGGGGCAGGCGCAGCCCCCCTCCCCGCCGCTCTCGGGGGCTGTAATCATCCTCGGGCCGCAGCGGCGTGATGGTGACCGCGTTCTCAGGCTCCACCATGCGCTCCCGCCACACTCGCATCTGCACGGCAGTGCCGGCCCCCCGGAGCGCCTCCACGGCCTCGTGGTGCTCGGCGCCCTGCAGAGCCACACCATTCACCTGCGGGCCAGGGACCACGTGCGTATTCAGGACCCAGTGCCGCCACAGACAGCCACGTGCTGGGGGCTCCACACGCTCCCTCCAGGATGGGGAGACTGAGGCACAGGGCGAGGGGAAAGGCCCCAGGCGCTGACATCACCCGAGACCTTTAGCCACAAGGTTCCTCGTGGGCACCGACCCCTCCCCTACCAGGTCCTCTGAAACCCGGTGTGGGAAGCCCTAGGGCCAGGACACACACTGGCCACGGGAGGCAAGCAGATGCCCCCACGGCCAGGCCACACATGGCCCCGCTCCTGGATACCTCCGGCCCATCTGCACAGCCCAACACACACCTAAGGTCGCTGGGTTACTGACCCACACCCCCACCCCAACACCCAGGAGCAGCAGTTCCCACGCAAAGGTCAGGAGAGCTGAGCAGCAGACGCAGCATATGAGCCCTGGGCAGACGCCTCCTGGCTGGGCTTCAGGGCCCTCACCTGCCCTCAGTGTGTCCCTACAAGAAGGGCGCATGCCTCTTCAGAGCCCCCGGATGCCCGTGCCCCGGCTGAACAGCTAGGTGTCCAGGTGGAGGCTCCAGGACTCCCATACAGGGTCCAAACCCCACCAGACCTGCCAGTAGCCTGACCCCTCTCGGTCAGCCCAGGAGCGGCCCCTCCTGGAGAGGCCACTGTGCCAGGTGCAGCTGCTGCCCTACCCACTGGTAGAAAAACACACCTGTACCCACAGAACAAAGATGAGCAATCAGGGCGCTGGATGGGAGCCAGGGTGACAACGGAAAGCCCAGGTGGCACTTGCCCAGGTGATTCTCTCCTGGGGTTTACAGGTTCCGTGGCTTCACCCGGAAGTCTGGGTGTCCTGTGCTTGGAACTCTTGGGGAGGCCGGGAGAAGGCAGCCAAGCACCCTAATACCAGGGACCATGTACCTCCAGAGGGCACAGCTGCCACTCGGGGCGGAGAGGTTGCCGACTCACCTCCAGGAGCTTGTCACCCACACGGACTCCAGCCCGGGCCGCAGGGCCTTCCTCGGACACCCGAGAGATGAATATGCCCTAGGGCACAGACACGAGCTTGGCAGGGGCCAGGGAGACGGGCCCGCATTCCTGCTCCTTCTGCAGAAGACCCAGGAGGGGAAGACCCACTCCCAGCAGCCCCTAGCCCTGGCCAGCAGGAGGACTGAGCTCTAGCCACTGTGGGATCCTGAGTGCCAGGGGGTTAGAAGGAGCACGTCAGCCCCGAGAAAGGGCTCGTGGCCCCAGGCCTGGTGCACAGGCAGCTGGTGAGAGAAGGAGGGCTGTGAAGGGAAGACAGACCCAGGCACCCTCAGGTTGCTCTTGGACTTCGGGATCCCACAACAGTAGGTGCCTTGGGCCCAGCCCGTGTCCCCAGAGCGTGTGAGTGTTCTCAGGGCAAGGGGCCTGTGTGCCATCAGTGTGAACTGTGGTGGGGCAGGCCAGTGGCAGCGGAAAGGCCCTCCTAGGCAGTGCTCACCTCGTCGTCCCCCTTATAGGGTGTGGAGCCCTTGCCGCCCGCAATGCTGATGCCCAGGCCCCCAGTCTGCCGCAGGATAGTGAGGGTCAGCTGGAAACAGAACAGACAGGGTGTCTAGAAGGGCCGCAGTGGGGCTGCCTGTGCTCTCTGCAGGAGACCCCACCAGCACGCAGATGCCATTTCTGGCTTTTCTCTAGGCAGCTGAATGGGGCCTCATGCCACTCACCAGCCAGGGCCAGCCCAGACGCCAGCTGGAGAAGCCCCAAGACCCCAGCAGGAGGGCACTGCTCTGCAGAGCGTGGTGGGCTGGGGCTTGCCCACCTCCAGGTGATGGTGGCCCGAGGCCCCCCTGCCACCCTCGAGTGAGGACTGCGCTGCCTCCGCAGGCAGGTAAGGCTCAGAGCACCACAGGCGGCTGATGGGAGCTGGACCAGCCTCTCCGCTCACCCCTGCCAAGACGGGCTGCCCCAGGCAGGAGGTGTCCTGATCCTGGAGCCCAGCTGGATCTGAGAGCTCTTTTGAGAGGGATCTGCGCTCAAGCAACAGGGGCGGGGAGAGGCGTGAGCCCACAGCCCGGGAAGCAAGGCCAGCAGCGGCCCGGCCAGAGTGCAGAGCGAGCAGTACAGACCTCTTCCTCCTCAATGCGAGCAGGCTCTATCAGCAGGTTATTGGCCTGGTCAAACGACACTCCCTGTTAGGACAGGACCAGTGAGGCATGCAGGTTAGCCACCGCCAAGACCACCACCACCGCCTCACCCAGCCCCCGCCACAAGCAGAAAGGACAGAGGAGACCACAGCAAGCTCCCTCGACTGCCCTGGCACGGGCGCCTCCATCCTGGAGGCGTGAGTGACACCACACACCTGGGGACAAGCGGGGCTCCAGAGCTGAGCAGAGTCCCACCGGGCTGTCCCTGCTGTGGCCCCTCCGGGCCCCCTCAGCTATCATGCCACTGGCCCACACTCAGGGTCAGAGTGTCATCAAGGGCAGGGATAGTGAGACCCGGGGACTCCCCCTGGAATCTGAGTTTGCCCAGAGAGCAGGTGAGACCCTTTGTGACCCATGGAGAGGAGACTTGAGGGCCAGGGAGGGACACACTGGTGCCCCGAAGGCCTGTGTGGCACCTCAGGAGGGCCCGACAAGGCAGAAAAGAGCCATCAGGGCCTCGGGCCTGCAGTGCCCAACACAAGAGAGGATCCCAGGAGAGCCCAGTGATCTTGGGAGAGGAACAGACCCTGCCCTGGGACCACGACACATGTAGACAGGCCCTGGAGACCCACAAAGAGTGGGCAGCCATGCTTGACTTCTGTGAACTCCGTGCCCGCCAGCAGGTCGGGCAAATACTGGCCAGCAGAGCTGCCTCTGGCACTGAGACCAACGCCAGGGCAGGCCTGGGGTCCAAGCATGGACTGAGACCAACGCCAGGGCAGGCCTGGGGTCCAAGCATGGACTGAGACCAACGCCAGGGCAGGCCTGGAGTCCAAGCATGGACTGAGACCAATGCCAGGGCAGGCCTGGGGTCTGGTGAGAGTGGCCGTGATGCCGACTGTGGAGCACACGTGTCCACCACCTTCTCCGGGTGGCCAGGGGCCAGTGGGTCAGGCCTCGGCCCTGCTCCTGCCGCAGCCCTGGGTGCCCAGGAGGGCCAGGGGAATCTGGGTCAGGCAGGGGTGAGGCTGACACCAACCTTGACAGAGGGCGCAGAAACCACGGCCCCCTCCTTGTCCTCCTCCTCAGTGCTGGCCTCTTCCTCTTCAGCCCTGTTTTCCTCCTCCTCCTCTTCCTCCTCCTCCTGAGGACTACCCTCTTCCTCCTCCTCCTCCTCCTTCTGGGCCCGAGGAGCCCAGGGTGCGTGGGGGCCATTGTGCCAGCCCCCGGGAGCCACAGGGCCCTCCCCATCAGGCTGCATGCCCTGCAGCAGAGCCACAACGGCCTCGGGCTGGGGCAGCTTGGAGATCTTGAAGTGCTTTTTGTAGTGAGGTGTGTCCTTGCGGATGAGCCGCTGCCTCCCGCCTGGCAGGGTCCAGGGGGCCTCAGGCTGCCCCTCCTCGATCTCCCTGTCATCCCCGGGCAGCAGTGCGTCCTCTGCGAAATGCACCGTGGGCTGTGCGGACAAAAGGGTGAGGGTGGCCCCAGCTCTGTGGCTGTGCTTCCACAGGAAGACCCTACTAAACAGTGTGGCCACAGACGGGCTCCGAAAGCCTCCCCGCCACACAAAGACTCAGCACTAACTGCCCAGTGAGGGGCGCGTGTCTCAGCCCTGAGAAAAGCTGAAGGCCAGGGGCTCATCCTGGAGACACGCAGCGCCCCAGGTGGAAACGAAGGGGTGCGCCAAGGCCTCACACCAGGGAGCCCACGGGGGTCAGAAGAGAGTCCAGGGTGGGGGTGGGCTCTGTGAGCCCAGCCGTCAGGGGAGACCTTAACCCCACCTAGGGAGGCAGCTCTCCAGGGCACCCCCAGCAGCACGGCCCTGCACCACCCGTAGCCACTCTGTACAGGGCAGCTCCCCGAAGCATCAGCAGGGCCCAGGCACTGCCTGCACCAAAACCGATCCCAGCTGAGGCCCCGCAGGGGAGGCAGCCCCCACCCAGCAGGCCCAGCCTCCTGCCTCCTTCCTGCCAATCCACACCTCCTGGTAGTCCTCTTCGGCGTCTTCCTCCCCGCCAGCAGTCGTGGCTTCCTGCTGGCTCCCACCCTGTGCCTCAGCCGACGGGCCCTCGGGCTCAGCCTCAGAGACTGTGCTGGCAGATGGGCGAGAGTCTTCACTCAGGCCAGACTCGGCACTCAGCCGCTTCTCCTGCGGCGGGAAGTGGGGTCAGGCTTCGACGGAGCTCCCGACTCACAGGCTGGCCACCTGGGATGCCCCCCACGTGGCAGGCCTTCCCTGAGCTTCCCGCTGCCCCGACCAGGCACCGTTAACGGGCTCACGCCCTCGCAGCTGCTCCCTGTCCCAGCCTGCAAGGAAGCCACACGCCTCCAAAGCCTAGGGTGGACAAAGCCACGGTTCCACAGCCCAGCCCCAAGGAAAGCCTTTCCTAAAACAAACAAGGACCACACAAGTTCCCAGGAAAATCCCAGCGTGATATGAACCTCCTCCCCTCCCATGCACGGCCCCACACACCCTACCCCAGCCCAGATCACTGGTTCTGCTGCACCCAAAAACCCACAGCACGCATGTCACAGCTCTGAGTGAGAACAGTCAGGCCTGCTCTGTCCCAGTCCCAAACCCCTTCCCAGGTGCCGATGACACCCACGGCAGTTCCACCAGAGACCCTACCCCACAACCAAACCCCATTCCCTGTGCTCCCAGGCACACCCACCACTGGTTCTCCCCATACTCCAGCCCCACAGACCCGCCCTGCACGACCCACACGTCCACCCTGGCACCCTTCACCCAGCTGGCCCTGCAGCTCCATGTCCCTGAAACCTGTCACCAGCCTCATCTCCTGCTCCTTCTCTGTGCTGCCCTGGCCCTCACAGCCCCACTCCCAGGATGGACCGGACCACCACAGCTCCCGGGTCAGCGGCCCGCCAGGTTGCCGTGGCTCCATGCCCACCTCCTCTGCAGGCAAGGGCGACCCAGAGTCTGGCTGGCAAGGGCAGGCCTCGCTCCGCCGCCCCTCGATGCTCCTCTTCATCACCTTGAGCTCGCTGGGGTGAGGTGTGGCCCGGCGCTGTAGGCCCTGTTGTAGGGACAAGGATGAGCAGCAGCCACAGGGCAGGGGTCAGGCAGAGGTTCGCCCCCCAGATCCTCACCCTCATACCCGCTTCTCAGCTGCAGCTTCCTCAGCGTCCTCATCACCTATGGGGGCCTCCAGGAACTGGATGACGCTGACGCGGCTCGGCGGGGCATCGCTCCAGGTCTCCGAGAGGCTCCCCTGCTGCCCAGCATCCTCTGCAGCAGGTGAGCGTCAGGACCCAGGCTAGTCCCCAAACCCTGCCTGAGAGCCACCCCGCGCTAAGCACCGGTTGCCAACAACCTACCGAGGCTGGGTGGGGGCTGCTGGGGCAGCAAGTAGCAGGTGAGCACCTTCTCGCCGGTCCGGGCATCATCCTCCGTCTGGAACCGGAGCATGGGCTGCGCCTGGTTCTCTGCCAGCCACAGGGCCTTGAGATTGAGGTGGGTGAGCGCGAACGGCAGACTCTGCAGGCTGCGGGCCGGGCGGGCACAGTCAGCAGGCGTTGGGGCCACGGTTAGGCCCGCAGGGCAAGGCTGGCACTCACCGGTTCCCCGCCACGTCCAGCACGTGCAGCTCTGTCGTGTGGGCCAGCTCTGGTGGCAGGACGGCCAGGCGGTTGTCCCTCAAGGAGAGGACGCTGAGTGCCACACAGCCCCCGATCTCGGGCGGCAGCGCCTCGAGGTGGTTCCGGTCCACGTTGAGGTTGGTCAGCTTAGTCAGCTTTCCCAGGGAGCGGGGCAGGGCCTGGCCAAGAAGAGGAGGTCAGAGGACGCTAGGGGCTTGCTGGGGGTGGGAAGGAGATGACAGCCCCTGGCAGGAGGGCACAGACACCCCAGGCCAGCTCCAGCCAGGGTCCCTCACAGCCCCTGGAGACCGGGACAAGGACCTGACCACAGAAGCTGTCTCCACCCCACTTCGTGCCCTCTGCTCCCCAAGCTCTGCCCACTGCCCTCAGCCTTCAGTCCCCACCACCAAAACACCCCACCAGGTCATCCCTGACCCTCTCCCATGGGTGCCCTGGACTGACCTGCGAGGCTGCGCCCTGTGAGCCTGTCTGGTGCCCCACTGGTCTGCCCTGTCATCCCTAGGGCTCCCCAGGCCCCCAGTTCCAGCCTGCCTGCTCAGGGCCAGCCCCTTCCCAGGGCCCTGAACCCCAGAGTCCCTTTCTCCATCTCCCCAGTGAGGAACCCCCCCGGAAACTCCCATGAACACCCTCCCCACAGCTAGCTCCTGTTTCCCAGCCTGGGGATGGGGATAGCAACACCACCGTCCCGAACCGTGGCCTGGTGCCTCAGCTTGCCCTGCTTTGTGAGGGGCAGGCAGACGCCCCTGGGGAGCAGCCTGCTCTCCATCTGTCTTCCCTACAGACAAATAAGTTCCCATTCCTGCCTCTTCTGTAACCGCTCCCCAGTGTTACAACATACAGCGATAAACACGAGACCTAGATTCTTCACGGTAAACGGCAAAGGCCCCTGCCCTGGCCTCACTGCCCCGCCTCACCTCCGGCCAGCATGCTCCCCCTCTGACAAGAGAAGAGCCCTTCCTGAGTGGCTCCACGTCAGGCTGCCACCAGCACCCCCCAGCAGCAGACACAGGCTGATGCCCTGTCCTTGTTCTGCACCCCCGACGGCCCCATCCTTTCTGCCTCCCAAGCCAGACCCTACCATCAGCAGGTTCTCCGTGAGGATCAGCTCAGAGAGGTTCTCACAGTCCCCGATGGCCTCGGTCACCTCGCACAGCCGATTCTGGTCTACCTTTAGGATGGATAGCTGCTTCAGCTGACCTGGCGTCGGGGAGACAGGGGGACAAGGCTGAGCATGGTCCCCAGACGTGCCTTACCCACCTGGCCAGAAGCGCCCTCAAGGCAGACAGCAAGGCCCCCAGCCCCTTCTGCCGCCGCCGTACTTCGGGAGGACCCTACCTACCTTGCCCCACAAGCCTGACCCAACCTCCTTCAAGAAAACACCAGGCCCCAGTGGCACTGCCACCCTTCCGCCCTCACAGACTCCACCGCCCCCTCCAGCACCACCAGCTGCCTCCTCAGCCTTCTGGGCTGCCCCAGGGTCCCACCTCCCCTCCCCAGGGACAGCTCCCAGAGCCTGGGCACACTCAGGATCCTCCCCTGTGTTCCACACCACACACAGCCCCGACGCCCCACGCTCCTCCCAGGGCCAGGCTCCGTGTGCCCCACCCAGGCACCCCCAGGCACACTAACCGATGCCGTCGGGCAGCCTCCGCAGCAGGTTCTGGGACAGCAGCAGGTCAGTGAGCAGCACCAGCCCGCCGAGCTCAGCAGGCAGCTCCTCCAGCCGGTTTTCCGACACGTCCAGGCACACCAGGCGCCGCAGGTTCCCGAGCTCCTGCAGGTGGGCAGAGAGTCAGAGCGCGGATGGGCACGAAGCAGGGGGCCAGCCCCACCCTGACTCACCGGGGGCAGTGCTGACAGCTGGTTCCGGTCAAGCCACAGCTCCCGAAGATTGGGCAGAGCCCCCAGAGTGTCTGGCTGCAAGAAGGAACAGAGAAAATAGTGACTATGAGGCAAAGCCTCCTGCTGCGCCGTGCTCAAGAGACTATACGCCCCCACACCCAGCTCCCACCCGCCTGCCCTCCCGAGGTGCCCCTTGCTGTCGGATCTGCTCGCTGTCCCCTTCTTTGCCCTTGCTTCCGTGGCCCGCCCTCCGGTCTCTGCCCTGTCAGGCCTCCACGCACCAGCACTTCCAGATCGTTGCCTCCCAGATCCAGCTGTTCCAGCTTGACCAGAAATGACAGGGACCTGCAGAGGAAGCAGGGTGGAGGTGTGGCCACGCAGCCCTGGTCCCTGGGCTGTGGCCCTGCCCTGGCTGTTAGGAGAATGCCTGTCACACTCACGCTGGCAGGGACTTGAGCAGGTTCTCCCGGAGCTCCAGGGTCACCAGGTTGGCGAGGCTGAAAGAGAGACCAGGCGCTGGGGCAAGAGGAAGGAAAGCAGTGGCAGCAGGGGCAGGGCCAATCCTGGTCCCCCACCCCACCCTAGTTCCACCTGAGAAGGCACTCACTTGCCCACGTCCCCGGGCAGTGCCTGCAGAGACACATCATTCAGGGCCAGGTGAGCCAGGCTGCGCAGCTGAGTGAAGCCATCAGGGAGCCTGGATGGGAGGAAGCAGAGGCCCTCGGATGACCAGTCCAGGGCTGTGGGACCCATAGCCCCTACCGACCCCACCACAGGCTGCCACCCACCTGGAGAGGGGGTTCCCGCTGAAGTCCGCGATCTCCAGAGCCTTGCAGAACTTGATGCTCTCCGGGATCTCAGGGATATCTGTCACAGAGGGTCACAGTGGACAGATGCCATGGCCTGCAGGCCGTCTGCAGCCCCAGCGGACACTCCCCAGACCCCACCCAGCCCCTGCCCAGGCTCCCCACCGTTCCGGGACACGTCCAGCTCCACCAGCTGCATGAAGTTGGCCACCTCGGGAGGCAACCGCTGGATCTCGTTGTCGCTCAGGCCCAGCTTGCGCAAGTTCAGCAGCCGGAAAAAAGGCTGTGGGCAGGGAGGACACGGACTCTGTGGCAGAGACCACTGCAGAGCAGAGAAGAGCTCCTGGACACGTGAGTGTCACAAGTCAAGAGTCCCTAGGCCTCTGTCTGCTCCAGGTCACACCGGGTCCTGGGGTCTAACCACGACACCCCATTTGCAAAAAAAGGAAAGAAACACACGGTACACACGCCCACTGTGGCTGCCTCCCTCTACTCTTCACACCAGCCTCCACTCTGAGAAGACACCTGCTGGCGACCAGACAAAGCCCCAATCCCCTACCCTGTGTCTTACCTCAGGGCCCACCCAGCCCCTGAACCACTTCTGCCACCCTCCAGGGGCCCACACTGGCCTCTGCTACTGCATCCTGACAACAAGCCTGGCCTGGTTCTGCAGCAAGAACTCAGTAAACGCTCCCCACAATAACACAGTACCACAGGCACAGTGCTACGCGCGAGGCCTGCAGGTGGCCACAGAGGACCGAGCTGTCACTGCCACGGCCAGAACAGGGTCACATTCTTTGGGACACCCAACCCCTAGGTACTGATCACCCAGCACCCCATCTCCAGAAAAGAAATACTTTTTAATCTGCTTTCTCCAGCCTCCTTTCTTGTAGCAGCCTTAGGAGAGCACCTGACCACGAGAAGCAAGGGTAAAGAAAGGGGGACAGCGAACAGATCCGAGAGCAAAGAGTACATCAAGAGGGCTCCCCCACTCACCCCTGCACCCAGCAAAAAAGGAGAGGAGGTCTGGACCCACCTCCAGAGCGGCCCAAGAAGCTAGTACTCATCAGCCACCTGAATCCAAGTTCCACCCTAACCCCATCCACCTCCCTGAATCCCCACGGGTTTCACTCTGAGGCTCCGCCTCCAGGCTCGGTGACAATCGCTATCCCCAGGCAAGCACCTGATGACCGCTGCCACCTGCGCCAGCCAGGGCGGCTGGAAGAGAAGGGTGGGGCTGGCTGGGGTGGGGACCTGGCCAGTGCAAACCAGCAGGGCCGGCTGGAGGCTGCGGTGACTCGCCCGGGCAGATTCTGCCGCCGGAGGAATCACGGGCTGGGGGCGCGCCTTTGGGCGGCAGGTGCGGGCGGCCGCTCACCTTGGGCAGCTCGCGCAGCTGGTTGGCGTCGAGCAGCAGCTCCTCCAGGCTGCGGCTGTAGCGGTAGATCTCCTCCGGCACGGCCTGCAGCGAACAGTGCCGCTTGTCCACCGACTCCACGTGCCGGTTGCAGCGCCACAGCGGGATGCACTTGAGCATGGTGCGGGTGGGCGGCGCGGGCTCCGGCGGCGGCGCTCGGCGGGCTCGGGGCCGGGGGGCGGGGCTCAGTCCGCATGGGCGCCGCGCATGGGGAGGGGGCGCAGGCAGGGGGCGGGCCGCCCGAGACTGGACGGGGACGCGGCCGCGGCCGGCGCTGGGCCCGGCCCGCGCTCGGAACGCTCGGACTGCGGGCCTGGGCAGGGGGCGCGGCCCGGCGGGTCTCAGACTCTTAGGAAGCGCGGGGAGCGGCGGCGGCGGCGGCTCCGCATCCCGCTTGGTCCTGCTCAGCTCGTCCCGCCCGCTCGTCCGCCCGCTGTGCCGCACCGGAACCGCCGCTGCCCGCCGGACTGCCCCGCCGACACCCACCCGGCCGCCGCGCAGCCCGTCGGGAAGCCGAGTCCGGCCCTCGCCGCCTAGCACGCCCGGACTGCGGCCCCCAGAAGGCCCCGCGCGCCGCCGCCTCTGAGGACCCGTAGCGGCACCGCGCAAAGCGTGCCGGGAAGCCGGGCCCGCCCCGCGCGCGGGATATTGGGAGCTACAATCCACGAGAGGCGGCGCCCTCCGCCCTCCGGTCTTCAGCCCGGCCCCTGGCCCCGCGGCATTTGGCCACGAATCTTAACGCACAGCCTCCTCCCGGGAAGCGACCATGCCCGCCCGCCCGCCTTGGACGGCCGGCTCTGCGGCACAAAAGCACTGGCAGCGCGCGCTGTCCAGCGGGTCGCGGTGTCCCGGTGCCCAGCCTTCTCTCAGCACCACCCTGCGGGGACGGCTGCGAGCCCGCGCGCGAGAGCCTGGCGCCCCAGGCAGCCCCGCCCACCCAGCCGCCGCCACCCGCGGGACGGGGCCCGGGGCGCCAACCCCCTGCCCAGGTCTCGCCCACGGCAGGCCCCTCCTGCCAACAGGAAGCAGGTCCAGAGACCCCCCCAACCCTGCCTCCTCGCCCTAGACCCCCTAAGGACACACGCCCAGGATCGGTGACAGGACCGACGGCAGACACACGGACGTTCAGGGCCAGCAGCATCCGCACCTTTATCCGCACTGTAGGCTGGGCTGGGCAGAGCGCGCCTGGCCCCGGGGACACCACTGTATCACTATAAAACCCAGAGGAAACAAGGAACAAGTGCAAGTCCGGGGAGAGGGACCACTGTCACGCAGAGAGGTCACTGTTATCAAAACGCTCCTGGTCGTACACTTCAGCCACCACCTTGCGGCCAGCAAACCAGCGGCCATTGAGGGCCTGGATGGCCTTATGAGTCTCAGAGGCTATGGAAAACTCCACAAAGATCTTGACAATGATTTCTGCATCCTCCTCCTCGCCTTGTTTCTCTTGGTAGATGATGACGCGGTTCACGGCCCCGAACTTGCCACACTCCTCTGTCACCTCCCCTTCCAGGTCATCATCGATGTCCTTGGGGTCCACCATGTTGCGCAGAACCATCACTGTAGACTGTGGGGCAGGGCCGAGGGGAAGACAGCTGAGCACTGCGGCCCCGCCCCCCTACCCTCTCCCCCGCCACCACCCTGCCCCTCTGCCTACCTCCTGCTTGCGGAGCAGCTTCTGCATCACCATGTGTCGGGCGCTACTGCCCGAGATGCTCATGTGCTCCTGCTCGCTCAGCATCTCTGGCCGCTCTGACTCGGGAAACAGCTCCTCTTCTTCCTTCTCCTTCTTGGGCTCCAGGAGACCCAGCGTTGGAGGGCTGGCCAGGATGGGGTTCACCACTCCCACCGAGGGGATGGTGACCGGGATAGGAGGACGGGCTGGGGTCACACCTGCAGGAAAACCAACCAGGTCCATCAGTCACTCCCTACCACCCCCCTTCCCAGAAAGGCACAGAGCTGGCCTGCCCTGGGCTCAGAGGGTTGTGCCCAGACCACCAGGGCCAGGCAGCTGAGGGCAGCGAGCCGAGAGATGCCAGGACAGGAGAGGAGAGGATCTGGTACCACTTAAGACTCACCTGTGATGACTCCAGGTGCCTGGGCAGCCATGACAGCCTGGGGCAAAGTGCCCAGGGGCTGGGCCAGGGTCAGTGCTGGGGACACCAGTCCAGGTGTGCCCAGGGTACCCAGCACCGCTGCTCCGGCCACTGCTTCCTGCAACCCAAAAGGTCACCGTGCTCAGTCCCTGGTCTGGCTACTCAAGACCACCTTGAATCAGTCTCCAAGGAATCAGGGGCCAGCCCGCCCACCCTCAAGCCGACAGCTGTGTGGGCCCTCACCTGAGCTGTGATCTTGGCAGTGGCTGCAGCAGCTGCCACAGCAGCGGCAGGTGGGAGGCCTCCAGGCGTGGCTGGTGTGAGTAGGGGCATGGGCGGTGTGACAGCCTTGCCCACCCGCAAGTACTGGCCACCCAGGTCAAAGAGGTTCATGGAAGACACAGCATCTTGGGACGACTGGGCCTTCTCGTACTCTGTGGGCAGGAGCAGCAGTGAGCAGGGCCAGCCCCAGCCTCAGGTGGCCCCCATCCCGCCTCAGCCACCCCAGCTCACCAATGAAGCCGTAGCCCTTGTGCTTGCCAGTTGTGGGGTCCCGGGCCAGTGTGCAGGACTTGATCTTGCCAAAGGCCTCAAACACGCTCTTGATGTCATCGTCTGAGAGGTCCTGGTGCACAGAGGCCACGTAGATGCGGTTGAAGGCCCGTGCCTCCTCAGCCAACTGGTCTATGATGGGCTGGGCCTGCCCTATGTTGCTGGGTCTGCCCACCTGGGGAAGAGGCGGTGAGATGGAAAGACCGGTCAACCCAGGCCCGGCCACAAAAGGCTTCCGTGGAGGGGCAGCCCTGCACGCCTGCGGGATCGAGGCCTTGGCTCCCTGCCTCACCTTGATGTTCCTGCCCCCCAGCATCACCGAGTTCATCTGCTCCAAGGCCAGCTGTGCAGCTTCGGGGACCTCATACTCCACGAAGGCAAAGCCCTAGACACAGGGACACACCTGTCAGGCTGCGCGAGCCCAGGGGTGGGGGCGAGCCCGAAGTGGCCGGGGCGGACCAAGCCTGCTGACCTTGTGCTTCATGGTGACGGAGTCCCAGGACATGTCGATGCTCTTGATGGGGCCAAAGGGGGCAAAGGCCTGGCGGATGGTGTCCTCCCCCAGCTCATAGTAGATAGAGCCCACGTAGACGCGGCACATGATGGCCAGCGCCCGCTGCCGCTGAGCCGCCATCTGCAGCAGGACAGAGGGGAGAGAACCGCTGGCTCGTCAGGGGCGGCAGGAAGCTGGGCAGCCCACTCCCCTCCTGGCCCACCCACCCAGCCCTGCTGTGGGGAGGGCTCCCCACATGACAGGGAGGTGCGGGCTCCATCCCTGCAGTCATAGTGTGGGGGTCGCAGGACCCCGCCACCCAAAGAAGGAAGGCCAGGCCCAGCGGCAGGACAGGACGCACCCCAGCCCGCCAAGGTCCCAGGCAGACTGCGGCAGCAAAGCCGACAGATGGTCAGGAGGCAGGGCTGTGCGCCCTCCCACCCAGACCACCCCTCCAGTCTGGGGGCTGGGTATCCCAGGCTGGGCTGGGAGATCCTCCCACTGTCCCAGCCAAGGACCACGACAGAAGAGGGAAGGAGGAACCATCCAAGCTGGAGGGACCCACTGGTTTGGTGGCCAGAAGAGAGGAGGTCAGAAGACAGGGCAGCCACTGCCCAGAAGAGACCCCAGGGGAGGAGCTCAGGAGCCAGATGGGGGCTCCCTGAAGAGAGAACGAGGAGCAGCTGCTCATGCTGGGCCAACTCAGGTGGGGGCTCATGCTGTGCCTTCCCAGTGCCCTGCAACTCCTCACAAAGGAGCTGCCTGGAGCCTGTGCCCCCAGCCGAGAGAGCGGGCCCAGGCGAGACCACTGGCCTGGCCCCCGGGGGCACCATGAGGTAGCAGAGACCCTACGAGAAGCCCCCAGGCTCCTTAGAGCTGGTGACAGGCCTGGCCGGTCCAGGGCCTTGGCTGTGAGCTTGGCTATTGCGCTGAGGGACCTCCCCACACCCTCAGGGACGGGTTCTCGCCCCTGTCACCTCACAGGAGGCATGCCAGACAGGGGACTTCCAGAGCCACACGCAGTGGGCCACAGGGAGCCTGTGGGCCAGGGCAGGCAAAGCAGACAGCTGGAGCCAGGCCCTGCCCCTCTCCACAAAAGGCCTTGTGGCCAGAGACCAGTTTCCCTCTTTAGACATCAGCTGGCCTAATGCAGGCCGAACCTCCCCATCCCGTGGAGAGGGGCCTGGAAGCATCTCTCCACATCAAGGGACTTCCCAAGGTGAGATATCTTCCTTCAAACCAGGCATTCCCTGAAAACGAGACTGTGTTCTCCTCACACTGGGCCCCCTGACAGACCTCAGGCTCCCCACTCAGAGCAAGACCCCCCCAAAGGTGGAATCACATCCCCCTCACTCAGCAGGCTCCCCAGACACGAGACCAGGCCTGTCCCTCAGGTCATGGTTCCCCCAAGACAGGGCCATGTCTCCTTTTCAGTGTGGGGCCCCACCCCCAGGCAGGCCAAGAGCTCTCTCCCTGACCAGACCCCCAGCCCGGGCTCCCATTCAGATGCTTCCCAGAGAGAACAAGGCGTGTGTTGCCCCATGGGAGCCACACACAGGGATGACCCCTCTGAACAGAGGCTCCCAGAGAAGGGTCCACATCTTCCCCTCAGGATCCCCGAGATGGGACCTGGCCTCCTCCTGAGCCTGCCTCTGGGGGAAGGGAGGGACACCTCCTTCCCACACTCCTCTGCCCACCACAGCCAAGGCCATAGCCATGGCCCCTGCCTCCTCCGCCCTGGCTGCGTGGCCTCTGCCCCTTGCTGACAGCCAGGCACAAGGCCCTGCTTGCCCTTCCCTTGCTCGCTTGGGTCCCCCCACCCCCACCCCATCCAACCATCCTCCCTCCAGGGTCTGATGGGGCCATGAGTTAGGACCCCTCTCTCCTCAGGGGCCTGACCCCAACCCAAGAGCCAGGCAGCCTGGAGACTGACGGGGCTGGAGGCCGTGGGCACACCCCGTGCGTGCAGGTGGCGTGGGCGCAGACGGGCCTGGTGCTGGCAGCTACCCGCCCTGGCCGGCTGCCCTCCGCAGTTACCTGGCCGATTAGTTTTAAGGTGGGCCCTCAGAGCAGATGGAGGCCTCCCCAGGGGCGGTCCCGGGTGGGTGCCCACACCACTGGCCCCACCACGCCTGGCGCTCTGCTGCGCTCGTCCAGAGCTGGCGGGCAGGGCCGGCCAGGGGAGCAAGGTCCCCAGCACGTGGGCTGCACTGCCCCCCTCTAGCCCTGACTAAGGACATGAGCCCCGGAAGAAGTGAGCATTTCTATTGACCGATTGCAAAGGTGAGAGAGGATCTCCAAAGCCCATTGTCACTGCTGCCATCTGAAAGACAGTAAAGACAGAGTTCAGTCTGTTGGAGCCGAGCAGTCTCCCGCTCTCGTCAACACCTCACGCAGACAGCGGCAAGGCCCGGAGTCCCCGCCCTGCCAGGGAGGCCGCCTGCCTTCCCACACTGCCGGCCGCCAGCACCTGCCCAGGGGGGCCGCAGCGCCCCATGTGCCCCGCCCTGCAGCCTTGCAGCTGGGCCGGCTGGGGCAGAAAGGAAGGGAGGGAGGAAGGGAGGGAGGGAGGAGGGCAGTGGAGCACAGTGAATGGCCAGGACATCTCCTGGTAGCGTGAATGTCTGAGGGCTGGGCGGGGGGGCGTGAGGCTCGAGGCCCAGGAACCTGTCGGCCTCACACCGGCCTCTTCCCACGAAGGTATCGCAGCCTCCGGCCACAGGCCTGGAGCAGGGCCCCAAGGGAGGTGCCTCCAGACTGTCCCCTCAGTCCTGGGGCTGAGCCCAGGTGGTCTGGACTCACTGCAGGGGTGAGGGCCTGAGCAGTCTTATCCAGGCCACGGGGGCAGGGAGGCCCACGCCCTGCATGCTGCCACCATCGGCTGTGCACAGCTGGGGCAGGGAGCACGGGAGAGACCAGAGGCCACAGTGTGAAGACCAGGAAGGGGAAAAGGGTAGAGCTGCAGCCAAGCAGCCAAGAAAGGGGCTGCGGCGCTTTAGGGGCTCCAGCGAGCAACAGGTGGGAAAGGCTGGGCCACTCGTGCCTCAGAGAGGACCCCGGGGGTCCCGAGCATGAGTCTTTGAGAATCGGAGCACTGTAACAGCTTGCGGGGACGGCCGCAGGCCCAGGAGGAGGAAGAGCGTGAAGAGGAGGAGATGGTGGCTGTGGTGGGGAGGGCGGTAGAGGCTCCGGCCGGGGCTCACCTGCAGGTTGGTGAGCTGCTGCTGCTGGTGCGCGATGGTCTGCTTCACCAGCACACTCTTGATGCTCTGCTCCATGGCGTACTTCTTGGCCTGAGAGAGGCGGCAGTGAGGAGCACTGGGGGCCCAGCCCATGGGAGACAGGCCTGCCCCGCACCCCGCCCCTGCCCCTGCCCCCAGTTGACTGTCCCACACCTGCAGTGCCCTGGGAGGTCCATGCTCACCTTCTGAAGGGCCTCCTGCTGCTCGGGCGTCAGGGGAGGCAGCCCCAGCTTGGCGGCTGTGCTCTGCCCGTTCTCCATCTTGATGGAGTCTGTGCCCTGGTAAGGGAGCAGGGGAATCCATCAGCAGCAAGCTCAAGTTCTCCTTCACGTGGCCCCAGGAGGGCCACCCCTAGCACAGACTGTCCCCTGCCTGGCCTGTACTCAGGCCAGCCCTTCTGACATTGCTGTCCCCAGCCCAGGCCACTGTCTCCCCCGGGACCCATGGGGTAGAACACAGACTGAGGCAGGCAGGTGCCCTGGAGGCCCTGGGCCAACCCGAGCAGTTGTGGGGCCCAGGCCACAGTGGCCTCCTCGGGAACCACCAAGATAAACAGCTGGAGGCAGAAAAGGGGTCCAGCCCCTTGTTGTCAGTCTGACCCCAGAGCTGCTATCACATGCCCGGCAGGAGAGCCAGCCTCAGCCGTCCTCCAAGGCAGGAGAAAAGGGCCACGGCTCTCTGGACGTTCTGGGACTCCTTGCTCCCAGGCTCCTCCAGGCTTCCTCACAGTCCCTGCCACAGACACAGGCTCAGCTTCCCTGGAGTTTCAAGGGGCCCACCCAAGGAGCTAATACAAGGGCCTCTCTCCCAACAGTGCTCCCCCCACCGTCCCCGCAGGCACTGTGCACACCTCCCAGAGAACACAGGCCTCTCTCGGGCCACACAAGCCCTGAAGAGGGCTCCAGCTCACTTCCACACACTCTTGCATGGGCTTTGCCTGGCCCACTGGGAGAAGCCAGGAGCAGACCCCACTGGCACCCTAGCCAGGTGGGCCTGGGGACCAAGAGGCCCTTGGGCAGTCACAGCCACTGCAGACCCAAGCTGATGCCAACCAGGATTATGTTTACGTCCCTCCTGTCAAAATCCATCTCTAAGCTTTTTGCAGAGGGAAGAACGCAGCTGTGTGAGCAGGGAGGCATGGCTAGCAGGCCCATCAGAGTGTGGGATGGGCAAACAGCATGCCTGCGCCTGTCCTCCAGCTCAGCAAGCACAAAGATCACTGGCCCACCAACCGGGCCCTCCGAGACTTCCAGACACAGCCTTGAGGGACAGCAGAGAAGAGAGAAGGGTCCCCAGCACAGAAGTGATGAGCAAGGACAGAGGGACACAGGAGGCAGGAAGGGACAGGCTGGCCCAAGCCCCAAGAACCCCCTCCTGCCTGCCAAGTGCTGGGATGCTGGCCCAGGCTCAAAGGGCAGGAAGCCCTGGAGACCCCTCCCCAGGCAACCAGAGCCCCAACCAGTCCCTGAAGGTCAAAGGCTGGCTGTGGGTGGCACCAGGTGCCCCAGTCCGGCTCACACCAGGCCTGTCCTAATCACCCTCAGCACCAGGTGCCCCAGTCCGGCTCACACTAGGCCTGTCTTCACCACCCTCAGCACCAGGTGCCCCAGTCCGGCTCACACTAGGCCTGTCCTCACCACCCTCAGCACCAGGTGCCCCAGTCCGGCTCACACTAGGCCTGTCCTCACCACCCTCACAGCTGGCCCCAAGCCCATTCCTCCTTAGTGGGAAAGAGGGCCCAAGAGCCAGAGGCTGGGACTTGAGAGCAGGCTGTCACCATGGTAATCAATGCCAACCCCCTCAGCCCCCAGACATTTTTCAATCTCCTCTTTGTCTTGGTAAACAAAAGGCCCTTCTCCCACCAACCAATGGCCGGCTGGGCGCCAGCCAAGGGCCAGGGAGCACCAGCCCCCACATCTCCCAGGATCCAAGCTGCATACCATGTCCCAGTCCCACCCCCTGAGTGTGCCTGGGGGACCAAGAGGAGGGCCCAGCCCCAAGAGGCTGCCAGGCCACCTTGCTGAGGCCCCACTGGAATGCTCTGGAGGCGGGCGCTACCATGGAGAAGCACAAAGAACCCAACTACCCAGCCACAGGCCCAGCTCCACCTCTGAGAGGACCTGCTCCCAAGGCTGGGCCATCGAACAGACCAAGACCCACCTGCACCCACTCTGGAGCCTGGGGCCGAAAAAAGATGGGGAGGGCTGAGTCCCAACCAGACCTGTGCTTTGACTTGCGCATTGCTTCACTGTTTTATTTAAATGAAAACACAGAGGTCTGAAATGAAATCTGTCCTTCTGGCTCCTCAAGCACTGCGAGTTCTGGGAAGCTTGGCCCACCCTTCCTGCAAGACGCTCATGCCTAAGAACGCGCGAGCTCCAGGCCCCGGCGTCCCCGCCCAGCCAGACTGTCAACAGGCCCCGCCTGGTGCTTGGAGCAGGGCAGATGCAGAGGGCAAAGGCCAGCTCAGTGCCTGGGTGGGGAGGGTGCAGGGCTGGTGCGGGGAGAGGGCCGTGGTCCTGCGGGCAGTTGTCTGCCCAGAGGCAGAGAAGGGTTCCCGAGGTTCCTCCCGCCCCGCCCCCAGCCAGCCCTCTCTGGGCCCAGGGACGCACAGGCAGGCGGGCGGGCGGGCGGGCAGGCGGGCGGGCCTGAGGGAGAGGATGCTTAAGGTCAGTACCTGTGGAGGTTTCCATTTGTCTCCCGCTGCCACCACTGCCGCCGCCGCCGCCGGCTCGGACCCCCCTCCTTGCTGGCCATTGACCTGCTGCAGGCAGGAAGGAGATGTTGTAACGACAGGCACACCACCCCACCGCCCAGGCCTGCTCTCCTCCCGAGCTAAGGGCTGAGCTCCTCACGGATAAGCAAGGGAGGCCAGGCAGGGAGGCATTCCCGACATGACCCCCCAGCCCAAACTGCCCTCTCTTCACACCCATCAGCACGCCCAGGGACCCAGTCAGAAGCAGAGCGGAGCATGGGCTGGGCCAGGGCTGCCAGCGAGTCCCAGCGGGGATGGGGAGGAGGGTAGAGAGAGCTGTGCTCCTGCCCCAGGCAAAAGAAAGCCATCCTCTCCTGCCGGCAGGCTGGACGGCCAAAGGAACCGGCTGGGTGTCCCCCATGCCCTCCTGAGGCAGCAGCGGTGCCTTCCTGGCAACCTGTACACACCTTGGCCAGCCCACAACTCAGCCCCAGCTCCAGTGCCTTCCACAGGCTCTGGCCCAGCCCAGGTCCCAGTTCTCTCCTGAAGACACTTTTAAGCAGCATGGTGGGCAGGGGTCTGGATGCGCAGGCCTCCCTTCCCTGGCAACAGAACCATCCAGAGCTGTCTCGCAGGAGGACGGCCAAGAGGTTAGCCCTCTGCACTCAGTAAGACCCACACCTAAGGGGGCACAGGAAGGAGGAGCAGCTCCACAATGGTCTTGAGGGATGGCAGGGCAAAGACAGGCCACGGGCAGGAAACGGGTAACGCTGTGGGGGTCGGGAGATGATGGAAGGGCCTTGAGACCTACTCTACCTTCTCAGAGGCTGCACAACGAGAAGCAAGGCAGCATGCAGTCACCCCACTCCCAGCTCAAGGATGAGACCCACAATATCTAAGAACAGAAGAGATCAGCGTGCCCACCCTTGGAGCCATGTGCGCAAAGCCAGAGGCTGGGCTGACCCACCAGAGTGTCCCAGGTCCTTCAGCCTCCAGAGGAGGAGCAGCACCACCAGCCCAGCTGCACTGGGGAAGGCCAACCCAGCCCGTGCCTGGAGCTGCTCCCAATGCTGTCGGCATGGGTGTGCTCTAGCTGCCCAACTCAGCCCCACGCTGCCTAAACACTGCACCCCGGAGAGAGTGAAAGGAAACAAGGGGCCCCTCCCACTGCATGCACAGCCAGAGCAGAGGCTGCCTCTTTTTTTTTTTTGAGACAGGGTCTGGCTCTGTTGCCCAGGCTAGAGTGCGGTGGTGCAACTACGGCTTACTGCAACCTCCGCCTCCTGGGACTCCAGGCATGCGCCGCCACACCTGGCTAATTTTTGTATTTTTGGTAGAGATGGGGGTCTCCGTGTTGCCCAAGCTGGTCTCAAACAATCCACCTATCTCAGCCTCCAAAGTGCTGGTACTACAGGCGTGGACCACTGTGCCCAGCCAAGGCTGCCTCTCATTGCCCACAGCAAGAGATCACTTCACGACCAGTCTCCAGATACCCGTGAACAGGGTGAACTGAGGGGCACTTTTGTAACTTCCTGCTCCCCCAAATCACTGCACTAACCAACAAGTAAGCCACAACAGTGTTGACAGTGGGATGTGGCTCGGAAAAACATTTTCTTGGGAAAAGCCGGCCCACTGGTGCATTCTACACAGGACACCCCATGCCATTCCTGGCAGATGGAAGTTCCCAGCTGCATGGAGCTTAGGGTTCTGTGCTAACCAGACGCTGGGAGAACTTGGAGGAAACCGGTGTTTACAATCGCAGCTAGTCACGTACTGCCATCTTTAGGCAATTAAAATGGCGTCTTTATGGTCAGGATGCCCCCAGCACCAGGCAGCAGTGCTTGGAGGGATGGGAAGCCCCTCTGAGGGGCGGCACAGCAGAGGGGCTCTGGGGTGCCAACTCTGGGACTGCCTTTCCTCAGCCCAGAGCAAAGAAGAGTATTTCCATCAGAAAACAAGAAAAGCAATGTAGGGGCTGGGCGTGGTGGCTCACACCTGTAACTCCAGCACTTTGGGAGACCGATGTAGCACTTAAGACCAGCCTGGACAACACAGCAAGACGCTGTCTCTATGAAAAAAAAGATTTTTTTAAAAAGTAATGTGGCCAGACGCAGTGGCTCACGCCTGTAATCCCAGCACTTTGGGAGGCCGAGGCAGGTGGATTGCTTGAGGTCAGGAGTTGGAGACCAGCCTGGCCAACATGGTGAAACCCCATCTCTACTAAAAATACAAAAATTAGCCGGGCATGGTGGCAAGCACCTGTAATCCCAGCTACTTGGGAGGCTGAGGTGCTACCATGAATTGCCTGAACCCAGGAGGCAGAGGTTGCAGTGAGCCGGGATCACCCCACTGCACTCTAGCCTGGGCGATAAAGCAAAACTCCGTCTCACACACAAAAAGAAAAAAAAAATAATGTGGAGCGAATGACTGAAGGTCCCAAGGTCTCAAGGCTTCAGGCTCCTCAGCTGGGAATGGGGACGGCCTGTCTCCTAGGGCTACTGTGAAGATTCAGTGAAATCCCAACACGCCCCCAACCCCACAACCTGCAGTCCCTGCACATGGAAAGCAGCAAAGCAAGCCACAGGTTCCAGCACTCATCAGTATTAACAACATCCAGTGTCAGATACCCAGGGCAGAGCTGGCTGCAGGACACTGCCTTCTATCTGTCAGTTCCCTTCACACAATGAACACTGCTTACTGCGTGCCCAGGCTCCACAGTGAGCGCTGCAGAGGCCGCAGACACGAGACAAGAGAGAAAGACGTCTCTCTCAGGAGCCTGGTGTCAGCTGCCAGCAAAGAATGCCAAAATCAAAGATGACTTCTGTGGTTTACCAGCACTACGAAGAAAGCACAGGATAAGAAAGGAGTGGCTATGAGCTATGCCAGGCCATGGCAGCCGGGGGCCTCTCTATGAGGTGACATTGCAGGCTGGGGCCTACAGAAGAAAGGAACTGGAACCCCAAGGGTGATGACCCCAAATGAGAGCTGGTCTGGCTGTCAGTGAAGAGAACGGAGCCATGCGTCAAAGTGAAAAGATGCATCCAGAAGACCTACCCTTGCTGCAAAGAGGCAGCCGGCCTCATTCTGCAGCCACCAGGCAGAAGGCATGCCCATGGGAGGGGAGGCCCTTCTGCATCTTCTGGCTTCCTTCCCCACCAGGCCACTGTCAGCCAAGTTCAGCTGCTCCATTCAACCTCCCATGAGAGCTGAAGCAGCATGAGACAGGGGACAGGCTCTCATCACTGTGCCCAACCAGGACGGTGGGAACAGATAACCCTTCTAGAAGCCTTTCCATCCCAATGATTAAAAGAGGAATGGGTTAGACCACAGGCTACAGCTCACTCCTGGAGCCGGATGCAAGCCTGAAACCTGACGATAAAAAAACACGTATTAAACCCAACAGAATTTGGATGGCAACAAACACCCCAACAGACAACCCGTTCGTGGGGTCAGTTATGGCCCACGTCCAACTCAACAATGACACCACCTATCTGGCACCACGCCACAGCAGACCTGAGCCCCCATTTAACCCTCATGAGCACAGGGCGCTGTTCTGCGGGTGCTAGGGGAGTCAGGCATCCACTCTCCTCCTCCACCTTCCCATGTCCAGTCCTTGTCTCTGAGCCTCCTCCTCCTTCACCATCAACTCTCTGACTGCTGCCTGAAGACAGTCACCAGGTCCTCAACCCTTACATCCTTTCTCTCTGGAGTGCCCCTCAAAGGTCACTTACTCCTGTGGCTTCAAGAGAAAGGACATAGTAGAAAGAGTGGAGTTAGCCAGTCCTGTGAATCACACACTGGGCTGCCCTCGCAAGCTGGGTATCTTGTGTAAATGCCTCTCTCCCCCTAGTAACTGGTTTCTGCCTCAGTGGGACATGGGACCAGCCCGCCCGCTGGGGGCCTGGCAATGGCAGTCTAAGGACACTCCCTGGTCCTGCCAGTCCAGCCTTCAGCCATTTGCCCAAGCTGTCTTCTCAAACAGACCTTATCCCATCCCGCTGGGTGTGGGCTGGGGGAAGGGTGACAAGTAATACAGGGGTAAACTGCGGCTGAGAAAGGTCCAAAAGGGGATTAGGTCCTATAAGCTAAGTGGTGAGAAGGAAAGACCAGACTTCATCGTGCATGTGTTGTGTGCATGGGTGTTCTCCCTCTACGTTAATAACGCCTGCCCTGCCCGGGGAAGTGGGCACTGAGCAGAGCAGGGGGCGACTCACTCCTCTGGATGCCCACGCAGCTCCCTAGGGCGCCCAGCAAATGGCACCCTGGGTGGGAACTGGCTTCTGGTGCGCACTAGACCTCCAACTGCCTGTCTGGTTCCCCACTGCGTCCCCAGATCCTCCCGCAGAGCTGGGGACAATGCGATTTCTCAAAACACGTAGGATGAGAGCGCACGTCCTTCCTTTCCACGTGGAGACAAGAGAATGGAGATAACCAGATCCCTCTCCAGCACCGGAGAACGAATTCACAGCTGCAGGCGTAGTGAGCCAAGGCCGCCCCATGCTCTGAGCTGCAGGCCCCTTTCTACAGGTCCCGTCCCCTTCTGATCCCATCAACCCGAAGGCCCACGCGTCACCCCCAGAACCCCGCTTCCGTCGTGACCACGGCGCACACCCCCGTCGGCAAAGGGAGGACGACGACCCCCGCTTGCCGGACCTAGCGGACAGGAACGCAACCCCGCCAGGCTCGCCCGCAAGGGCCACACGCCGCGCCCAGGCCCCCGCCCCGCCCCGCCGGAAGCTGGGGTCCGCAGGCCGGAAGCTGAGGCCGCGAGCCGGCCGCCGGCGCGCGCCCGCCCCGCCCCCGCCTCACGCGACCCGGGGACACGAGGGAGTCCGCGCGGGACCTGGGAAGACCGCCGCGTTCTTGGGAGGCCCTCCGCGCCCAGGCTGGGTCGACGACCCGGCCCCGCAAGCCGAGGGCCGCCCGCGCTCATGGGGGGGCTCACTTACGAGAGCTATGGTCGCCGTCGCCATCTTGCGTCCGTCGCGGCCTCCGCGCGCGCCTCCCACTCTTGCTCCTTCCGCTGTCTCGCGCGATCTGGGTGCCGGTGCACGGAACTCTCGCGAGGAAGGAGGTAAGAACGCGCTTCCGGGGCGGGGAGGAACGGTAAACGCCCCCGGGAGGGGCGACGGAAGGGGCGTGCTCTTGGCCGGGCGAGGGGCGTGGCCCGCGCACCTCGGGCGTCTAGGGGCGTGCGCCGCGGGACTCGAGTCGGGCGTATCTCTCCGCGTGGCCGACGCGGGCGTGCGTAGTACCCTTCGCCGCCCGTCGCCCTTGCGGCCACTGCTACGCTTCTCTTCTCTGCCTTTTTTGGAGAAAACGCTGTCGCGTGCGTCGTCCAGAGGCTCTCCCCCAGGAGGCAGGCGAAAGAGCGGGGCCCTCCTGGGCTGGAGGAGTCTCGGGTGATGAAAGGCCCGCGTGTTTCAGGCTGACGTCGTGAGATGCGTCGTCCCCGCGTCGCGACATCCCTGGGACCGGGAGGCCCCGTTCAATTGGCAGCTTTTTCTCCTTCCAGGGAACCGATGACCCTAGGTTGGCTGACATCAGTCGCTAGACCCGCAGCCCGCAGGCCCCGTTAGTCCCTGAACTGGCTTTCATGGCCCAAGGTGTCTGTCAGTACTGCTGGGAAAGCTGCCTGTCCTGGACATTTGCCATCTGCTGCACCCAGTCCCGAGACCCCAACTCGGTCATCCGAAGAAGCCACATCTGTAAGCTCAGGCACCTTCAGCTGCCTAAGGCCACAAGGCATCCCGGGCAGGCCTCCTTTCAACCCTGGGAACATTTAGAATTTAATACAGACACTTCTACTTAAATAGGGCAGAATATTCCCCGCCTCCCTCCTGAAACCTTCCAAAATTATAGGAAAGGGGTTTTATAAAGACAAACCCTGCAAGGGCAAAGAGCTGGGATATTGCAGAGCTTAAGAAAGGTGGACAGCGAGAGCTACTCCAGCCCACTTGGCTATGGAGGCCAGTGTCTGAGGGTCGTGGGTGAAAGCACAGCTACAGAAAGGAAACCCCAGACCTCTGTCCCTACCCACCGGGGCTGGCAGGCACTGCAGTGTCTGAGACGTGAGCTCCAGGAGAGGAGCTCTGAGGCCCTGCTCAAGCAAGGCCCTGTCTGAAAGCCTGGGAGTAAGTGAGACTCTGGGTCCTACCCCTGCCTCCACCCCTGGGCTGGGTCTGACCACCCGCATGCCATCAGGCTTCTCAGAGAAGAGGGCTCCTCTCTGCAGCAGCTCCTAGCTCAAAAGAAAAGACTGGCAGGGCACCTAGGGGTAGAGTGTTGCCCAGTAGAATGGCCCAGCCAGATCCCTGGCCTCGAAGCTCACCAGGTCATAAGCCCCAGCCACTAAAAGCATCTCACTCTTCAATGCAGCTGGACAGCCCAGGATCACCAGACACCTGAGAAAGAAGAAAAGGGACTCAGAAGAAACAGAGACGATAAAGGAAGCCGAAGAAAAATGAAAACTAAAATGCCATTCTCAGTCAATAAAAAGGAACTGGGGGCTATAGAGAAAGAAACCTCGGGATGAGAAAGAGCTCTTAGAAATAAAACATGAGGGGAAAGTGAGCAATTCAATAGGCTTTTAAGATGAAGTCTTCCAGAATGTATAATGACAGAACCAGATAGCTGGAAAACAGAATAGCAGTAACACAGGTGGGTGCTCTTAGGGCTAGCCTGGCACACAAGGCCTCCACAATGGAGGGGGTGGATGGGAGGTGGGGGGCTGGTCTGCCACCACCACCAGGGGAAGCCACAGGCACCACCCTCTGGGGACAGCTTCCCTTGGCAATAATGTGCACGCAGGATGCATGGTGCCCAGGACTGTTCTTACACACATTCATTCATGGGATCCTCACAACCCAGTGCTATGCAATGGATACAGCTGTTACCCCATTTTTACTGATGGGCAACATCACAAGGCAGGGAGCAGCAGTAGAATGGCTCCAGAGCCTGTGTTCTTGCCACCACCATGACTGCATCTCAAAAGAGAAGTCCAGGTCAGGCACAGTGGCTCATGCCTGCCTTCCCAGCACTTCAGGAGGCTGAGGCAGGAGTATCACTTGGGCCCAGGGGTTCAAGACCAGCTTGGGCAATATAGTGAGGCCACGTCTCTACAAAAAGTAATTTTAAAAAACCAGCTGGGCATGGTGGCACACGCCTGTAGTCCTAGCTACTAGAGAGGCTAAGGTGGGAGGATTGCTGGAGCCCAGAAGGTGGAGGTTGCAGTGCCCTGTGATCACACCACTGCACTCCAGCCTGGGTGACAGAGCCAGACCCTGTCTCAAAAAAACAACAAAAACTCAACAGAAGTCCAACATCTAAATAAATTGTCCAGAAAATAAGGAAATGAGAGAAATCAGCAGAGATAAATCAAGAAAATTTCCTAGAACCAAACAGTCATGTTTTCTGAACAATGGGTGAAAGGGAAGTTGTATATCAAGACACATCATTGAGAATTACCCAAGTAATGGGGCAAAGAAAAAGAAGAGATCATAGGTAAAGAGTCAGAATTCAGGAAGGCACAAGAGTTCTTGGAACTAGAAGAAAATGACACAATACCCTTGAAATCCTGGGAATAAATGATTTTCAACCAAGCCAAGCTTTTTGTAGCTAGTCGCACTGTTAAGCATATGTGAGGTTAGCATAAAGACTGTGGGGAAAAGCAAGAGAGATCAGATTGTTACTGTGTCTGTGTAGAAAGTAGTAGACATAGGAGACTCCATTTTGTTTTGTACTAAGGAAAATTCTTCTGCCTTGAGACTCTGTTAATCTATGACCTTACCCCCAACCCCGTGCTCTCTGAAACATGTGCTGTGTCAACTCAGAGTTGAATGGATTAAGGGCGGTGCAAGATGTGCTTTGTTAAACAGATGCTTGAAGGCAGCATGCTCCTTAAGAGTCATCACCACTCCCTAATCTCAAGTACCCAGGGACACAAAAACTGCGGAAGGCCGCAGGGACCTCTGCCTAGGAAAGCCAGGTATTGTCCAAGGTTTCTCCCCATGTGATAGTCTGAAATATGGCCTCGTGGGATGGGAAAGACCTGACCGTCCCCCAGCCCGACACCCGTAAAGGGTCTGTGCTGAGGAGGATTAGTAAAAGAGGAAGGAATGCCTCTTGCAGTTGAGACAAGAGGAAGGCATCTGTCTCCTGCCCGTCCCTGGGCAATGGAATGTCTCCATATAAAACCTGATTGCATGCTCCATCTACTGAGATAGGGAAAAACCGCCTTAGGGCTGGAGGTGGGACCTGCGGGCAGCAATACTGCTTTGTAAAGCATTGAGATGTTTATGTGTATGCATATCTAAAAGCACAGCACTTAATCGTTTACATTGTCTATGATGCAAAGACCTTTGTTCACGTGTTTGTCTGCTGACCCTCTCCCCACTATTGTCTTGTGACCCTGACACATCCCCCTCTTCGAGAAACACCCACAAATGATCAATAAATACTAAGGGAACTCAGAGGCTGGCGGGATCCTCCATATGCTGAACGCTGGTTCCCCGGGTCCCCTTATTTCTTTCTCTATACTTTTGTCTCTGTGTCTTTTTCTTTCCTAAGTCTCTTGTTCCACCTTACGAGAAACACCCACAGGTGTGGAGGGGCAACCCACCCCTACAAAGACAAACAGGTAAAGACTCCACAACTTCCTATGCACCCTCTCAGGAAACCTGGAGGATGGTCCTTCTCAAACAGGGCAAATGAAGGAAGAGGAAAGCAGTACAGGACACTGGTGAAGAGTTAACCCATGCTGACCACTGGGCTGTAAGTCCAAGAACAAGTAGCCTGGGCAGGGGGCTTGTATGGTGGGGGCTCCAGGAAAAGAAGAAACTGAGCAGTCAGTTATGTGATGAGTCCTAAGCTGTGACAGGATGCTCATGCTTCTTCAGGAAAGTCTAAAGATGAATCAATGACAAACACATATAGAAAACTAGGCAAACCAAAAAAAAGGCAATTATTAACTCCAGGGAAAACAAAAAGTTGTGCAAGAAATGCCATCCTAGAACACCGTGTTCTCTCCTGAGACGTGTGGTAATGAAGCTGTAATAACACCCATGCAGCTATGATGCCCGTAACACTGGAATGATGCCGCCAGGAGACTGAGGCAGGTGACCGCCCTCCTCCCAGAGGATGCCAGCCAGGGACATCTAATGTAGAAAAACGAATAAACAGGACTAAAAGCATGCTCATGGTTTTGAAAAACATGGATTTCAAATGCCTGAAGAAACAGTTAAGAGAGTTGAATTTGGAGAGGATCAGAGTAGGAGCCTGCATTTATTATTTATTATTGGCCTCAAAAAAAAAACTATTCTACTTTAAAAACAATACATATATAATTCTGAAAAGATAAAATTTAAAAGGAAAAATTCAACAGAGACATGATTAAGTGCAGCAATGGTGGTATTGATGCTTTTAAGTTCAGTTTAATCAGTAGTACAATGTTATGTATTTGCCACTGAAACCATTTAGAACCATGCATAATCAGACAGTTTAGCATGAGGGTTTCCATCTAGGATATGGAAATTACTTTAGATTGCTAATTTTGAGTTGGAAGGCGTGAGAATTTGAATAATTTTGTAAATAGTATTGGAATATTTAAGATAACTGAGATTCACGATTTTGTACCTTTAATTTATTTGATATGCGTTAGTAAGTCTTGCTTTGGTTTTTGGCTTTTGGTTGGAGTGCTGTGGTCAGCAGAATGCCACCCTTCCCCAACAAAAGAGGTTCATTCCTTAATCCCTGGAACCAGTGAATGTTAGTTTACATGGCAAAATGTGTCCTGCAGATGTGTTTAATATTAAAAACCTTGAGGAGGGAGATTATCATGTATTATCTGGCTGGGCCCAACCTAATCTCATGAGTCCTTAGGGACAACCTTTCCTGTCTGCAGGGAACCAGAGAAATGGTTCGTGACACAGACTGAACCTGCTAGCTCTGAAGATGGAGGAGGGGGCCAAGAGCCAAGGAATGTAGGCAGCCTCTACAAGCTGGAAGTGGCCTTAGTTTACAGTCAGCAAGAAAGTGGGGACCTTGGCCCTGCCACCGAAAGGATGTGGATTCTGCCAGCAGCCTGAAGGAGCAGGAGACAGAGTCTCCCCTAGAACCTCCAGGAAGGAAGGCAGCCTGCCAGCCTTGATTCTAGTCCAGTGAGACCCATAGTCAGACTTCCAGCCTACAGAATTGCAATAAATTTGTGTTAAGTCACTAAGTTTGTGGTAAATTTTACAGCGGCAGTATAAAACTAATACAGTGGTGTGCCTTCCTGGTTGACATTTGAAATGCGTTTAGAAAGGCATGAATGCGCTAATGTATACATACAGTTTAAAATGCTTAAGGCCATTTCACTAAGTTTGGAATTGGAGGAGAGGCAAGCCAAGAATCAAGAGGCCAGGAAGGCAGGGGTAGAATCCATGAGGGCATAGAAATCTCTAAGACTGAGCCAGGAGTGGAGTGGGAGAGAGGCAGGGAGCCAGGAGCTGACATCCTCAGAGGCCCAGGGAGCAGCTGCCCCAGGGAGGAGGTGCGGGAGGTAACATGGAGGGGCTGTGAGTCTGAGGAGCAGGGAGGATGTGGGGTCCCTGACGCCTCCAGGCCAGGGAATGCATGAGAGAAAAAGCCCATTGGAGGGGCTGCAGTGGCCAGAGGAGATCTGCAGAGGGGCTGCAAGTTCTGGTCTCAGGGTGGGTAAAGGGTCAAAGAGGTGGCTCTAGGGCAGAGCTGTGTGGGACCAGGGGCTTTGCTGACAACAGCCTCAACTCCAGACCTCTCTGTGGTCTGTTTCTCCTGCCAGGTCCCTGTTGTGCCCAGTGCCATGCCTGACACCTGCAGGTGTGTCACCGCTGGCTTGCTGTGCAGGCTCCTTGTGTGGGTCTATGGTGCCAGCAGGGGATGGCTGCTCTCCCAGACCCCATGGAGCAGTTCCCTGGGCAGAGGTCTGTCCAGGGCTGACCCTCACCCCCAAGCCCCAGAGCTGGGGTTCCCTACAGGGCAGCCTCCTGCATGCTGAGGAGGCAGTGGCCCCGGCCAGGCAGCCTGGGTAGGAACTCAGGGCGGAGAATGGAGGATATGGGAAGGGGTTCTGGGGGCAACCCTGATCCTAAGGACCTGGGAGGCCTAACGGCTCCCCCACACCCACCCCCCAACCCCTCGGCGCCCAAGGCAGGGTCAGCCCCACTCTCAGGAGACGGGGGGTTCCTTCACTACCGGGGCCTTTGTGCTCCCAGGCGCATGGAGGAGGGCAGCCCCACGGTGCTGGAGTCTCCCCAACATGGCCTGCCCAGGCAGCACCCCGGCATGGTCCCCTGGGGCTGGGGCTCCGGGTCAGGCCTGGGTCCCACGGTACTTGAGGAAGGTGCTCTCCAGGAAGGCGGCCAGCTTCATCCGGTCGTCCTGCGGAAGGAGGGAGGCATGGGGGACGGAGGGGCGCGGCCTGCCCCGTGCGCCCCCTCCGCCAGGCCGCGCCGCACCGCCCAGCGCACCTCGTGGAGGAAGCCATAGTGCACGAGCTCCGAGGCGAGGTCCTGGGCGCTGTCCGCTGAGGCAATGGCGTAAGGCGAGGCATGAGGCCGCTGCCCACCCGCCGCCTGGGGTCACCGCCCGCCGCCCAAGTCCCCTGCCCAGCCTACTTGGGAGCAGGTCGTAGGTCAGCTGCCGGTGCAGCCGGTCTTCCAGCACCAGAAGCAGAGTGAGCTGGGGAGGCGGCGGGGCGTGGTCGGCTGGGGGTTCAGGGCTCCGCCACGCTCCCGCCTTCCCCACGGCAGCGCCGCCCTCCCAGGCCCCGCTCACATGCCAGCGCGCCTTGTCCTCGCTTCTCTCCAGGTTGCACTGCATCTGGATGACCTGCAGCGGGGGAAGGCTGGGACTCACAAACCCAGCAGCAAGACCACATGCCGCGGCCCCAAAGGGGCCGGGAAGGGACAGCAAAGACTGGAAAGGGGGGAATCTCTAAGAGGAGCCCATCTCACTGCTAGTGGCTTGGCAAGCTAAGGAAAGCTTCGAGAAGAGTCGACATTAGGGGCTGGGTACTGAAGGCTGAATAGGAGCTTTCACCGCGGAGAGAACAACTTGAACAAAGAGGGAACTGTGGGCGTGGGGAAAGGGAGGTTGGGCGGGACAGGACCGCGCCGAAGTGCACGGTGCCTGCGGGATCAGGCCTCCCAGAGCCTGGGTGTCAGCTGAGGACTCCCATGATCTCTGCTGGCAGCCAGGAGCAGGCAGTTTGCCTGTTAGGACATGAATTCTGGCTGCACTGCACCGAGAGAGGCCCCTGGCCAGGAGGGGGTGCTGCAGGAAAAGTCTGGGGAGACACCAGGACATAGATGTCCGGGAATCAGCACCAGGTGGGGGATGGGAGGGGTGGGGGGGGTGGGAGGGGTGCGGGGGTGGGGGAAGATTGCTGGCAGGGTGGAAGAGCCCGGGTGAGTTCTGGAGGAAGGATGCTTGGAGTAGGTTCAGGGCAGGCAGCAGGATGCAGGGGAAGGATCTGAGGGGACAGGGAGCCTCCCGGAAAAGGAGAGTGCCCAGCCTGTCCTATAACCCCCATGACCCCCACAAGGGGGTCAGCCTGGATCTGGTCTCTGGCAGCCAGGAGGAGAGCTGGGCTGTGGGGATGCAGGCCCTAAGAGAAGGAGGGGCACCTCTTATCTGGCTGTTAGAAGGTCTGAGGGATGGCACTGAGCAGCAGGAGAGGGGACTCACCTTTCTGGTCTCAGAGTCAAAGGGCTCTGGCGTCGGGGTCTTGGCCTTTTGGACCTCCTCCGGGGGTGGGGCCAGCACACGGGGCAGCCCCAGGGGTCGAGTGGCTGCAAAGTTCATCAGTGGGTAGATTCCATTCCTGGGGACACAACAGGGTGGCTGGGGGTTCAGGCCTGACAGCTGCCTGGCCCCCAACCTTACATCAGTTCTCACCTGACATCCTCCAGGAATTTGTCCAGCTCCATGAAGGAGACTTCCGAGTACCTGGCATGGAAGTGGGAGGCACATGAGGGGCTGGCCGGGGCGAGGGGAGGGGAGGTGCGGGGAGGGGAGGTGTGGGGAGGGGAGGCTTCTGGGTGCTGACTGCTCACCGCCACTGCAGCGGGGGCCTGCGGGGCCGGGGAAGCTCCGCCAAGACCGCGTGCAGGTCCATGGCCTTGGTCTTCTCCTCCACCACATTCTCAGGCATGAGGTCTGCGGCCACAAGAGCATCAAGGCGGTGTGCTCAGGCCGTGGGTCCTGCAGGGCCCCTTCCACGTCCCAACCTCCACCTCCCCAGCCACCCCCCGGGCCGGCCTGCTGCTCACACTGGTGCTGGATGAAGCAGTGGGCTGCCAGGAGCTTCAGCGAGTGCACCTCGAAGAGCACGCGGTGGAAGAGGAGGCTGTGGGCAGAGGGCCGGCGGGCAGGGTCCCGGGCCAGGCAGCAAAGGATGAACTCCTGGGGCACAGGGAGGAGAGGCTGGTGGTGTGCAAGGGCTCTCTGCTCTGGCCCCGCAGTTCGAGGAGAGGTGGCCCCTGAGTTCCCCATGTCCCTCCTCAGGGACACACAGGACATGCAGGGATGCCCATAGGGAGGAGTCCCAGCAGCAGCAGCCAGGCCAGGACCTGGTCCTCTGAGCTTGAGGACAGCTGGGTTCTGGGATTGGAGCACCATGCTCTGCTTCCCTCGACCCCCAAAAAATCGTGGGGAGAAGCCATGATCCTAAAGTCACACCTGCAAGCCTCCTACCCATGGCCTTTTGATCGGCTCAGCTCGGGCCCAACACTGGAGACGACCTTGATGGGTCCCCACTCTGTCCACATCCGTGCCCAGCCCGGCTCCAGCTCGCCACCAGCCCCGACCAGGCACCCCCATCTCCTGAGGCCATGGAGTTAAGTCTAGACTCCGAGCAGAGGGGGCTGTGGATGCAGCTTCCATCCCATACCTCTTTTTGCCTGCTTGGCACCCACCATGTCCCCCCACAAGCTGGAGCCTCATCACCTCCTGGAAGCTTAAAGTCAAGGACTTGGAGTGAAGCAGACCCAGGTGCAGATGTTGGCTCCACCACTCACTCTAAAGCCTTGGGCAAAGGACTCATCTCCTCTGAACCTTGGTTTCTTTATAAAACGGGCATGGTGATGGCAGCCACAGAGGGAGGGTCTCTCTTGCCTTCTTGTCCTTAGAATGTGCTGACCCCTTAGGGCCTTCAGGCCTGGAACCAGTATGTGCTCCCACTGAGGTCCTCTTTGGGAGGGGTGCAGTCAGCTGGTATACCCCTCAACTGCACAAACTGTGATGTTCTCCCAGGTCTGCCTGGAGCACCTTGCTAGCCCTAGCTGAGCACGGTGAGCCAGCTGGGGAGGGGCAGGGCAAGCTGCTTACCCGCATGTTGGGGTCACTCAGCGAGTGCCTGGCGCGAGCAATGGCCTCCTCTGTGACCCGGGTGTCCCCATTGGTCTGGATTTCCAGTACAGCCATCTGGGGCACAGAGCCAGGTCAGGCATGGGGAAGGGACCACACAGGTGAGCCAGGCAGGGCACAGTTAGGAGGAGGGCAGAGCACAAGGTGGAGGGCGGGGGCAGTACCTCCAGCGCACACATCCCAAAGGAGAAGATGTCCACAGCGGTCCCATCGGCCACCTCTGAACAGAAGAGAGCACAGGACACGTAGGAGAGAAGCGCAGGGTAGGCACGGGGCACCCGGACCCAGCACCACTCACCTCCATACTCTGGGGGGAAGAAGTGCAGGTTCCGAAGTTCCTCTCGCTCAGCGCGGATGGGGCTTCGGAGATCATCTGGAAGTGCTGTGGGAGGGCGCAGAGCTGAGCGGGCGGGGACCTCTCCAGGACCCCGTCCCCCCAAAGTCCGCACTTACCATTGGAGAAGATTCGGTGCCACACTGCCAAGGGGCGGGAGAAAGAGTGGAGTTAGCTGCTGGGGCATCAGAACTCCTCTGCCCTTGGCTCCAGGCACCTTCCCCTGCCCCGTTCCCCCACCCAGCCCTGCCCCGCCAGCACCGGAGCCGATCTTGATGAGGCCGTTGTGCTGAATGAAGATGGTGTCGCTGGTCAGGTTCCCGTGGATGATTGGGGGGCTGCAGGCGTGCAGGAAGCTGCAGACGTTGGGGAGGGGAGAGTAGGAGGAGCCGGTCAGGAGGCTCTGGAGAGATGGGGGCTCGGTGGCGCCGCGCCCAGGCCAGCCCAGGCCCTCACCTGAGCGCAGACAGGATCTGCGTGCACCAGCGCTTCCAGGCCTGGCGGCGGACGCACGACTCCGTCGGTCGGGTGGGCGCAGGAGAGGCGGCTGGGCCTGCGGAGCCCGCCCCGCATCCTCGCCCAGCCCCTGTCCGAGGCCGCCGGGCACCCCCTCACCATCCCAGTCCCCGAGGCTGCCCCAACCCCGTCCTGTCCCCGTGGCTGCCCCAGCCCGCTCCCCATACCCGGGCGTTCATGGCCTTGTGGTTCTTCTTGGTCTTTTTGAGGAATTGCTTGAGGCTGCCTGATGACACGTACTCTGTGATGAAGATGACCTGCACGGTGCGAGCTCAGGATTTCCACCAGCTGCGGGTTCGTCCCCATGCCCGCCCCACCTAGCTGTGGTCTCTGCCTGCCCGGGGCCTTGCCCGTGCTCACCCTCGCGCAGGCCTCAGAGGTATCCAGCCAGTACTTGTGCAACTTCACGATGTTCGGGTGGTCCACCAGCACCAGCTGCTCGAACACGGTCTGGATCTTCTCCTGGGGAGGGAGGGTGGTCGCTGGGTGGTCAGCAGGTGGTCACCCAAGCAGGATGAGGAGGGGGCAGCGGTCTCACCTCGTGCGCCGCGAAGGCCTTCCTGTCTCCGAAGTGGAGCTCGTTCCACACCACCTCTACCCCCTCCTCCGTGTCCATGGCTAGGAAGGTGCTCTGAAGCCCTGGCATGTTCCCTTGGTTTACCTGGGGGTGAATAAAGGGTTATGTGTGCCCTGGTGTGTGTCAGGGTTGTGGGTGAGGATTTGGTCCCTGTCCACACCTTTCCAGTGGGCCCAAGCGTGGGCTGCAGGCCCTGAGCCACTCTGCGGGAAGGTGGGGCTTGGAGGGTAGCTGCCCCCAGGAGCCAAGGGCTCCTATCCAAGGGCTGGGCTAAGGGGATTTGGAGCAGGTTTCAGGGGGTCGAGGGGGATCCCCAGGAAGCTAGCGGCTGAGTCCAGAGGCATGGGGAGGTGGTCCTGGGAGGAGACTGGCCCTCAGGGAGTCCCAGGGCGAGCGCCAGGCCAAAGGGGTCCAGGGGTGGCTGATTCGCGGGCCGCGAGGGGCCGCGGAGAGGTTTCCAGCCGCCGCGCTCTCCCAGCGCCCCCACGCCCCGCGCAGCCTCCAGGCCCCTCCCGCTCTGGGAGGGCGGTGTCACCCCGTGCCCCAACCCCCGCGCCCACCTGCTCCCGTCGCTTTTGCCAGCGACCACACGGGCTTTCCTCCAGGATGTCGCTCTCGTCCTCGCTCTCGTCCTCCCGCTCCCGCTCCCGTTCCCGGGCCCGCCTCGGCGCCGGCTCCGGGGCCGCCATGGTTCGGCCAGCCCAGGCCACCGCCCTCTGCGCGATCCGCCGCCGGCGCAGCCTCTCCCGGCCCGCCCTGGCCTCGCGCCCAGCAGCCCAGCCTAGAGCCGCCGCGGCAGCCTAGAGCCCCAGCCCCGGCTCTGGGAATTGGGAGGCGCGGGCGCGCGGCGGACGGGCGGGGCCCGGGGGCGGAGCCGGCGCGCACCTCCCGAGCCGCCTGTGCCTGCCGGAGCCAGAGCAGAGCTTCCCCGAGAGCTGCCGAGCCCGGGCCGCGCCCAGGCCCCGCCCCCCCGGAGGCCCCGCCCCGCGAAGCCCCGCCCCAGTCCCTGTTTCCTCCTCGTCTCCCAGGCCTGCTCCGCGAAGCCCCTCCCCAGGCCCTGTCCCCTCCTCGTCCTCCAAGCCTCCTTCGCGAAGCCCCGCCCCAGGACCCGCCCCACCCCCGCGAATCCCCGCCCCGTTTTAGTCCCCGCCCCCGCCCGTTCCCAGGGTCCTCCGCGAAGCCCCACCCCAGGCCCCGCCTCACCTCCTCGAAGCCCCGCCCCTATGAGGCCCCGCCCCGCGCAGAGGAACCGCCCCCAAATCCCCGCCCCCTCGGAGGCCCCGCCCTGCGGACACCTGGAGCCCGGAGCGCCCACTTCTCTCGCGGTTGCTCCCCTAGGATCTGGGGGAAGACCCGGGGCATCTGGGGGCCCCCAAGCCCACGGCACCCTCCAGCTGCAGAAGACCCCGCGGGCTCGAAAGCGGGACCCGCTCTCCTGGCCACGCACTCATTCCCCGGCCGACCCCCAAGGGACAGGTCGAAGGGGCACCGAGGGCGGGGGAAAGGCCCACCAGCAGGCTGACCCAGGCTGACTTTGATCGGTGACCACGAATCTCTCCCTGGCCCGCCCACCAGTGCCTCCTCCCGCCCACAAGCCCATCTTCTCACTTTCCAGGATGGCGATTTTCTCTTTTCTCCTCAAACGCGCATTTCCTTTCCGCGGCTGGCTCCCATGGGACAGTGGAACCATGAGGGGGGAGCCCACCCGGCTCACACGACCTCTCCCTCCGGAGGCCGCTCTAAGCACACCCTCCAGCCACGCCGACCACCGGGGCTGTCCCCGATTCTCACCTAAAACCCCCTTCAGCCCACAGCCCCCACGGCCTTCCTGTGGTCTCCTCCCTCCTTCACGGCGGGTCCTCATCCTTTACCTTCTCTCTCTGGAGCCCAAATTGGAACTCCGCTCCTCCCCTCCGCGCAGCTCCATGCACTGGCCCTTTGGGACGCCTCTTTCTTTCTTTGGCAGAGGTGCATCTGGCCCTGCTGCGTCCCCTGTGGTCTCTCTTTTCTGACCAGCCTTGGTCACCAGGCACCTTGTGTGTGGTTTCCACCAATGCCAGGTGATCCTGCTGAGGCCCTCTGCAGTAAAGGTTTGGGGTGTTCAAATCCTCCACCCTGAAACTGGCCCTGACCAGCTCCTGGGAGACACCCTCTAAGCCCTTGGAATGTTCTGCCTGATTTGAATGTCTGTGTTTACCTCGGCCACACCAGATTCTATGCTAAGCTTGTCCAACCCGCAGCCCAGAGGGTGCATTCGGCCAAGGACAGCTTTGAATATGGCCCAACACAAATTCATAAACTTTCTTATTGAGATTTTTTTTAAAGCTCATCAGCTGTTGTTAGTGTTAAGTGTATTTTATTTAAGGGTATTGCCCAGGACAATTCTTCCAATGTGTGCCAGGAAAGCCCACAGATTGGACACCCCTGGTCTGTGCTAACAATATGGTCTACGGGGGGACCTTGGGCCATGTGGCATCAGCCTGACCTCTGCAGGGGCTGGAGGCCAAAGTCAGCCACCTGGGAGGTCAGCCATGCCTGTGTGACCAACCCAATAAAAACCCTGGACACTGAGGTACGGAGGGCTTCCCTGGCTGCTGACATGCTGTGCTCATTGTCACACCTCAGTGCTGGGAGGTTGAGCACTGTCCCCATGCCTGCAGTGGGTGGGGACACCTGCAGACCCGTGCTGGTCTGTCCTGGGTTCTGTTCTGTGAGTCCTTGCCACTGCTGATTTTAACGCATCCATTGCTGTAATAAATAGTACCCTTTCCGAGTTCTGTGAGTCCTTCTAGTGAACCATTGAACTTGAGGGTGGTTTTGGGGAGCCCCCCCAGTGGTCCCTTCTCACTTGGTATGAGGGCCTAAACATGAAGGCCCAGTAATTGGTCCCATTACCCTACCTCACGTCAGCTGCCTTCTTCAGCTGAGCCCACCCCAAGTACACGGCCCTGTGCCATCGGACATGACAGGCACTTCCCCTCAGGGTCTCTGCCCTGGTTATACCTTTGCCCGGAACGCCCTTCCCAAACATCCTCTGAGGTCACTTCCTGAGAGGCCTGTCCTGACCACGAATCCTGACATCACAGTCCCCACACCCTTTCGCCTGCTTGACTTGACTTTTCCCGGAGTATTCACCCCACCTGACTTGCATCTGGGTTTTTCTCATCTCTCTTCTTCACTGTCTGTGTCCCTGTTGCGATTCGAGCTCCCGCAGGGCAGGAGTGTCTGCTCGTTGTCCCTGCTCTTTCTCTGGTGCGAGGACGGTACCCGGCACACAGCAGGCCCTCAGCAAACACTTGTTGAATGGATCTGTGGGTGGGCAGGGGTGCGTTTTGGCGGGTGTGGTCCAGAGAAGCCCCTAAGGAGGTAAGCCTTGAGCAGAAGAATCTCAATGAATTTCCTCCCCTTTCTCCGCCCCCATAACCAGACACACATGTTCTGTGGTAGGTCACATAGTGTCCCCCAAAAGTCTACATCCTGATCCCCAGTACCTAGGAGCACAGCCTTATTTGAAAAAAAAAAAATGGTCTTTGCAGATGTAAATAAGTTTAGGATCTTGAGATGCTGGGGTGGGCCCTAAATCCAATGTTTGATGTCCTTATCAGAGAAAGAAAAGGGATACTTGGGGTGCAGAGAAATAAGGTAGACAGTCACATGAACATGGAGGCCAGTGTTGGAGGGATGTACCCACAGGTCAAGGCGTGCCTGGGACTCGAGGACACGAGCTGTTCCAGTATAATAAAATATATAAAATAAGAATAGTTGTACTGATATAGATCTTAGATATGATTATATATGAATATCATTAATCATTAGTTTGTAGCAATTACTCTTTATTCCAATATTATAATAATCCTCACTCTATAATCATAGCCTAGGAAAAACCAGGCCATACAGAGATAGGAGCTAAGGGGACATAGTGAGGAGTAACCAGAAGACAAGAGTGCGAGCCCTCTGTTATGCCCAGACAGGGCCACCAGAGGGCTCCTTGGTCTAGCGGTAACGCCAGCGTCTGGGAAGATGCCTGTTGCCAAGTGGACCTTGGTCTAGCGGTAGGCGCAGTGTCAAGGAAAAACACCTGCTACTTAGCAGACCGGGAAAGGGAGTCTCCCTTGCCCCGGTGGAGTTTAAAGAAGACTCTACTCCTCCACCTCTTGTGGAGGGCCTGACATTAGTCAGGCTCGCCTGCAGTTATCCGGAGGCCTAACCGTCTCCCTGTGATGCTGTGCTTCAGCGGTCACACTCCTAGTCCGCCTTCATGTTCCATCCTGTACACCTGGCTCTGCCTTCTAGATAGCAGTAGCAAATTAGTGAAAGTACTAAAAGTCTCTGATATGCAGAAATAATGGCGTAGGCTGTCTTTCTCTCTGTCTCCTCTCTCTCTCTGCCTCGGCTGCCAGGCAGGGAAGGGCCCCCTGTCCAGTGGACACATGACCCACGTGGCCTTACCTATCATTGGAGATGGCTCACTCTCCTTATCCTGCCCCTTTGTCTTGTATCCAATAAATATCAGTGCAGCCTGGCATTCGGGGCCACTACCGGTCTCCGCGACTTGGTGGTAGTGGTCCCCCGGGCCCAGCTGCCTTTTCTTTTATCTCTGTCTTGTGTCTTTATTTCTACACTCTCTCGTCTCTGCACACGGGGAGAGACCCACCGTCCCTGTGGGGCTGGACCCTACTTGGGACTGCCAGGGCCATGAGTGGTGAGGAGAGAGTCCTGGGATGGATTCTCCCTCGGAGCCTCCGGAAGCATCAGCCCTACCGATACCTTGATTTTGCACTTCCAGCCTCCAGCACAGTGAGCGAATCTGTTTGTGCTGTTTTACGCTACTCCTCCATCTCTGGTGCTGCTCCAGCATGACCCCCGTGGTAAGAACAGTAACGTGACAACAGCTATGTGTTCGCGTGCAGGGATGCGTCCCAGCATTTATTCCCATGCACAGAGTGGGTCGTCCTACTGCCTGCCCACGCACAGAAGTGGTGGCCGCTGCGGCACACCCTCCCTGGCCTCACTCAGGCTGTGCCCCAGGGCGGGGGCGTACCCTCCCTTCTGCTCGGCCTCTGAGCTTCTCCACCCCTTGATGCTGCCAGGCCATTTCAATTTATTGGAAGTTCTCTAGGGCTGCTCTTAGCCATTGAGCCATCCACCTGCCCTCTGAGCCTAATCTGTGAATTGGCTTTTTTTTTATTTTTTATTTTTTTCAGAGACAGGGTCTCACTCTGTTAACCTGGAGTGCAGTGGTGTAATCACAGCTCACGGCAGCCTCAAATTCCTGGGCTCAAGGGATCCTCCCACCTCAGCCTCCTGAATAACTGGGACTATAGGCACATGCCACTGCACCCAGCTATTTTTTAAAACTTTTTGTAGAGCCAGTCTTGCTATATTGCCCAAGCTCATCTTGAACTGCTGGGCTCCAGGGATCCTCCTGCGTCAGCCTCCTGAGTAGCTGGGAGTGCAGGCGTGAGCCGCTGTGCCTGGCCCCCTGTGCGATGCCTTGTGATGCCAACTGCAGGTTCGCTGCTCACTGCCTCCTCCTCTTCCACCTTGCAGATCTACTGGGGCTCCATGGTTGTCACCTCAGAGTCTTCCCAAGCCTCTCCCTCCTGTGAGGCATGCAGGTGAGCTGCTCTCTGAATTCCTGCAGATTTCTTTCCCATTGGCAGGTGGACGATCCCCGGGCTTGCAGGGCTCAGGACTGCTGTCCTGGATGCCAGGAATCCTAGGGTGGGAGAAAGCCAGGGGGTTCCAGCTCTGGGGGGTCAGAGGAGCACCAGAGGACCCCTCCCACTGTCTGTCCTGGTGACCCTGCCTCCTGGTCTTCCGCCTCATGTGCAATCCCCTCCCAGGAGTGTGGACTGGACTGAGTGACTTGCTTCCAGGGCTAGAACACAGCAGAGGCACTGGGCTAGTGCCTCCCAGATTGGGCGGTGGAGACAGTGGCTTGCTGGCTTCCCAGCTCACTCCGAGCAAGCCTGTGAAGGGTACACACAGCCAGAAACAGCCGTTTCCAGACAGCAGCCATGAAGGCCTGTGGCGGCCAGCAACCAGCTTGGAAGCTGGTATGTGCGCACATGTGTGTATGTGAAGTACTGATTAGGAATAATTATTTCCAAAATGATTTCAGGAGGATAGCAATATATTTAGTCATAACTCAATCCTAAGGAATAGAGGCATCTATTCAGCATACAGATAAGGCAAAGTCCAAGTTGAAGATAATTGACACCTATGGTGAGCTCTCCTCGTGTCAACAGCCCTCCCTGGTGGGATCTTGGCGTATGCACCAAATTGCTTTAAAGGACTATTTGCGTGACAGTGAGACCGCACAACAACTCACATCACTCACTCCTTTTTTGTTGAAGGGGTCTTTACCCACTCTTGCACATAGGTTAGGATAATTGTAGAGCACTGAGATAAAATGCAAGGACAGTAGTTTTCATGTAGTTTTTGAAACTAATTCGAGGATTGAAGGGAAAGCATGTAAACAGCTATCTATATTTTGTTGAAGATTTACAGGAGCATTGTGACCTGAAAAGGAAGAGGAAGTTCCCAACCTCCTTGGAGCCTCATTGGCACCCAGCTGTCATCCATCACCCCTTGATCGCAAGCCCTCCTCTTTCCCCTGCCCTGAACTTGTAAAGGGCCTGAACCTCATACTGGCATGAGATGGTTCCTGAGGATGCTCATTCGCATCTGCTGGGCTTGCTGCTCTCCAAAATGAAGTTGCCTTCTCGGCTTCAACTCCTTGTCTGGACTGATTGGCTGTCATGCAGCAGCAGCACAAGTTTGGACTTGTTAACCTTTGGACATTTTTAGTTACTTATGAAACTTGCTGGCGGGGCGCGGTGGCTCATGCCTGTAATCCCAGCACTTTGGGAGGCTGAGGCGGGCAGATCACCTGAAGTCAGGAGTTCGAGACCAGCCTGGCCAACATGGTAAAACCCTGTCTCTACTAAAAATACAAAAATGAGCTGGGCGTGGTGGCACATGCCTGTAATCCCAGCACTTTAGGAGGCTGAGGCGGGCAGATCACCTGAAGTCAGGAGTTCGAGACCAGCCTGGCCAACATAGCCAAACCCCGTCTCTACTAAAAATACAAAAATGAGCCGGGCGTGGTGGCGCATGCCTGTAATCCTAGCTACTCAGGAGGCTGAGGCAGGAGAATCACTAGAACCCGGGAGGCGGAGGTTGCAGTCAGCTGAGATTGTGCTGATGTACTCCAACCTGGGTGACAGAGCGAGACTCCGCCTCAAAAAAAAAGAATTGCATTTTGTCAGAAGAGCAGCACCAACAAATGAATACAAAGCTGTCTGACAGGTAGTCCTTGTAACGGTCGAACATTCCTCACCCTCTCTTCTCTCTGTACCTGTGATACTGTACAGCAGAAGGAAAGACCCTTCTGTAACTGACCCGGCCCTACACATGAGCCTCACCACAGACCAGCAGGGACAAAAGCTAGGTTTGATTCTGTTCCTTGCAGTAATTAAGTCAGGCCCCGTCAGATGAAGCTCAGTGTCTCCAAGCTGAGGGTCGGGCCTCTCAGAGGGCTCAGTCTTCCACAACATGCTCCCTTTCCAGGGTTGGCGTCTGGACATGTTGGGAGGGGCTCTTATGACCTTGGGGTTGGGGAAGAGTCTGGTTCTTTGGCTGTCTGTGGAACCTCCTCTGGTCTTGCTTTGTTGCTACTTTTGGGAGATCAGTTGTTAGTCTACCTCTTGTTCACAGGCAATCTGACTTTTCTTTCTGGCTGCCTTTCAGACCTTCTCTCAGCCTTTGGATGTCTGCAGTATCACTAAGATATGGATAGGGGCCGGGTGCCATGGCTCACGCCTGTAATCCCAGCACTTTGGGAGGCCGAGGCGGACAGATCACGAGGTCAGGACATTGAGACCATCCTGGCTAACACAGTGAAACCCTGTCTCTACTAAAAATACAAAAAACTAGCTGGGCATGATGGCGGGTGCCTGTAGTCCCAGATACTCAGGGGGCTGAGGAAGGAGAATGGCATGAACCTGGGAGGCAGAGCTTGCAGTGAGCCGAGATTGCGCCACTGCACTCCAGCCTGGGCAACAGAGCAAGACTCCATCTCAAAAAAAAAAAAAAAGAAAGAAAGAAAGTTAGAGATTGGGGACACTAATTTGGATATTAATGTCTTTGATCTGGAAAATTCTAAACCTTTATCCTTTCCGATGTTTCCTCTGCCCCATTCTGTATCTTCTGACCTTCAAGGACTCCATTTGATGTATGTTGGACCATCTTACTGTTCTCTTTGCACCTTAGCTTCTCTCCTGCTCTTCCCAGCTTTTATCTCCGTGTGCTATATTCTCCAAAATTCCTTCTACTCTGTCTTCCATTTCACCGACTCCCTCAGTGATTTGTCTGACATGCTGGTTAAATCTGCCCATTGAATTCTTAACTTTAGTTATTGCTGTTTACAGTTGACCGGGGCTATTTTATGGTCTTTGTGGGTTTGTTCTGTCATTTCTGTGGGTTCTCACTCATGGAGTCTTCATTCCTGATGTGCTCTGGTTTCTTCGCTTGTGTGCAGACCATTTTGAGAAGTATTTATAGGAATAAGCTGAAGTCACCACATGATGCATCCTCTTCCAGAGAATTTTGTCCACTTGTGACAAGGTCTGGGTGTTGCTCATCTGGAACTGCCTTATCCCAAACTCAAGGCTTTAAGATCTTCAGATCACCCTAGTAGGCAGAAGTCTGTGCAAGGGCTGCTGGACCCTTAGGTTGTGACCCCTCAGGAGCTTCTGTAAAGTAGGAGGGTCTTTTGAGTTTCTCACCTTTGGTGGATCCTGGTTGGTCTGATGTCCCAGAAGCACCAGCTCCCTCTCTGTCTGGATTGTAGAGCTGTGTCCACAGGCCACTGTGGTTGAAGTTGGGGCAGATGTGAGTCCCCATCAGTGCCCTGGGCTGCGCACAGCTTAGTGTGCATTCTGACTCTAAGTTGTTGCCCTGGTGTGGGCTGTTGCCCCCACGTCTGCTGTGAGGCCACCTGTCCTCACTGTGGGCCCTACGGCATAGATGTAAGCTCAACCTCAGCCTCTGCATTACCTGGGAAGCATGAGGGTCTCACCACACTCTGATGGTGCCACTCCTCTCTCTCAACCACAGGAGCCCCTCCTGTCCGCACTGGAGTGCCCTGCCCTTGGTGTTCGCCTACTTGTCAGTATGTCTTTTTTTTTTTTTTGAGATGGAGTCTTGCTGTGTCGCCCAGGCTGGAGTGCAGTGGCGCAATCTCTGCTCACTGCAACCTCCACCTCCCGGATTCACACCATTCTCCTCCCTCAGCCTCCCGAGTAGCTGGGACTACAGGCACCTGCCACCACACCTGGCTAATTTTTTTGTATTTTTAGTAGAGACGGGGTTTCACCGTGTTAGCCAGGATGGTCTCGATCTCCTGACCTCATGATCCACCCTCCTCGGCCTCCCAAAGTGCTGGGATTACAGGCGTGAGCCACCACACCCGACCAGGATGTCTTTTTATTTTTAGAGATGGAGTTTTGCTCTCGTTGCCCAGGCTGGAATGCAGTGGTGCGATCTCGGCTCACTGCTGAAGGGGTGGGTTGCCCCTCCACACCTGTGGGTGTTTCTCGTTAGGTGGAACGAGAGACTTGGAAAAGAAAAAGACACAAAGTATAGAGAAAGAAATAAGGGGACCCGGGGAACCAGCGTTCAGCATATGGAGGATCCCACCAGCCTCTGAGTTCCCTTAGTATTTATTCATCATTCGTGGGTGTTTCTCTGAGAGGGGGATGTGTCAGGGTCACAAGACAATAGTGGGGAGAGGGTCAGCAGACAAACACGTGAACAAAGGTCTCTGCATCATAGACAAGGTAAAGGATTAAGTGCTGTGCTTTTAGATATGCATACACATAAACATCTCAATGCTTTACAAAGCAGTATTGCTGCCCGCAGGTCCCACCTCCAGCCCTAAGGCGGTTTTTCCCTATCTCAGTAGATGGAACGTACAATCAGGTTTTATACCGAGACATTCCATTGCCCAGGGACGGGCAGGAGACAGATGCCTTCCTCTTGTCTCAACTGCAAGAGGCATTCCTTCCTCTTTTACTAATCCTCCTCAGCACAGACCCTTTACGGGTGTCGGGCTGGGGGACGGTCAGGTCTTTCCCTTCCCACGAGGCCATATTTCAGACTGTCACATGGGGAGAAACCTTGGACAATACCTGGCTTTCCTAGGCAGAGGTCCCTGCGGCCTTCCGCAGTGTTTGTGTCCCTGGGTACTTGAGATTAGGGAGTGGTGATGACTCTTAAGGAGCATGCTGCCTTCAAGCATCTGTTTAACAAAGCACATCTTGCACCGCCCTTGATCCATTTAACCCTGAGTTTGACACAGCGCATGTTTCAGAGAGCATGGGTTTGGGGTAAGGTCACAGCATCTCAAGGCAGAAGAATTTTTCTTAGTACAGAACAAAATGGAGTCTCCCATGTCTACTTCTTTCTACACAGACACAGTGACAATCTGATCTCTCTTGCTTTTCCCCACACACTGCAACCTCTGCCTCCACATTCAAGTGATTCTCCTGCCTCAGCCTCTTGAGTAGCTGGGATTACAGGTGCCTGCCACTATGCCTGGCTAATTTTTTTTTTTTTTTTTTTTTAGTAGAGACAGGGTTTCACCATGTTGGATGTCAGTCAGGCTGGTCTCAAACTCCTGAGCTCAAGTGATCTACCCGCCTCGGCCTCCCAAAGTGCTGCGATTGCAGATGTGAGCCACCATGCCTGGCCTGTCCAGATGTTTTTGAAACAACCCCCACCAGCACTGGAGGGAGTCAAGGGAAGACAAGCCAGGCATCTGAGCTCCTCTGTCTCTGCCTTTCCTTCTCACTGTCCCCAGGGTAACCCATCACCACCCCCATCACGAACCCCATCATGAACCCATCACCAATCCTATCACAAATGCCATCTCGAACCTCAGCACCAGCCCCTTTGTGAACCCCATCATGAACTGCGTCACTAACCTGTCTTCCAAGCCTATTGTCTTGCTGCAAAGTCTACTTTGAATATAAATCAGAATATAGGCCAGACGTGCCGGCTCATGTCTGTAATTCCAGCACTTTGGGAGGCTGAGGCAGGTGGATTGCTTGAGCTCAGGAGTTCAAGACCAGCCTAGGCAACATGGCGAAACCCCAGCTCTACAAAATCTGCTGGGCATTTGTCTTTGACTTTCTAGTCCTTAAAAAAAAATCAGCTGGGCATGGTGGCACACACCTGTAGTCCCAGCTACTTGGGAGGCTAAGGTGGAAGGATCGCTTGAGCCCAGGAGTTCGAGGCTGTAGTGAGCTGTTGTACCACTGCACTCCAACCTGCGTGACAGAGCGAGACCCCATCTCAAAAAAGAAAAAAACAAAAAAAAAGAAAAAAGAAAAATGTGAATCTGAATATTCACTCGTTTTTTCTTTTGGGATTCTTTCCATAACATTCCTAATTTTCTTGCCACTAGAAGGATGACTTGGGCTGATCGGGGAGAAAATCTCTTTTTCGGATAGGAAGAAAAAAGCCACACGAATGTTAAAACTAACAAAAACAACAGTGTGCTTCTCCTTTCTGTCATTCTTGTGGATGTTTTTCAAACACTTCCAGGATTTGAATTTTATTTGTACTCACAACTGCTGAGTGAGTTAAGTGTTATTATGATGACCTTTTTTTTTCTTTTTTCTTTTTTTTGAGACAGAGACTCTGTCGCCCAGTCTGGAGTGCAGTGGCGGGATCTCAGCTCACTGCAAGCTCCGCCTACCGGGTTCAAGTGATTCTCCTGCCTCAGCCTCCTGAGTAGCTGGGATTACAGGCACCTACCACACTCAGCTAATTTTTGTATTTTTAGTAGAGACAGGGATTCACCATGTTGGTCAGGTTGGTCTCGAACTCCTGACCTCATGATCCACCCGCCTCGGCCCCCCAAAGTGCTGGGATTACAGGCCTGAGCCACCGCGCCCAGCCATGATGACCATTTTACAAAAAGGGAAACTGAGGCACTGAGCCATGAAGTCACTTTCGGAAGAGCCCACAGTTATGAAAGAGCAGTGGTGGCACCAAGGGCAGGGGTTCCATCCCAGGACTTGCCATCTGGCCCTTTGTAGGAGCATCCTTTGTACTTAGAGATTGGAGAGAAATTTTGTCAAAAGATCCCAGGAGTCTCCAAATCTACCCTGGTTCTAAACGTGAGGCGCAAGTACCTGGAGCATGGTGACTGAGGGACTCCCCTGGAGTGTGTCTGCCTCCCGTCACCACCTGCCCCAGAGAGTGCCACGTGCGAGTCCCGCTGGGAGGCCCCTGCGTCCTGCTGCCCCGCGGCGCATGCTGCCCAGCGCCCCAGCCTCCTGCACCCAGGCCTCCTCCCAGTCTCCAGCCGGCTGCTGTCCATCCAGATGCCACTCCAGTGCAGCCAGTGGAGCAGGGCCAGGAGTGTAGGTGGCCTGACCATCCCCTTCCCCAGGGCTCTGAGAAAGGCTTCTCCTCCAGCAGTGTTTCTATCCGGGGGGCACAGGGCAGCAGTGACCAGCACAAGCTTGCGGGGCGAGGACACAGCTTGGAGTTGGGCGCTCGTGAGTTCCCACCCTTGCCTTGAGGACCTGGGCTTGTTACACCCCCAGGACTCCGGTTCTTCACCTGTAAAATCAGAAGAGCACTTCTGGAAACTTCTGGGCTGGCAGAGATGGAGCACAGCCACTACAGCTCCTCTCTCCCTTTGGACAGAATATAAAAAGCGACTCCTGGAGGACTGTGAAACGCTAACAGTAGCAGCTGGCTGGGGAGGAAACTCAAAACTTACCAACAACTGGCATGGAGGTTTACTGTTTTTGTTTTGTTTTGTTTTGTTTTTCCCCAGCTGTATGTGCGGCTTTGATCTGAGGATGGGGGTGTCTCACAACTGTGCCGTGGGTGCAAAGACCGACAACCCCAATACAAACCCGCCTTTCCCTCTGCAAATAAGAGTGCGTAGGAGAAACCCCCACTTCCCTCTCCTTTCTCTCCTAACCCTGTCCCGGCCTGCTCTTTGGTGGCATCACAGACCCCTGCGATCCTGCACGAGATTCCACCTGTATTGACAGAGGAGCTGGGCACAGGGCTCTGTGGTCCAGAGCGTGTGTGTGCAAGGTCCCTCTCTTATTTTCCCTGTCTTTTCTCTTGCTGTGTTGCCCCGAGCAGGGCCCAAGTCGTGTGAAATGGATGACAGCACAAGGAACTAAGACTCTGAGAAAAACCCTGGCTTTCTAAATGGACTCCTCCTAGGAGCCTGAGTGTATGGGAACCCCACAGAGCAGCGACCTGGAGGAGGGGCCTCCACGCTGAGCATGAAACAACACAAGCTCGGTGCTTGCCTGAGCTGAGCAGCACGTGTGGGGAACAGGCCGCACAGCAACAGCCTTGAGAATTGAGCCAACACGGATCCACTGCACACAGCGGCTGGGATACGGCTTGTGGCCTGACCCAGCCGGGATGAGTGCCCGCCAAAGTGAAAATGCCAACATTCTCAAGCGCGTTCTCGCAGGGCTCAGAGCCTCGCATCTGATTATTTAAAACATCCAGGATACAACCCCAAATTACCCAACATGCCAAGGACTGGAAATTGGATCCGGTCTCAGGGGAAAAGACAGACAGTTGCTGGCAGAACCCCAGGACTCAGATGCTGGAGGGACCAGGAAAAGATTTCACAGCAGCAATTCCAGCCCGATGCTCCCCGCGGCAAGAGTGGACACCCCAAGAATGAGTGAAAAGACAGACGTTCTCAGCAGGTGGAAATGGTAGAAGTGAAAAACATATTACCTGAAGTAAAAAATCACCTGAAGTAAAAAAGCTGGCCAGGCACAGTGGCTCATGCCTGTAACCCCAGCACTTTGGCAGGCCGAGGCGGGCAGATCGCTTGAGTCTAGGCGTTTGAGACCAGCCTGGGCAACATGGAGAAACCCTGTCTCTACTAAAAGTACAAAAATTAGCCAGGCATGGTGGCACACAGCTGTAGTCCCAGCTATTCAGGAGGCTGAGGCATGAGAATCACTTGAACCCAGGAGGCGGACTCCGCAGTGAGCTGAGATCACGCCCCACTGCACTCCAACCTGGGCAACAGAGTGAGACTCTGTCTCAAAGTAAAAAAAAAAAAAAGGCTTACTGAGTGTCTCAATAGCAAAAGGGGGATTACAGAGGAAGGAGTCAGTAAACTTACAAAGAGATCAATAGAAATTATCTAATCTGAAAAACAGGAGAAAAGATTTTTTAAAAAAATGAACAAAGCTTCAGAGAGCTGTGAAACAATATCAAAACATCTATCACTTTTGTATTTGAAGTTCCAGAAGGGGAATGGAAAGATATTAGTACATAAAACATTTATTTTGAAGAAATAATGGCAGAAAAGTTCTCTAATTTAGTGAAAGATATAAACTTATGAAAATCAAAAAGTTTGGCCAACTCCAGATGGGATAAACTCAAATCAAATATTTTATGTATTTATATGTGTAAAATTCCTCACCAGCAGACTTTATTTACTTTTTTTGAGAGGACACAGCTTGGAGTGGGCGCTCATGAGTTCCCACCCACGAGCCAAGGTGGACACTCACTCTGTTGCTCAGGCTGGAGTGCAATGGTGTGATCTTGGCTCACTGCAACCTCCACTTCTTGGGTTCGAGTGATTCTCCCACCTCATCCTCCCGTGATTATAAGCAACATCACGCCCAGCTAATTTTTGTATTTTTAGTAGAGACAGGGTCTTACCATGTTGGCCATACTGGTCTTGAACTCCTGACCTCAAGTGATCTGCCCGCCTTGGCCTCCCAAAGTGCTTCACCTGCCAACTTTAAAAGAAAATGCTAAAGAAAGGTATTTAGCCTGAAGGGAATGATACCAGAGGGAACCTGGAACTTCAGGAATGCAGAAAGAGCAATGGAAATGGTATATATTTAGAGAACCATAATATGCTGTTTTCACTTTTTAAATCATTAAAAATATCTGGTAGCTCACGCCTGTAACCCTAGCACTTTGGGAGGCTGAGGCGGGCGGATCACGAGGTCAGGAGATCGAGACCATCCTGGCTAACATGGTGAAACCCCGTGTCTACTAAAAATACAAAAAATTAGCCGGGCATGGTGGCAGGTGCCTGTAGTCCCAGCTACTCGGGAGGCTGAGGCAGGAGAATGGCGTGAACCCAGGAAGCTGAGCTTGCAGTGAGCTGAGATCGTGCCACTGCACTCCAGCCTGGGTGACAGAGCGAGACTCCGTCTCAAAAAAATACATCTGTATATCTATATATCTATATCTATATATCTATATCTATATATCTATATCTATATATCTATATCTATATATCTATTTATCTATATATCTATACATCTACATATCTATCTATATCTATATCTATGTATCTATTACTGCTGAGGCTGGGTGCGGTGGCTCACGCCTATAATCCCAGCACTTTGGGAGGCCAAGGTGGGCAGATTGCCTGAGCTCAGGAGTTTGAGACCAGCCTGGGAAACATGATGAAACACCACTGAGTAGAGACTAAAACACAAAAAAGCCGGGCATGGTGGTGCGCACCTGTAGTCCCAGCTGCTTGGCAAGCTGAGGCACGAAAATCGCTTGAACCTGGGAGGGAGGCGGAGGTTGCAATGAGCCAAGATTGCACCACTGCACTCCAGCCTGGGTGGCAGAGCAAGGCTCTATCTCCAAAAAGAAAAAAAAAATCTATACTGTTGAAAACAAAATTGCCACATTACCTGGTAGGATTTTCAATGCATGTAAATCTGATAACATGACAAAGATAGAATGGGGGGTGGGGGATGTGGAGGAAGAGACCACACCTCACATGAAGTGGCAGAGCGGAGACTCTAAGAAGACTGTCAAAAATCCTAAGTATACTGTAATCTCCAGGGCGACCAATAAAAAATTAGAAAACAATGGCCCAAAGCCAGTAAATTTAAATGGAACACTAAAAAATATTCCAATAATCCAAAAGAAGGTAGCTAAGGGAGGGGAAATGAACAAAAAACAGAGGAGGGAAAGGAAACAAAGAATAAGTCCAAACACATAATTACATAAAATGTAACGGTATAAATGTGCCAATTCAAACATAGAAATTGTGAAATTGGATAAAGATAACCCCACCCATTAATATGCTGCCTAAGGAGGCTCACTGCAAATACAATGACAAAGACAAGGTAAAGGTAAAAGGATAGAAAGACGTGGGTCCCATCACCACTAATCAGGCATGCTAATTCCTGCTTCAGCATTGCTGTAAAGTTCACAGTGAGAACTTCCGCAACACAGGCATCGGGCACACACACAGGACTTCCTCAAGAACAACAGGAAGAATGTGGTTGAAAGCACCCTGCTGATGCCTTTCCTCCACTTGTTTTTGAAGGTTCTCCCTGTCCCCCTTTTCAAGGCTAGTGCCCTGACCGCATCCCCCATCCTAGCCTTCATCATTGGTTGCACGTGGTCTGGATGAGAGCTATTAAGCGGATTGTGCCGAGTGCCTACTTTGGCATCTGTGAATGTTCGCACATGTGAACCCCACTACTGTTTCCATTTCCTTGTGGCCCCGTCCCCTCAAACCCACCTCCAGATGGGCCAGATGCTCCTGCAAAGGCCACACAGACCCTACCAGGGATTTTCTAGAGCCTGGGAGGCACATTTTGATGAGTTACCCTGGTGTCATTTCTGCCCTGAGGCCACTGGCTCTTCATCCAGAATGTCCAAGCCCTGTCCACTCTATCTGCCCTCGCTCCAGCCAGTCTAGCACAGGGAGTGTCCTCCACGGCGTCCATGCCCAGCCCGCAGGCCCCCAGGAGGCCAACCACACACAGCCACCAGGCAGAACACATGGATTCTTGCTGTGTTCTGCTACCATTGGAGACCAAGTGGCCCAGACGCCAAAGGCAACCCATGTGTGGAGTGAATGAAGGGGGGACTCGAAAGGGCTTGTTCTTTGTCACCTGCTCCAATTGCCACACTTCCATTAACAATGAAAGTTCTTGGTTCTCCCAGAAAACTTTGAGCAAGACTTAACTGCAACCTGTGTGCATAAAATTCTGAGATACGGCTCTAGGAACCCTGGATTTTGGACGGCTTGCTTCCCTTGTTTAATCTACTATCTGTATATTAAGGGCATAAAGATTAGTGATTGAACCTTCAAAAACCTGAAATCAAAAACAAGAGTTTCCTTCATATTTTACTTGTTCAGAATTTTTCCTAGTAAATTACTACAAAAAGTTCTTCTCCACAACAGACTCGCTCAGTCAACGCTAGTGAGGTCACACCTCTAAGGTGGAGCAGCAGCCAATGGAGAGAATAAAGCCCATGCTTTTGGCCAGCACAGCAGCCAGGGAAAGCCCGGGGAGGAGGACCGAAATAGAGCCAGGGCACTAAATAGTAGACACTGGCTGATGGAAAATGAGTTTGAAGATGAACGTGAATAGCACATCGTTAGGGAAATAACCGCATGTAATAAAAATTACACTGCAACAAGAGTACCCGATGGCATGATGGACTGAGAGTCTAAAGAGTGACATTCTGTAAAATGGAAGCAGTGAATCCAAAACAGACAGAAAAATGTTCTGAAAACGAAAAAGGAGAGAAAAGTAAAACCATATGACACATAGACGACCCAGAAAACACACCAAAAAACTTATGAAACACCTCGATGGACAAAGGAAAAGTTTCTGTCACATGACAACTTAAAACGTTTTCCACAGATAACGAATGGGTAAAACAACAAAATTAAAGAATGACAAAAAAAAAAAAAAAAAAAAAAACAACCCAGACACACAAGTATGCCTCCACTTCTCCAGAGTTGCAGAAAACTGCACGGAGGAAGCCCAGTCACTGTAGAGAGAGAGAAAGAAATAGGAGCCCCGTCTCAGGGTCCAGGGTGGCCCTCTGCAGAAGCTGCAGGTACGTGAGGTTCTCGTGCGTGTTGGGGTCGAAGAAGCCCTTGGTGTCGTCGCTGGGGTCGGCCAGGACGCGGTTCATCTCCTCGTCGAAGTAGCCGCGCCGGTAGGCCACGTCCACGGGCACGCGGTGGCTGTGCACGGGGTCGATGACGCCGCCCGTGGCGATCTGGGCCTCCAGCAGGCGGATGCCGTGCTCCCGGACGATGAGGTCCTTCTGCATGGCCTGGAAGAGGGAGATCTGCTGCCCGGTGTAGGGGTCGGTGTAGCCGGTGACGGCGCGCTCGGCCGACAGCAGCTTCTCCTGGATCTCGCCGCCCACCACGCCCGCGGCCACGGCCTCCTCCACCGACAGCCTCAGGTTGCGCACGGGGTCGATGACGAAGCCGGTGGCCGCCTGCGCCTCCAGCAGCACCAGGGCCGTGCCGGGCCGCAGCACGCCCTTCCACATGGCCTGGTAGATGCTCATCTTCTCCTGGCGGCCGGGCTGGTCCTTGGCGGGCACCAGGACGCCCGCGATGCAGCTGGTGCCCTCCAGGTAGCGCTTGACCGAGTCCATCTCCGTCACCTCCTGCAGCGTCTTAGTGCCCTGGGCCAGGTCCCGCAGGGTCTCGGGGCCCAGGATCCCGGACGTGTGCAGCTCGGAGGCGGACACCTGGCGCCTCAGGCCGCGGAAGGACACCTTGCTGAGCCGCTCCTCCGTCTCCTCGATGACCCGGGTGAGGACGGCGACGAGGTCGGGCAGGCCCAGGGCGCCGGCCGCGTGCTGGGCCAGGAGCTCGTCTCGGTGGGCCTCGCTCAGGTACGAGGAGAAGAGGACGTCCCACACGGAGACCGGCCGCCCCTGGAACTGCCCGCGCTGCACCTCCATGGTGGCATCACGCAGGGTCTGCTCCTGGCGGCGGGCGGCGGCGGCGGCCTCCTGGGTCTCGCCCTCCCCCTGGCCCTCTCGCTGGGAGCGCCCCGAGTCGCCGTCCCCTCGCCCGGCTGGCCCTGGCTCCCGCGGGCCGCGCCAGGCGTCCTGGAGCTGCGGCCGGGCCCCGGGGGCCTCCTCGGCCTCCTCGATGATGGCGGTCAGCCGGCGGGTCAGCGCGGGCAAGTCCAGGGTCCCCGAGCCAAACTCGGCCAGCAGCTCCTCCCGGGCGGCCCCGCTCACGTAGCCGGACGCCAGCACGTCCCACACGGGCACCGCGCGCCCCCGGAGGCGGCCCACCTTGACCTCCATGGTGGCCGCACGCAGGGCCTCCCGGGGGTCTGGGCGCGGGCTCCCGGCCTCGGCCTCGGCCTCGGCCCGGGCCTGGGCCTGGGCCTGGGCCAGCAGCGAGGTGAGGGTGGCGCCCAGCTCCTCCACGGTCAGCGTGCCCGCCCGGTATCTGCTCAGCAGGTCCTGGCGCCGGTCCTCGGACACCTCGCGGTAGAAGAGGAGCTCCCAGACGGAGACGCTCTGGCCCTGGAGGGCGCCCGAGCCTGGCATCACGCGGGCGTCGCGCAGGGCACAGCGCAGCTCCTCGCTCAGCTGGTGCACGGCGGAGCCCCGGCCTGCCAGCTGCAGCATGTAGAGCCCGGTGTCCGGGTCGGGCACGCAGCGGCGCAGCAGCTGCACGTACGTGAGGTTCTCGTGCGTGTTGGGGTCGAAGAAGCCCTTGGTGTCGTCGCTGGGGTGGGCCAGGACACGGTTCATCTCCTCGTCGAAGTAGCCGCGCCGGTAGGCCACGTCCACGGGCACGCGGTGGCTGTGCACGGGGTCGATGACGCCGCCCGTGGCGATCTGGGCCTCCAGCAGGCGGATGCCGTGCTCCCGGACGATGAGGTCCTTCTGCATGGCCTGGAAGAGGGAGATCTGCTGCCCGGTGTAGGGGTCGGTGTAGCCGGTGACGGCGCGCTCGGCCGACAGCAGCTTCTCCTGGATCTCGCCGCCCACCACGCCCGCGGCCACGGCCTCCTCCACCGACAGCCTCAGGTTGCGCACGGGGTCGATGACGAAGCCGGTGGCCGCCTGCGCCTCCAGCAGCACCAGGGCCGTGCCGGGCCGCAGCACGCCCTTCCACATGGCCTGGTAGATGCTCATCTTCTCCTGGTGGCCGGGCTGGTCCTTGGCGGGCACCAGGACGCCCGCGATGCAGCTGGTGCCCTCCAGGTAGCGCTTGACCGAGTCCATCTCCGTCACCTCCTGCAGCGTCTTAGTGCCCTGGGCCAGGTCCCGCAGGGTCTCGGGGCCCAGGATCCCGGACGTGTGCAGCTCGGAGGCGGACACCTGGCGCCTCAGGCCGCGGAAGGACACCTTGCTGAGCCGCTCCTCCGTCTCCTCGATGACCCGGGTGAGGACGGCGACGAGGTCGGGCAGGCCCAGGGCGCCGGCCGCGTGCTGGGCCAGGAGCTCGTCTCGGCGGGCCTCGCTCAGGTACGAGGAGAAGAGGACGTCCCACACGGAGACCGGCCGCCCCTGGAACTGCCCGCGCTGCACCTCCATGGTGGCATCACGCAGGGTCTGCTCCTGGCGGCGGGCGGCGGCGGTGGCGGCGGCGGCCTCCTGGGTCTCGCCCTCCCCCTGGCCCTCTCGCTGGGAGCGCCCCGAGTCGCCGTCCCCTCGCCCGGCTGGCCCTGGCTCCCGCGGGCCGCGCCAGGCGTCCTGGAGCTGCGGCCGGGCCCCGGGGGCCTCCTCGGCCTCCTCGATGATGGCGGTCAGCCGGCGGGTCAGCGCGGGCAAGTCCAGGGTCCCCGAGCCAAACTCGGCCAGCAGCTCCTCCCGGGCGGCCCTGCTCACGTAGCCGGACGCCAGCACGTCCCACACGGGCACCGCGCGCCCCCGGAGGCGGCCCACCTTGACCTCCATGGTGGCCGCACGCAGGGCCTCCCGGGGGTCTGGGCGCGGGCTCCCGGCCTCGGCCTCGGCCCGGGCCTGGGCCTGGGCCTGGGCCAGCAGCGAGGTGAGGGTGGCGCCCAGCTCCTCCACGGTCAGCGTGCCCGCCCGGTATCTGCTCAGCAGGTCCTGGCGCCGGTCCTCGGACACCTCGCGGTAGAAGAGGAGCTCCCAGACGGAGACGCTCTGGCCCTGGAGGGCGCCCGAGCCTGGCGTCACGCGGGCGTCGCGCAGGGCACAGCGCAGCTCCTCGCTCAGCTGGTGCACGGCGGAGCCCCGGCCTGCCAGCTGCAGCATGTAGAGCCCGGTGTCCGGGTCGGGCACGCAGCGGCGCAGCAGCTGCACGTACGTGAGGTTCTCGTGCGTGTTGGGGTCGAAGAAGCCCTTGGTGTCGTCGCTGGGGTCGGCCAGGACACGGTTCATCTCCTCGTCGAAGTAGCCGCGCCGGTAGGCCACGTCCACGGGCACGCGGTGGCTGTGCACGGGGTCGATGACGCCGCCCGTGGCGATCTGGGCCTCCAGCAGGCGGATGCCGTGCTCCCGGACGATGAGGTCCTTCTGCATGGCCTGGAAGAGGGAGATCTGCTGCCCGGTGTAGGGGTCGGTGTAGCCGGTGACGGCGCGCTCGGCCGACAGCAGCTTCTCCTGGATCTCGCCGCCCACCACGCCCGCGGCCACGGCCTCCTCCACCGACAGCCTCAGGTTGCGCACGGGGTCGATGACGAAGCCGGTGGCCGCCTGCGCCTCCAGCAGCACCAGGGCCGTGCCGGGCCGCAGCACGCCCTTCCACATGGCCTGGTAGATGCTCATCTTCTCCTGGCGGCCGGGCTGGTCCTTGGCGGGCACCAGGACGCCCGCGATGCAGCTGGTGCCCTCCAGGTAGCGCTTGACCGAGTCCATCTCCGTCACCTCCTGCAGCGTCTTAGTGCCCTGGGCCAGGTCCCGCAGGGTCTCGGGGCCCAGGATCCCGGACGTGTGCAGCTCGGAGGCGGACACCTGGCGCCTCAGGCCGCGGAAGGACACCTTGCTGAGCCGCTCCTCCGTCTCCTCGATGACCCGGGTGAGGACGGCGACGAGGTCGGGCAGGCCCAGGGCGCCGGCCGCGTGCTGGGCCAGGAGCTCGTCTCGGCGGGCCTCGCTCAGGTACGAGGAGAAGAGGACGTCCCACACGGAGACCGGCCGCCCCTGGAACTGCCCGCGCTGCACCTCCATGGTGGCATCACGCAGGGTCTGCTCCTGGCGGCGGGCGGCGGCGGTGGCGGCGGCGGCCTCCTGGGTCTCGCCCTCCCCCTGGCCCTCTCGCTGGGAGCGCCCCGAGTCGCCGTCCCCTCGCCCGGCTGGCCCTGGCTCCCGCGGGCCGCGCCAGGCGTCCTGGAGCTGCGGCCGGGCCCCGGGGGCCTCCTCGGCCTCCTCGATGATGGCGGTCAGCCGGCGGGTCAGCGCGGGCAAGTCCAGGGTCCCCGAGCCAAACTCGGCCAGCAGCTCCTCCCGGGCGGCCCTGCTCACGTAGCCGGACGCCAGCACGTCCCACACGGGCACCGCGCGCCCCCGGAGGCGGCCCACCTTGACCTCCATGGTGGCCGCACGCAGGGCCTCCCGGGGGTCTGGGCGCGGGCTCCCGGCCTCGGCCTCGGCCCGGGCCTGGGCCTGGGCCTGGGCCAGCAGCGAGGTGAGGGTGGCGCCCAGCTCCTCCACGGTCAGCGTGCCCGCCCGGTATCTGCTCAGCAGGTCCTGGCGCCGGTCCTCGGACACCTCGCGGTAGAAGAGGAGCTCCCAGACGGAGACGCTCTGGCCCTGGAGGGCGCCCGAGCCTGGCGTCACGCGGGCGTCGCGCAGGGCACAGCGCAGCTCCTCGCTCAGCTGGTGCACGGCGGAGCCCCGGCCTGCCAGCTGCAGCATGTAGAGCCCGGTGTCCGGGTCGGGCACGCAGCGGCGCAGCAGCTGCACGTACGTGAGGTTCTCGTGCGTGTTGGGGTCGAAGAAGCCCTTGGTGTCGTCGCTGGGGTCGGCCAGGACACGGTTCATCTCCTCGTCGAAGTAGCCGCGCCGGTAGGCCACGTCCACGGGCACGCGGTGGCTGTGCACGGGGTCGATGACGCCGCCCGTGGCGATCTGGGCCTCCAGCAGGCGGATGCCGTGCTCCCGGACGATGAGGTCCTTCTGCATGGCCTGGAAGAGGGAGATCTGCTGCCCGGTGTAGGGGTCGGTGTAGCCGGTGACGGCGCGCTCGGCCGACAGCAGCTTCTCCTGGATCTCGCCGCCCACCACGCCCGCGGCCACGGCCTCCTCCACCGACAGCCTCAGGTTGCGCACGGGGTCGATGACGAAGCCGGTGGCCGCCTGCGCCTCCAGCAGCACCAGGGCCGTGCCGGGCCGCAGCACGCCCTTCCACATGGCCTGGTAGATGCTCATCTTCTCCTGGCGGCCGGGCTGGTCCTTGGCGGGCACCAGGACGCCCGCGATGCAGCTGGTGCCCTCCAGGTAGCGCTTGACCGAGTCCATCTCCGTCACCTCCTGCAGCGTCTTAGTGCCCTGGGCCAGGTCCCGCAGGGTCTCGGGGCCCAGGATCCCGGACGTGTGCAGCTCGGAGGCGGACACCTGGCACCTCAGGCCGCGGAAGGACACCTTGCTGAGCCGCTCCTCCGTCTCCTCGATGACCCGGGTGAGGACGGCGACGAGGTCGGGCAGGCCCAGGGCGCCGGCCGCGTGCTGGGCCAGGAGCTCGTCTCGGCGGGCCTCGCTCAGGTACGAGGAGAAGAGGACGTCCCACACGGAGACCGGCCGCCCCTGGAACTGCCCGCGCTGCACCTCCATGGTGGCATCACGCAGGGTCTGCTCCTGGCGGCGGGCGGCGGCGGCGGCCTCCTGGGTCTCGCCCTCCCCCTGGCCCTCTCGCTGGGAGCGCCCCGAGTCGCCGTCCCCTCGCCCGGCTGGCCCTGGCTCCCGCGGGCCGCGCCAGGCGTCCTGGAGCTGCGGCCGGGCCCCGGGGGCCTCCTCGGCCTCCTCGATGATGGCGGTCAGCCGGCGGGTCAGCGCGGGCAAGTCCAGGGTCCCCGAGCCAAACTCGGCCAGCAGCTCCTCCCGGGCGGCCCTGCTCACGTAGCCGGACGCCAGCACGTCCCACACGGGCACCGCGCGCCCCCGGAGGCGGCCCACCTTGACCTCCATGGTGGCCGCACGCAGGGCCTCCCGGGGGTCTGGGCGCGGGCTCCCGGCCTCGGCCTCGGCCCGGGCCTGGGCCTGGGCCTGGGCCAGCAGCGAGGTGAGGGTGGCGCCCAGCTCTTCCACGGTCAGCGTGCCCGCCCGGTATCTGCTCAGCAGGTCCTGGCGCCGGTCCTCGGACACCTCGCGGTAGAAGAGGAGCTCCCAGACGGAGACGCTCTGGCCCTGGAGGGCGCCCGAGCCTGGCGTCACGCGGGCGTCGCGCAGGGCACAGCGCAGCTCCTCGCTCAGCTGGTGCACGGCGGAGCCCCGGCCTGCCAGCTGCAGCATGTAGAGCCCGGTGTCCGGGTCGGGCACGCAGCGGCGCAGCAGCTGCACGTACGTGAGGTTCTCGTGCGTGTTGGGGTCGAAGAAGCCCTTGGTGTCGTCGCTGGGGTCGGCCAGGACACGGTTCATCTCCTCGTCGAAGTAGCCGCGCTGGTAGGCCACGTCCACGGGCACGCGGTGGCTGTGCACGGGGTCGATGACGCCGCCCGTGGCGATCTGGGCCTCCAGCAGGCGGATGCCGTGCTCCCGGACGATGAGGTCCTTCTGCATGGCCTGGAAGAGGGAGATCTGCTGCCCGGTGTAGGGGTCGGTGTAGCCGGTGACGGCGCGCTCGGCCGACAGCAGCTTCTCCTGGATCTCGCCGCCCACCACGCCCGCGGCCACGGCCTCCTCCACCGACAGCCTCAGGTTGCGCACGGGGTCGATGACGAAGCCGGTGGCCGCCTGCGCCTCCAGCAGCACCAGGGCCGTGCCGGGCCGCAGCACGCCCTTCCACATGGCCTGGTAGATGCTCATCTTCTCCTGGCGGCCGGGCTGGTCCTTGGCGGGCACCAGGACGCCCGCGATGCAGCTGGTGCCCTCCAGGTAGCGCTTGACCGAGTCCATCTCCGTCACCTCCTGCAGCGTCTTAGTGCCCTGGGCCAGGTCCCGCAGGGTCTCGGGGCCCAGGATCCCGGACGTGTGCAGCTCGGAGGCGGACACCTGGCGCCTCAGGCCGCGGAAGGACACCTTGCTGAGCCGCTCCTCGGTCTCCTCGATGACCCGGGTGAGGACGGCGACGAGGTCGGGCAGGCCCAGGGCGCCGGCCGCGTGCTGGGCCAGGAGCTCGTCTCGGCGGGCCTCGCTCAGGTACGAGGAGAAGAGGACGTCCCACACGGAGACCGGCCGCCCCTGGAACTGCCCGCGCTGCACCTCCATGGTGGCATCACGCAGGGTCTGCTCCTGGCGGCGGGCGGCGGCGGCGGCGGCGGCGGCGGCGGCCTCCTGGGTCTCGCCCTCCCCCTGGCCCTCTCGCTGGGAGCGCCCCGAGTCGCCGTCCCCTCGCCCGGCTGGCCCTGGCTCCCGCGGGCCGCGCCAGGCGTCCTGGAGCTGCGGCCGGGCCCCGGGGGCCTCCTCGGCCTCCTCGATGATGGCGGTCAGCCGGCGGGTCAGCGCGGGCAAGTCCAGGGTCCCCGAGCCAAACTCGGCCAGCAGCTCCTCCCGGGCGGCCCTGCTCACGTAGCCGGACGCCAGCACGTCCCACACGGGCACCGCGCGCCCCCGGAGGCGGCCCACCTTGACCTCCATGGTGGCCGCACGCAGGGCCTCCCGGGGGTCTGGGCGCGGGCTCCCGGCCTCGGCCTCGGCCCGGGCCTGGGCCTGGGCCTGGGCCAGCAGCGAGGTGAGGGTGGCGCCCAGCTCCTCCACGGTCAGCGTGCCCGCCCGGTATCTGCTCAGCAGGTCCTGGCGCCGGTCCTCGGACACCTCGCGGTAGAAGAGGAGCTCCCAGACGGAGACGCTCTGGCCCTGGAGGGCGCCCGAGCCTGGCGTCACGCGGGCGTCGCGCAGGGCACAGCGCAGCTCCTCGCTCAGCTGGTGCACGGCGGAGCCCCGGCCTGCCAGCTGCAGCATGTAGAGCCCGGTGTCCGGGTCGGGCACGCAGCGGCGCAGCAGCTGCACGTACGTGAGGTTCTCGTGCGTGTTGGGGTCGAAGAAGCCCTTGGTGTCGTCGCTGGGGTCGGCCAGGACACGGTTCATCTCCTCGTCGAAGTAGCCGCGCCGGTAGGCCACGTCCACGGGCACGCGGTGGCTGTGCACGGGGTCGATGACGCCGCCCGTGGCGATCTGGGCCTCCAGCAGGCGGATGCCGTGCTCCCGGACGATGAGGTCCTTCTGCATGGCCTGGAAGAGGGAGATCTGCTGCCCGGTGTAGGGGTCGGTGTAGCCGGTGACGGCGCGCTCGGCCGACAGCAGCTTCTCCTGGATCTCGCCGCCCACCACGCCCGCGGCCACGGCCTCCTCCACCGACAGCCTCAGGTTGCGCACGGGGTCGATGACGAAGCCGGTGGCCGCCTGCGCCTCCAGCAGCACCAGGGCCGTGCCGGGCCGCAGCACGCCCTTCCACATGGCCTGGTAGATGCTCATCTTCTCCTGGCGGCCGGGCTGGTCCTTGGCGGGCACCAGGACGCCCGCGATGCAGCTGGTGCCCTCCAGGTAGCGCTTGACGCGGTCGTCCTCCATGAGCTCTTGCGTCGTGCTCCGTCCCGTTTCCAGGTCCTGGAGCATTTCCTCCGTGATTATGGCTGAGCTGAGGAGTTCAGAAGCTGTGATCTGTCGTCTAATTCCTTGGAACCACAGGTGTTTGTTGCTGGTTTCCTGCTTCTCGATCAACTCTAAGATGAGCTGCGCTACCGTCTGCAGTGCCCGTCTGGTGTGTGTTCTATACATCCTCACCAGCTGGAGCTTCTTCTCCTCTGTCACGTATTCGGAATTCAGTAGTGCCCACAGTGTTGGTTTCTGGCCTCTGAACCTTCCCACTGTGATTTCCACTTGCTCTGCCTCCAGGGCCCTTCTCGTCTCGTCATCGATGTGCTCGGAGTCCCGTGCAGCCTTGTTCACTGGGAACAGCAGCCAGCCCGTGTCCTCTTGTGGGCGGCACCTCTCCTGCAGCTCTCGGTACGAGACCTTCTCTTGCGTGTTCGGGTCCACAAACCGTTTCCTCATGTGCTTCTGGTCGGAAATGAGCGCATAGATGTCCTTGTGCAGACAGCCCCGTCTGTAGGCTGTTTCCAGTGGGAGCCGGTGGTGGTGCTGTGGGTCGATGACACCCCCCGTGGCCACCTGCACCTCCAGCAGCCTCAGTGCCTCCGCCTTCTCGATGAGCTGCTTCTGCATGGCCTGGAACAGCGGGATCGTGTCTCCTGTGGCCGGATCCCTGTAGCCCGTGGCAGCTCTTTCAGCCTTCAGGAGCCTCTCCCGCAGCTCCTCGTTCACCAGGCCCACATCCACAGCCTCATCCACAGAGAGCTTCTGGCGGGTGCAGGGGTCCAGGAGGAACCCGGTGGCGGCCTGCGCCTCCAGCAGCCAAGTCGCAAATGCTGCAGGGATGAGCTCCTTCCTGCTGGCCTCATGGAGGCTCATGACCTCCCTGGTGGAGGGCACCGTGACCCCCGCAATGCAGCCGCTGCCTTCCAGATAGGGCTTCACACACTCCAGCGTGCTGAGTGCCTGTCCCCCAGTCCTCCCCACACGAAGTGTGTGCAGGGTCTTCTGATCGATGACCCTGGAGTTGAACAGGTCTGCAGCTGTCACCTCCCCTCTGATGGCCGCCACTTTGATGCCTTGGTTTTGCGTCTCTGTTTCTTCAATTGTCGTGGTGATGATTTCCAGCAATTTCTCCAGGCCCCCACTCTGGGCTCCATACTCCTGGATGAGCTCCCGCTTCCTGTCCTCTGTGAAGTATGGAGAGGACAGCAGGTCCCAGAAAGAGACCACCTGGTCAGCAAACCTCCCCACGCGCATTTTTGCAGTTCTGGATTGCAACACGTGTCTCGTGGCCTCATTGATGTACACGTAGTTTTCTCCTTTCTTTATGATTTGTAGCAGGTACAGGCCCGTCTCGGGGTCCTCCACACAGCGCTCCAGAAGCTGCAGGTACGTGAGGTTCTCGTGCGTGTTGGGGTCGAAGAAGCCCTTGGTGTCGTCGCTGGGGTCCGCCAGGATGCGGTTCATCTCCTCGTCGAAGTAGCCGCAGCGGTAGGCCACGTCCACGGGCACGCGGTGGCTGTGCACGGGGTCGATGATGCCGCCCGTGGCGATCTGGGCCTCCAGCAGGCGGATGCCGTGCTCCCGGACGATGAGGTCCTTCTGCATGGCCTGGAAGAGGGAGATCTGCTGCCCGGTATAGGGGTCGGTGTAGCCGGTGACGGCGCGCTCGGCCGACAGCAGCTTCACGTAGGTTTCTTTCCCGAACATTCCTGCTTTGAACGCCTCCTCCACGGTCAGCTTCCGGTTCTCCACGGGGTCGATGATGAAGCCGGTAGCTGCCTGTGCCTCCAGCAGCACCAGGGCTGTGCCAGGCCGCAGGATGTGCCTCCTCAGGGCCTCTGGGATGCTCATCCTCTCCTGGGTGCCCTGGATAAGGACCCCGGCAATGAAGTTGCCTCCCTCCAGGGACCGCTTCACGCTGTCCATCTCCGCCACCTCCTTCACAGTCGTTGTCCCCTGGCTCAGCTCGTCCAGCGTCTTCCTGCTGATCAGCTGCGCCCTGAACAGGTCCCTGGCTGACACCTGCTTCCGGAGCCCTCTGAAGGTGGCCTGCAGGGGCTGCCTCTCTGCAGCCTCGACCAGGGTGGTGACTGCGCTGACCACCTGCCGCAGGGCCGCAGCCCTCCCAGACCGACAGAGTGCCACCAGCTCCCGCCGCTTGTCAGCGCCAACGTATTCGGAGAGCAGCAGGTCCCAGAGTGACACGCTACACCCCTTAAACCTCCCTGTGCTGACGGGCACCTTCATGGCCCTCAGAGCCACCGCGGTGTGGTCGTCCACCTCAAGCACTGTGTCTGAGGGCAGTGGCAACAGCAACAATCCGGTCTCGGAGTCGCACACGCAGCGCTCCCTGAGCTGCTGGTAGGTCACCTGGTCCCGCGCACTGGGGTCAAAGAAGAACTTGTTGTCCTTGTCAACTGCAGTCAGCACCTGGCTCGTCTGTGTGTCCAGAAGGCCGAGTCTGCAGGCTGCCGCCTGGGGCAGGTGCACCCCGTGGACAGGGTCCACCACACCCCCTGTGGCCAGCTGCACCTGCAGGAGGGGCAAGCCCTCGTTCTGTGGCACGAGCCCCTTCTCCATGGCCTGCCACAGAGAGAGGGAGGCCCTAGAGTAGGGATCTGGGTACCCGGCCGCCGCCCTCTCGGCCTGCCCGAGCTGCTCACTCAGCTCCCTGCCCACCAGGCCGACCTTAACCGCGTCCTCCACTGACAGTCTCTGGTTGTTCAGGGGGTCAACAAGGAAGCCAGATGCCACCTGGGCTTCCAGCAGCCTCTGGCCCAGGCCTGTGGGCAGGAGGCCATCCCTCACGGCCTGGGCGATGCTGGCCTTGGCCCCAGAGGGCTGTAGCAGCACACCGGCCACGCAGCCTGTGCCCCACAGGCAGGCCTTCACCGCCGGCTGCTCGGCGACCTGGGCGGGCGACTGCGTGCCCTGAGCCAGGGCCTCAAGGGTCTCCTGGGTGATGATGCCAGCATCCAGCAGCCAGACAGCGGGTACCTCACCCCGTGGGCCGGGCACCATGACGCGGGCCTGGGCCAGGAGCTTGGTCTCCTGTACCCACCTCTGCACAGAGGCTAGCAGCTGTGGCACAGTGGTCCTCCCCTCCTGCACGTCCTCCAGCAGGCCCCTCCGTTGCTCCTCGGTGAAGTGGCAGGAGCTGAGCAGGTCCCAGAGGGATGTGCCATCCTTGGCCCCCGGCACGGCCTGCAGGCTCCTCTGGACCTGCTCCTCGGTGGGGAGGGCAGGAGCACTTTCTGGCAGGGGCAGGAGGTGAAGGCCAGAAGTCTCATCCCTGGGGCACTCCTCCAGGAGCTGGGCATAGCTCGTGCGCCCCTGGCCGTCCGGTGTGGGGAAGGTTTCGGAGGAGCTGGACAAGGCTGTCTCCATCTCCTGGTCAACATAGCCACGCTGAATGGCCACTGGCATGGGGAGGTGGTGGTGGCTGGTGGGGTCAATGATCCCTCCTGTGGCCACTTGAGCCTCCAGGAGGCGGGCAGCTTGCTCCCAAGGGATGAGACCTTTCTTCATGGCCTGGAACACAGACACCTGCTTCCCAGAGAAGGGGTCTCTGAAGCCAGCAATGGCACCCTCAGCCCGCTTCAGCCTGCCATACAGCTCCGGCCCCACCACACCCCTGCGCACGGCCTCATCCACCGAGAGGCTCTCTGGGCTGT